>NC_000003.12:42737272-43040303 GCF_000001405.40 Homo sapiens
ATGGTGTACATGTGCCACATTTTCTTAATCCAGTCTATTACTGATGGACATTTGGGTTGGTTCCAAGTCTTTGCTATTGTGGATAGTGCCGCAGTAAACATACGTGTGCATGCGTCTTTATAGTAGCATGATTTATAATCCTTTGGGTATATACCCAGTAATGGGATTGCTGGATCAAATGGTATTTCTAGTTCTAGATCCTTGAGGAATCGCCACACTGTCTTCCACAATGGTTGAACTAATTCACAGTCCCACCAACAGTGTAAAAGCATTCCTATTTCTCCACATCCTCTCCAGCACCTGTTGTTTCCTGACTTTTTAATGATTGCCCTTCTAACTGGTGTGAGATGGTATCTCATTGTGGTTTTGATTTGCATTTCTCTGATGGCCAGTGATGATGAGCATTTTTTCAAGTGTCTGTTGGCTGCACAGATGTCTTCTTTTGAGAAGCGTCTGTTCATATCCTTCGCCCACTTTTTGATGGGGTTGTTTTTTTCTTGTAAATTTGTTTGAGTTCTTTGTAGATTCTGGATATTAGCCCTTTGTCAGATGGGTAGATTGCAAAAATTTTATCCCATTCTTTAGGTTGCCTGTTCACTCTGATGGTAGTTTCTTTTGCCATGCAGAAGCTCTTTAGTTTAATTAGATCCCATTTGTCTATTTTGGCTTTTGCTGCCATTGCTTTTGGTGTTTTAGTCATGAAGTCCTTGCCCATGCCTATGTCCTGAATGGTATTTCCTAGCTTTTCTTCTAGGGTTTTTATGGTCTTAGGTCTAACATTTAAATCTTTAATCCATCTTGAATTAATTTTTGTATAAGGTGTAAGGAAGGGATCCAGTTTCAGCTTTCTACATATGGCTAGCCAGTTTTCCCAGCACCACTTATTAAATAGGGAATCCTTCCCCCATTTCTTGTTTTTGTCAGGTTTGTCAAAGATCAGATGGTTGTAGATGTGTGGTGTTATTTCTGAGGCCTCTGTTCTGTTCCATTGGTCTATATATCTGTTTTGGTACCAGTACCATGCTGTTTTGGTTACTGTAGCCTTGTAGTATAGTTTGAAGTCAGGTACTATGATCCCTCCAGCTTTGTTCTTTTTGCTTAGGATTGTCTTGGCAATGTGGGCTCTTTTTTGATTCCATATGAACTTTAAAGTAGTTTTTTCCAATTCTGTGAAGAAAGTCATTGGTAGCTTGATGGGGATGGCACTGAATCTATAAATTACTTTGGGCAGTATGGCCATTTTCATGATATTGACTCTTCCTACCCATGAGCATGGAATATTCTTCCATTTGTTTGTGTCCTCTTTTATTTCATTGAGCAGTGGTTTGTAGTTCTTCTTGAAGAGGTTCTTCACATCCCTTTTAAGTTGGATTCCTAGGTATTTTATTCTCTTTGAAGCAGTTGTGAATGGGAGTTCACTCATGATTTGACTCTCTGTTTGTCTGTTACTGGTGTATAGGAATGCTTGGGATTTTTGCACATTGATTTTGTATCCTGAGACTCCTGAAGTTGCTTATCAGCTTAAGGAGATTTTGGGCTGAGATGATGGGGTTTTCTAAATATACAATCATGTCATCTGCAAACAGGAACAATTTGACTTCCTCATTTCCTATTTGAATACCCTTTATTTCTTTCTCTTGCCTGATCGCCCTGGCCAGAACTTCCAACACTATGTTGAATAGGAGTGGTGAGAGAGGGCATCCTTGTCCTGTGCTGGTTTTCAAAGGGAATGCTTCCAGTTTTTGCCCATTCAGTATGATATTGGCTGTGGGTTTGTCATAAATAGCTCTTATTATTTTGAGATACGTTTAATCCAGGAAGTTTTTATAGTCAGATAAACCTGCTTTGAACTCAGTTGTATGGTCTTAGATGAGTTATCTAATGAATTTGAGTCTTAGTTTCCCCATCTGTGAAGTGGGATTAAAATATATGATCCTAGAAGTTATCTTAGGGACTAAGCATTATAACATGCCCAGAAGAGGAAGGGTTCTGTGCCACTGCAGAGATAAGAACTGGTACTGGCTCCTCTTGTCCCTTTCATTCCTTGCTGAAAAATAACCCAGGGTATAATCCCACCTCCTTCCCCCAATACATTTCTGTCTCTTTTGGGGTCCATAGGCCCAGTGCCTTGTGCCTGGTGCTGCTCCATCACAGCCCCCTACCTGCCCTCAGGCAGCCTCCCTGAGCTGCTCCTGTCCCTGGGGCAGGGCTTTGGTACTGGGGGCCATCTGGAGGCAACGGGCTTTGGGGTTACACAGGTGGCATTGAGGGGTGAGTGAGGGCTCACTCTGGCCATGGCTGGGGCCCATCCTTTGAGGAACCACCCCTGGCTCTCGCCCTGCCTGAGTGGTGGGGCCATACCATGAGGGCGTCGATGAGCTCGTCATCATGCCGGCCCTTCTCCACCAGGGTTCCCATCTGACTCTTGAGGGTCTTCATCTCACTTGACAGCAGCTTGTTCCGAGACCTCATGCCCTCGAACTTCTTTTTTAGCTCTTCAAGCTCTCTCTGGAGGACATCCCGTTCACTGGCAAGTTTCTGTAATTAGAAAGTGAGGGCATGGGCAGCAGGGCTGTGTGGGACCTTGGCCACATCTGCTCCCTGGCTCCTACTCAATGGCAAGGCCCGGGGCTGGGGGTGGGGGTGCTTGTTGAATGCCACAGAGCAAGTCACTAGAGCCAGGGCCCTGACTCCCAGCCCAGGCCTCTCAGGGATATCAGGTGGCCAGCAGCCTCCCACCCTTCCCCTAGCACATGACAGCACTAACCCATGACAGCACTCCTAACCTCAGCCTGAGACACAGACTTCCTAGCACATGAGAGGAAAGCCGCCAGCCAACTGCGTGTGTCCTCCAGAGAGCACAGCCAGTCCTACCCCTAAGCCCCTCCCCAAGCAGGGGAAAAGAGAAAAGCCATACTTTAGAAAAAGAGTGCTGGGCTAGGTTCCAACTGCAGCACCTTGCACCACCAGGAGCTAGAATGAGAAAGGAGGGTCTTTTCTCCCACTTCCTCCATGATTATTTGGCACAACCCCTGACAGCACCTTGCTTTGTCAGCTACCAACTGGAAACTCACATGCAGCACACATCTTCGGAGTCTCTCATTCAATCATCCCTTCATTCTCGAGGGTTTCCTGAGGGCCTACTATGGGTTTCCTGAGGTTTCCTACTATGGTTTCCTGAGGGCCTACTATGGGCTTAGTATTGTTATAGATGCTGGGGGACAGCAAAAAGCAAAACAGTCCTTGTCCTCAAGGAGCTGATAATCCTAATGGAGGAGACAGATAATGTCAAATAGTGACAAATGCTAATTTGAAAGTAGGAAACAGGAATAGCGAGAAGGATATGGTCAGGTAAGGCCTTTCTGAAAAGGTGGCATCTGAGCAGAGACTGAAGGAGATGAAGGGAAGAGCAAAGGCCCTGGGGTAGAAGGTGTGTGGCTGGAGCACAGTGAGTGAAGGGGCAGAGGTTAGATTAGGCAAACCCATAAAGACAAGATGGAGACATTGGGGAGGAGCTTGGGCAGTGGGTGACATCACCTGCTTGATCCTGAGGGTGAATTGTTGCTGGAAAAGTATTTTCATATCCTTGATGAAGTGAATTATAGAAATGCAAAACAAGTAAAACATGAATCTATAGGACACAAGCCCTTTGCAGGGAGGCAGCCATTACTCACCTGTTGCTCTCCTGCCTACACACTCCAGGCTCTTATGGGTGCCTGCCAGAGGGAATGCATGCAGGAAGCTGTTTCCTTCCACCCGCTATTGCAGCTTATGGTCAGCCCAACTGTTCAACATAATCTGTTCTGCACTAACATGTAAGTTCAAGCTAGGTGCATTTCAAACCCAGCATTTCCAAATCTCAACTCCCTTTCTCTTCTTGAACCCACCCTGTCTCCCTTACCCACCCACTATACTCCCTAGAAGTCCTTTATAACTCTTCCTCCTCATCTCTCTTCCAAGTCCAATCAGTCCTTGAGCCCTAGAAAGTCTGTCCTCACTGTCCCAGGTGTCTGGCCCTTCCATGACAGTCCACTATCTTGGCAAAGATCTTTGGTCATGTCTCCAGGATTACTATTCTGCCTTCCATTCCTCTTCCAACCCATTCCTCCTCTTGCTCCAACCATGTGACCTTTCCAAAATGCACAGCTGACCACCTCCCTCCACAAATTAAAACCCTGTCGTGGGCTCGGCGAATGGCTCACACCTGTAATCCCAGCACTTTGTGAGGCCGAGGCAGGTGGATCACCTGACGTTAGGAATTTGAGACCAGCCTGACCAACACAGTGAAACCCTGTCTCTACTAAATATATAAAAATTAGCCGGGCATGGTGGCAGGTGCCTGTAATCCCAGCTACTTGGGAGGCTGAGGCAGGAGAATCACTTGAACCCCGGAGGCGGAGGTTGCAGTAAGCCAAGATCACACCATTGCACTCCAGCCTGGGCAACAGAGCGAGACTCTATCTAAAAAAAAACAAAAACCGTTTGGTGGTTCTCCACAGCCTTCAAGATACAGGCCAAAAGTCCTGGCTGGCATACAAAGCCCAGCAGGCCCTGTCCACTTCTGTGGTCTCACTGTTTCCCTCCTCACAGCTGATGGTCTACAGCGCTGGGAGGTGCAATGTGGTCATGGTTACAGCATTCCTAACACAGGGCCTAACCCAGCGTTGGTGCTCACAGGCAAAAGTCTCCAGATGAAAAGGCAAGTCCTCACTGTTAGGTAGCTCACTGCCAGGGCCACTACGTGGGCCTGTTGTATGGCCTGCCTGCACCTCTTCATGCTGCTTCTGTTACCTTCTTTAAAGTGGCCCCTACTCCCTACTCTCATTGCAAGTTTGGGGAGGCTAACTCATCCCCTCAAACCTTGGGGCAGGTGTCTGAAGCTTGACCAATCAAAACACCCTGTACTCTTGGCTACAGTGATGGGCTCAAGGATGGTCACATAACCCAGGCTAGACCAAAGACACTCAATTCTGGGACTTTGTTGGAACTATTGGGAAAGAGAAACCCTTTGTCTGTAGAGGCTGCATTGGAGGAGAGAAGCTGGGACTACCCAGGGTCCTTGTGGAAGAGAGTGAAGCCAACCCAGGAGAAGGTGCTGAGAGCAAGGCCCCGATCTGCACCTGAAGCTAGGCCACCTCTGGATTGTTCGTTTACATGGGCCAATGACTTCCCTTTGTTGCTTAAACCTGGTAGAGTTAGAGTTCTGACACTCCCAACGCAGCCAGTGAGATGCGGCCCCTGGTGTTGAGTCCAGCCTGCCTACCTCTTTCATCAGCCTGGAACTTTCCCCCTTTAAGCCCCATCTAACCCTATCATACTTCTGGGGCCATGACCCTCCCCCTCTCCCTTTTACAATGAGAATTTCAGGTATAGCACCTCCAAAACAGCCAGGATGGGGCCACGAAAAGTTCATTAAATGGGCTCACAGTGAGGTCCCAGTCAGGCAGCTCAAGTTGGTTTGACAGGACATGAGGAACATGCAGAGGTGACCCAGGTCCCCAGGTGTCTCCTGCCTAGAAGGGGTGGCTCAGACTTCTGACCACATGTGCCTCAGAGCCCTTGCAGGCACCATCATGATCTCTCGTTCCCACATGCCCAGCTGACCTCCTCAGGCACGCGTTACCTCCAAGCCTTCCTGTTTTTCCCTTTCCAGGCTGCGGATCCTCAGCAGGTTTTTCTCCTGTGCCGACAGCTTCCTTGGGTCTGGATAGACAGACAACTCATCACTGGCTGTTCCCGCAGACTGGCTCCGGGCCTGGCCCAATTGCTTCTCAAGCTCTTGAACCTGAGGATGGTAAAACTCGTCGTTCCACAATGGGTCTTCTGCCAGCCTCTTCTACTCAGAAGTGTGATAGGAGACCCCACAGACTGAAGATGGAACCACCTCTCTAGATGGCTGTGGTAGCCCCATCTGAGGAGGACTAGGGGTGGGGGACAATCTGAGCTGGCATCTTGAGCAACACATTGGAAGACACCAGGAAAGTTCAGCTTAGAAAAATGGTGAATGAGAAAAATCACCCTATCTCTGAGGGGCTGTTTGAGGCTGGAAAGCAGACCTATGGCCCCAGGAACCAGGGATGGATAGGATGGCAGGTCTCAGTTCAAGAAAGAATATTTATTTATTTATTTATTTATTTATTTATTTATTTATTTATTTATTTTAGAGACAGGGTCTTGCTCTGTTGCCCCGACTGGAGTGCAGTGGTGCAATCATGGCTCACTGTAACCTCTGCCTCCCGGGCTCAAGCAATCCTCCCAGCTCAGCCTCCTAAGCAGCTGGGACCACAGGCACAGGCAACTGTGCCTGGATAATTTTATATATATATATACACACACACATATATATATACACATATACACACACACACATAAATATATAAATATAAATATATATATATATAAAATTTGGTAGAGACGGGGTTTCACCATGTTGCCCAGGCTGGTCTTGAACTTGAACTCCTGGGCTCGAGAGATCTGCCCACCTCAGCCTCCCAAAGTGCTGGGCAAGGAGGAACTTTCTAACAGACAGACCACCTAAGACTGGGTGGGCTTCTCGGAAGATGGCAGTCACTTACAGGAGATACTGAAGAGGGGAAGGCAGGGTTTGGAAACAGACTGCCTCAAAGCCTCACAGATTGTGTGACTGCGCACAGGTAACTCTCTGAATCTCAGTTCCCTCATCTGTAAGATGGGCCTAAGAGTAACACTGCCCTGCGTAACACTGTTATGAGGATTCAGTATTGTGAAGTTGTCTGAGCCTGGGAATCCTCTGAGGTTCTTCTTGGACTGAAATCTTGGTGCTTACTCCAGATCAACAAACTACAGTTCTAGCGGAAGGGACATGGAATCTGCATTTTAAATGCTACAGGTTATTTTTAGGATTAGGTAACTTTGCAAAATCCCAAGATGGTCTAGGTGAAGCTGTCAACACAGCCTGGCACATGTGGGCCTTCAGCAAGTGGCAGGTAGATGTCATCCCACAGAACAATGCCCTTATCACCCTTATAACGCTAGGGTAGAAGCAGACAACTCCTAGGGTCCTTCTGACCCTGGTTTCCCTATCAACACAACCAAATGACAAAACAATGTTGGTAAACTTGAGCCAGGAAAGGAAGCACAATTCGCTAGGCTCCCTGGCAAAGGGCAGGAGCACAGCTTTGAAGGCACCCACCAGTGCCCTCGTGTGGCGCTGTGAGGCAATTCCATTTAATCATTAAAGAATACTGTTACCTTTAAGAATTTGACATACAGGGCCGGGCGTGGTGGCTCATGCCTGTAATCCCAGCACTTTGGCAAGCCGAGGTGGGCGGATCACGAGGTCAGGAGATCGAGACCATCCTGGCTAACACAGTGAAACCTCGTCTCTACTAAAAATACAAAAAATTAGCCGGGCGTGGTGGCGGGCAAATGTAGTCTCAGCTACTCAGGAGGCTGAGGCAGGAGAATGGCGTGAACCCGGGAGGCGGAGCTTGCAGTGAGCCGAGATCGCACCACTGCACTCCAGCCTGGGTGATAGAGCGAGACTCCGTCTCAAAAAAAAAAAAAAAAAAAAAAAAAGAATTTGACATGTAACTTAATGACAATAAGAAGTAAGTTGTTTTGTGCTTATTATGGTCAGGCACTGTCCTAGGTGCTTTACAAATGTTATTTTATGTTACCCCATTTCACAGGTGTGAAGATGAAGACATAGGAAGATGAAGGGGTTTGCCCAAGGTCAGAGTTGGCAGACCGGTGGCCAAACGTAAACTCAGGTCTCTTGAACCCCAAGGCCATGCACTATCATCTATTAGCTTCTTGGAGTTTTTCCCCCTTTATATTGGCTTCAAGGATCCCATGGGAGACACTGAAGATAAAAGCCACTGTGACCCTCGAAGTCCCTGGGAACAAGGGTGATATGCTTGGCAAATGGTGGAAGTCATACACCTTCTCACATGTTTCTCAGTTTGAAGGGACAAAGGGAAAAGAACCACACCTAACTTTTATACAGTGCTTCCTCCATGCCAGGCCCTGTGCTGAGCATTTTACAAGTATTGACTCAATTCTCCCAACAATCCTGTGGGGTAGGCATCGTTATTATCCCCATTATACAGATGAGGAAACTGAGGCACAGAGCTAAAGGAACTTGCTTAAGGTCACACAGCTGGTGAGTGGAGAGCTGGGATTTGAATCTGAGCAGTGTGGCTCCAGAGCCCCTGCTGTTAGCTGCTTTTGGTATGCTCCAAAATATTCAGACAATAAAGAGGGAGACAAGGCTAAATTTTTATTGGGTAATTAAACTTTCAAAAGACTACAAGCATCTGGACAAAACTGGAAAAAGCTTACAATTACAACAGTCACGCAAATCTACATAAACTAAGAAAAAAAAAAGATGCCTGGAGTAAAATAAATCAAACCAAAGGCGTTGGCATTTGTTAAGCTCCAGTGCCTGGCATGTGCTAAGTGTTATATAAGAGCTTGTTCATTAAATAACAAATTAAAATCAGGCTGGTTGGCGAGAAGGTAAAACAACAACCCCGCACGAGTGCACTGTGAGACCTAAAGGCCTTTTTTGGGTACTGTGTGCTTAGGTCTCTAAGGGGGTCAGGGCAGCTCTTTCTGGGGTGTTTTAAATCCTTTGTTCAGGCCAGGAGAAGTCTGATGACTCACTCACCTTGCTCTGCAAAACAAGAATTTGTTGAGCCCGACCCCTCCAGGTCCCTGGCGAAGATAGGAGCTGCTGAACGTTGATGTCTTCCCCAACCTCTCTGGCCAAAACCTGAAATAAGGCAGGGCCTTCAATGTGGCCAAAAGAGAGGGCTCCACCAGACCCTGATGCTGCTACGTATTTAGAAGCATATTCAGAAGCAGTCTTCACCTACACGATCTTCTTCCCATCTCAGAGCATAGCCCTCAAAGGTCAGTTTTCCATGTCCCAAGGGCAGCTCTCCCTGGGAAAGTAGTAAACCCATCATCCCTGGCATTTCTTGGCAATGCTTAGAGCAGCCAAGAAACTGCCAGCAATGCCCAGATAGGGCCCCTTGCTCTTGACATATTCTGGGATGACTGAACCACAAAGCTGACCAACTCCTGCTTCCTTAACCCACTCACCTGTCACCTAGTGCTGAGCTAATTCTGGCTATAGGAAGTACATCACCACAGGACCCTAGCCTTTGTGAAAACCCACGGACAAGTGGACCTCTGAGTGCAGCAAAAGGTGGGCTACTGAATGTCAGTTGGGGTGCTGTGGTCCAAGAAGGACCCAGCTTTGCGGTTGTTGAAGTGCAGCACTCAGGCCCAACCTCAAGGCTTTGAGGCAGAAACAATACGCTCCAGCTTGTGACCTGGGCCCCTCTGAAGCCTGTCACAGAAACCCGATCCAGCGTACCAAGTCTCTGGCACTTGTTTCCACAATAGAACACTGTTTTGGAAATCTTGGCCAGTCTGAGTGGTTCCAGCAGGGAAGACAAATGCCAGAGAATTCGCTATGTAAATAAAAATAAATAACGAACCAGCTGGGCCTGTGTCCCAAGTCTGAGCATTTTCCTTTGAAAGGGTCCTTTAATACACAAGTAACCTATTCATTTTCTGTTACAGATAGCAGAGAAGAAGGCAGGTGTTGGCAGGCTTTCAAGTTAAGTAAGGGTGACATTAAGGGGAGACCCAGGATCTACTGGGGCACAAGTAGTGCAGGGAAGGCTTAATGGACTCTCCCTGGGTGGACAGTGCTGTCCTCCTCAGTCTAGAGCTGGGCAGGCACCACAAGGGCAGGTATGCTGCGGGGGTGGGGGTGGCAGGCTCAGGTAGCCAGCGACTCTGCCCACCAAATGGTTATGGACCAAGGGCTGGTGGGAGGAAGGACTGGAACTGGAGCCTGACCCAGAGCAAGCAGTGTGCTCAAGGGACTGAGCACTCATGGCTCCAGAAAGGAATCCACTGTGCCAGCCGTGCTCTTCCCAAGTCCAGCCCCAGCCACACAAGAAGCCCCAAGCCCTGGCTCTGAAAGACCTTCTGTGCCATCCGCAGCTCCTGCTTCACAGACTGGATCTGGTTTCGGAGGTCACTCATCTTCAAGTTGGTGGCCACCAGCCTGTCCTGCAGGGCCTTCACCTCTGGGGTCTCCAGCTGGTTGGGAAGGACAGGAGAGAAAGTAGTCATTTATTGCCTACATGGGAATAGTAATCATAGCCCCCATTTATCCAAGTCTGTGCCAGGCACTGTGCTAAGTGTTTGACATGGAAGAACTCATTTAATCCTCATAAACCCCTGTGAGGTAGGTTCTCTTGTAAGCCCCTTATAGATGCAAAATGGAGGGTGGTGGAAGGTAAGTCCTCTACTTGAGCTACCTGGTTAATAAAGGTGGAACCTGGATTTGAATCCTGGCAGCTTAACTTTGGGACTGAGCTTTTTGCAGAGTGTTGCACACACACATGTGGGTGTATGCCTTACCCTAGAGGTGAAGCATCTGGAGGAAGCGGCAGGCTCCACGCCTCCCAGACACTTCCTGGGTGTGGACCCACTGCTGTGCTCAGAGACTGGCATCACAGCTAATCCATCTTCACTCAGAATAAAGAGGAAACCACGTTATTCCCCGAAGGCAAGCCCAGCGTGGCAGGAGAGCCATGGCATCCTAATTCAGGATCTGCCTCTCCCAGAATCGTCAGCTTGGGCCTTGGTCTTTTGACAGCTGAGGGGCCTTGGGCTCTCTTTCCTAGCAGTGACCACTGAATAGAAATAAGGACCCATTTTAATTTCCAAATGCTCATCTCTGTGGCTTGAAGAACTACAGCAACCATGAAAACTGCCTGCTGAAACTCTTAGCAATGTCTTTTTTTTTTTTAACCCAATGTTTTATTTAAACTATCTGGATGGAAATTTTTCTTAAATGGGCTGACTACTTCTCTGTCTTCAATAGACACTCCTGTGACTCATAGATATTTGACAAAGGGACCTTCAAGGTCAGCCCATTTAAACCCCTTCCATAATGATGAAAATAAGGCCCAGAGAGGGGAGGTAATTTGCCTTCAGGCATACAGCTGGTTGGGGTGACACAGGTGGGATGAGAAAGAATACTTGTCCTTCCCCTGCCCTGGCTGACTCTTCCAATTTAAGCTGCTGTTAATGCTGGGCATTGTGGCCACAGGAACGTTGGTTGTCAGGCTGAGCATCCCATCAGGCAATGACGCTGAGGCCCTCTGCTGCTGCCCCAACAGGGCAAAGCAGCTGAACTTCAGGAAGCAGGGCTGGTACTACAGTGGCTTTCTGACCTTTCTCTAGCAGGCACAAACAAAATCTCCTCTGAATGCTAGTGTGAAAGACAGATCCAAGTATACTGGGTCCGGGAAGTTCCATGGACCCCAGAGGCTCTGGGCAGCCCAGCTGAAAACCACTGGCCAAAGAAACTAGACATGAACACCTGGTCCAGAAACTCTGGCCTCATCCAGTGTCCTCATCTATGGAATGAGTATACAAATACTTTCCTGCTCCGCTTCCTCAGAGCACCACCATCAGGCTAAAGAGAACAGCCAACGTGAACAGAATGTGCCAACTCGGAACTTATATGAAACATAATCTCAGCTCACTGCAACCTCCGCCCCCCCGGGTTGAAGCGATTCTCCTGCCTCAGCCTCCCGAGTAGCTGGGATTACAGGTGCCCACCACCATGCCTGGCTAATTTTTGTATATTTTTTAGTAGAGATGGGGTTTCACCATGTTAGCCAGGCTGGTCTTGAACTCCAGACCTCAGGTGATCCACCTGCCTTGGCCTCCCAAAGTGCTGGGATTACAGATGTGAGCCACCGTGCCCGGCCATCCTTTTTTTTAAAGTATATTTTCTTCTGTGTTCTTCCTCCTGTCTGGCCGCCTGCCATCCCTGCATACTCTGTTGGGTGCCTGCCTCTTCTCCTGTTGAATGTGTGGCTTTGAATCTGCCCTGGGTTGGGAAGCAACACCCCTCCACCCCCTGCCACGCCCCGCCCTGCCTGTCAGATCTCTAGCGCCATGAGCCCCAGTGGCCCTGACAGTGGGGGTGCTGAGAGCTGTGGGAGTACATGTGCTTCCATATGGCTGCAGTGACCCTGCAGCATCTCTTTGATCTGCTCAGAGCATGGAAAAAGCATACAGATTGGATCTGGCTCTAGAACCTGGGCAGTGATGCCCTGTCCAAGCCTCATTTTCTCATCTGTAAAATGGGGATATGTAATGCCAATCTCCAGGGAACCTGAGAGGGTTGCTAGGACAACGCATGTCAAGGGTGCTGTCTGGGGCAGGTCCTGATGGAGGGCAATGCTGGCAGGCCTAGCCTGGCTTGAGTGGGCAGCTGACAAGTGGGCTGAGGGCTAGATGGTGTTCTGGAGAGGGCTGGATCAGGCCCCGTCCTCCTAGCTTAGGCAGTTGAGCTAATCCTACCTCTAAGCCATTTCAGAGTTCTTTCTTCCCAGAGTGAAATTCCACAGGCTTTGTGGGGGACCTGGGTATGGGTACGCTCCCTCCCCTACCCGAGGCTGTTTTCTTTGAGAAAATAACTAAAGCGCAGTACATGGGGAGCAGATGATGCCAACGCTACTCACATCACGGCCTCCTGAAGCCCCAAGCAGAGGGAAGGGTGTTCAGCTCCACTCTGGAATGTGCTTTGGAGGCCTAGGGTTGGAATGTGGATTGAGCCTGCAGGCCTCTGGAGTGTGGCTCGGGCTTGGGCCGCCCTGAGCAGCCTATGAGGGGAAACATTGCTTTTGCTCTCGCTCTGATCAGGAGATGCCAGGGAGAACACGTGGTGCTGATGAATTGAGACCTGCGGCCCATCACACACTCTTCTCTCAGAACCTGGAACCTCCCAGGCTCCCTGTGGCCACAGAATAAAGTCAAAACTCCTGCTCCAGCTGCCATTCAAGGGCTCCCTCTATGGGTGACTTCACCCCAGCTTTTTTGGCTTTCGTTCCCCTTTTCTCCCGTGTGAGCTCTGGGCTGCAGTCAAATGTTATCCAGCTGACACTCAGTTCACCTTCCCCATCTTCCTTCTCCAGTAAGGCCAGCTCAGGGACGCCCTCCTCCGTCCCACCTTCCAGCTGCAACCTTAATGGAGGGTGGACTCCCCTGTGAGCTTAGAGCACCGGGGCCATCTCTGAAGGCCCTGTCCACATCCTGCCTTCGAATGACTTCTCATTCCTCCTCTGGGATTCTCCATAGACAGAGCCTCTGTTTTTTTGGTGGTTGTTGTAGTTGTTTGTTTGTTTGTTTTGAGACACAGTCTCACTCTGTCACCCAGGCTGGAGTGCAGTGGCGCTATCTCAGCTCACTGCAACCTCTGCCTCCCAGGTTCAAGCGATTCTCATGCCTCAGCCTCCTGAGTAGCTGGGATTACAGGCGTTCGCCACCATGCCTGGCTAATTGTTGTATTTTTACTAGAGATGGTGTTTCACCATGTTGGCCAGGCTGGTCTCGAACTCCTGGCCTCAAGTGATCCATCAGCCTCAGCCTCCCAAAGTGCTGGGATTACGGGCATGAGCCACCTCACCCGGTCAAGGCTCTATTTTTGATTCTCTGTGCCACAGGGCTTAGAAAATCCCATCAGGCTGAACAAGCAGTTTCCTATCCAGGGCAGCCCTAGTTCGGAATGTGGAGGTGCTCAATGCGTGGAATAAACCAGGGGCAGCTTAGCAGTGTCCCCTGAAGCCAGGAAAGGCCCTGAAGAATACTCAGCCCCTGTAGAGGGCAGAGCCCCTCTTCTACTTCCCCAGCAATGAGACAGGTTTACACAAGACTACTCTTGAGGAGGCACATTCACCTCGGAACCTGAGGGCCCATCCCCGCCGGAACCTGAGGGGCCCATCACTGCACAGCGAGGACTGAATTATCCTCAAGGAAGGCACAGGGCAGTCTGATCCTGAGGTGCAGGCAGCAGGGAAGATGGGGCTAGAAAACAAGCACCAAATTGGGAGTCCCGGGGCTTGGCTGCCTCTCTCACCAACTGGCCTGGCTTCCCAAGAAAACCCTTGGTGAAGCCTCCTGGAATGTTAGACTCTGATGATATTTACTATCTGATTTGGGGATAAACCAACCCACTAGGTCAGACTGACTTCCTTTCATGGAGCTGCAATTCCCACCTCTTGAGTTTCATGAACTGTCACTGGTTTAGTAAAATGGGCTCTGGGGAATAAGTCCCCATTTCCAATAGCCACTTTTACTCTGTAGATTTGGAGCCCCACGAAAGGGAAAGTGTTCATAATATGAACTGCCCCATAAAGAACAGGATTCCACTGGGCAGTAGTGAGCTCCCTGTCCCTGGAGTAAGGTGGAGTCTGGATGTGTCCCCAGTGAGGATGCTGTACAGGAGATGGCTGGGCTGACAGTGGGAGGTCAGTTGGACCAGGCCTTCCCTCTTGATCCTCAGGCTCTAGTGTTCCAGGGTTCTCAGGCTCCTCCCAGCCTTCCTTTCTGGAGACAGAGTTGGAGCTACACCCTCCATAGCTTCCGACACGACATTCTTGGCCTCAGGCCATACACTCGGTACTGTTCTCTGATGTCTGCTCTGAGGATGCAGCAATGGTAGACAATGGGCACCTGGCTCGGCAGCGGGGTTGGGGGTTGGGGGTGGACCTCGGGTAGAGGTACCTACACACCTGTGGAGGAGGGGAGGCCCAGGCCCATGGCTGCCTCACAGACTTCCCAGCACAGAAGAGAATTCATACCAATGCTCTGTCTCCCATCTGGGCCCTCGGTGGCTTGGCTCCTGCGTCGGTGGCCCCCTTGGCTGACAGCCTGGTCAGGGCTGTCTGCAGCTGAAAAAGCAAACCTCGTGCTTAATACTCTGCTCAGCGATTGTGCAGCCCAAGGAAAGCACTCTGGTGCCATTGTGTGTGTGGTTACCTATCTTGGTGGTGTGTCCTTTTAGCTCACTTTAGGATCATTAATGGCAGCATTCTCCTTTAGAAACCGCTCTGGAATGGAGAGGGTTTAATTGATTGTCTGACCCATTCCCTAATCGTACTATAAAAGTAGCCCAAGGGTTTACTAACAGCTTAATAAATAATAATGGTACACTTATAATCTGTCTCCTGAAGTTCCAACAATAGTCTAGGAGGCGGGGCAAAAAAGAATGATGGATTTCAGGTTACAGATGAACAGATGAGGCCAGAGACACCAAGAAGCCTGTTGGAGGGCAACAGAATTGGATTTAAAATGCAGCACCACCATATACTGCGTGACTTGAGAAAGCCTCTTAACCTTCCAACTTCAGCTCTCCCGGCTACATATGGAGAAGCTAGGGAGGTTCCCTCTTGCCCATGCTAGGAGTCCCCTCCAGAGGGAGAATGACCAAGGCCCCTCACTTCCCGCTCCAGCTCCTGGATGCGATTGGTCAGCTGCTTCACCCTGGTTTTTGCACCCTCTGATTCTGCCATCAACAGCCGGTTCTTTTTTGATAGCTCCACAATTTTGGTGGCGACCACGTCTCCGGCTACACCGGCTGTCCCTAAAATGAAAGGAATGGTGAGGTCAATTAAAAACACAGGCATACACATCAAACTCATGCTCCACCACTAACAGCACCAGGGTCTTAAAAGCTAAAGCTGCTTGGCATGAATGCTCATAAAGGGGCACTAACTTAGGAGGGTCACCATATACCTAGCAGCCCTGGGACCCAACTCCAATGAGTGGAAATGCAGCCACTCAGAGGTTCAGTATGTTCTAGGAAAATGATAAAAACAGAAAGCAGAGTTTTAATTCTGTGAGACTCAGGTTTATCACTCCGATGCTTCATGTAATCCTCAGTGATAGGATTACATCCATATCCCAGTAATTTTGCTGTGCCCTCTAATGAGCAGGATGTAGTCCCCTTGGGCCTTCTATGACTCTGGGCTCAACCATTTGGCTTGCTTTGGCCAATAGCATGTTAACAGATAAGGTGCAGATAAGGTAGAGGCTTGAAAAGCACTCGTGCAGTTAAATTCGCTGTGTTTGCTTATGCCCTCTCCACAGGAAGAACATACCTGGCTGGCTGGTCTCAAGAATAGAAGAGAGACATGTTGAACAAAGTGGAACCAATCTAGCCAAGCCTGGCCTAGATCGGCCAATCCCCAACCAACCCCCAGATGTTTAAGCTAAATAAATGCTTACTGCTGCTGAGATTATGTGGTTGTTTCTTAGAATTTGGTGGTAACGCCTACCCAATAGAAAGGCATACATTCATTTAGCAAATATTTATTTTCTACCAAGTGCTGGGTCCTCTTGGTGTTAGGGATTCAGTGGTGGATAAAAAAGACTTATGGGGTTTACATTCAAGTAGGGAAGACAGATAATTTAAAACATCAAAGAAATAAATATGTATTCTAATATGTAGCAGGAATAAGTGCTAGGAAATACACTGGAGCTGGGCAAGGGGGTAAGAACGAGGGAGATGATGCTATTTTAGATGGAGTGGCCAGGAAAGGCTCTCTGAGGAGGTGATGTGTGAAGAGAGACCTGAGTGAATGAACTGAGGGCTCAAACCATGAAGAGTGCTCTCACCTAGGAAGAACATTCTAAGCAGAGGAAATGGCAAGTACAGAGGTCTGGAGGTGGAATGTGCTTAGAGTATCTGAGGACCATCAAGGACTCCAGAGTAGCTGGAAGGCTACTTGCAGTGGGCAAAGGAAGGAGGCTGTGGAAGGTGGCTGGAGGATGTGAATGGGGAAGTTGTATGGTATGGGAGCTGTGTGGAAGGCAGGCACCGGGAGCTAGTCCAGCATCGTCATCGACTAGGTGGGTAGCCCTGACAGTCCCTTGCCCTCTCTGGAGTGCAGCTCCCCTATCTGTGCAATGGCAGAGGTGGTCAGATGGTCTGCAAGTTTCCTGAACACTTCTGACACCATAGCAGGGAGTAACTGGCAGTCCTATTTTTTAGTCCTGCTTTTTAACATGACCATCATATGCCTCAGAACAAGAAGAAGGGTGACAACTGGTGGAAAGCAAACAGGCACTTTATGGCTTTCAAATCACCTCAGCCCAGGCTTGCTCCTGCCAGCCTGGGCGAGGCAGTGAGTGGGGCAACTAGGAGTAGCTGCCCTTGGAATCTCATGTCTGCTGAAGAAGACAAGGACACACCAAGAGAAAAGGCTCAGAGCAGACCTGGAGCCCTGGAGTATCTAGAGGGAGACAGGCCCCATTCAGCACCAAGATGGCACACTTTGCTCCCTGGCTCCTTTAATAGGTTGTGTGTCAGGAGGGTAACGGGGGTGGTGATAATAAAGGATCACTGTGAAAATCATGAACTCTAGCAGTTAAAGAAATGCAGTTTCAGCAGAGGTCTGGTTCTGGTTAAGATGGAGTAAGCGCACTCTACCCTGTCTCTTTTGCTGAATACAACCAAAAGCCCTGGATAGGATGTGTGAAGCAGCTACCTGAGGGTTCCGGACATAAATGGTAGCAAGCATATTGGGGAAGGAAACCGGACCTAGAATTACAAATGGTCCAGTGGTACGTTTCCTCCCAGGACTCAAATCAGCACAAATTCTGGAACTGGCTATCAGAAAGAGGTTCAAGAGAAGGTCTTTCTAGTCCAAAGAGCAGGAAGTGGGGCTCAGACAGAATGGAAAAAATCCTCTGGGTATTTTTTTTTCCTATTCTTTCCCAACCCTGTCTCCAGGCAAGCTCTACTGTTGAAGCTGCAACCCCTTGATAAATGGGGGCGGCAGTGGATGGGCAAACACAGAAATGCTAACTATCTGGCTAAATAGAATAGTTTTCCCTTTGGGTTCTTTAAAATACATATAATAGTTGAGCAAAAAGTATAACATTGACTGATGGGATTTTCAATATATATAGATATAATACATATAAAAACTGCAATAGAAAGGGAGAGGTAAAGGGACCTGAATGGTGGTAAAGTTTCTACATTCCATTTGAAGTGGTAAAATATTAGTTCTACGTAGACTATGAAAAGGTAATAAATATTTTGTAATCACTAGATCACTAAAAAACTGTACGAAAAATATAGTAAGCAAACAAAACCCAAAGGAATCACTAAAAATCCAGCCAAAAGAAACCGATCTATCAACTCTCAGTAGCCTGTCACTTGCAGCTCAGTTTAAAAACATAAATGGAGGCCAGTCGCGGTGGCTCACACCTGTAATCCCAGGACTTTGGGAGTCCGAGGCGGGCAGATCACAAGGTCAGCAGTTCGAGACCAGACTAGCCAACATGGTGAAACCCTGTCTCTACTAAAAATACAAAAATTAGCTGGGTGTGGTGGCACACACCTGTAATCCCAGCTACTCAGGAGGCTGAGGCAGGAGAATCACTTGAACCCAGGAAGTGGAGGTTGTGGTGAGCCAAGATCGTGCCACTGCACTCTAATCTGGGCAACAGAGCAAGACTCTGTCTCAAAAAGAAAAAAATTAAAAACATAAATGGGCTTGTCAGATTTTCTCTCCAAAACGTGAGAATGAAAATCAGAAATGGTGACTTCAGAGTGAAGACTGGATTTAAGTGGTTTTCAGGGACGCTTAGGGCTGGCAGTCAGATGAGGCCACAACCAAGTCTGGGCTTTGGCAAAGCTTGCAAGAGACAGTTAACAATGAGAGGGGCTGGGGAAGAGGGAGTAACCCCAGATCTGCTTCCCAGGTCTGCTGGGTGGAGATGTATCTCCTGCTCCCCCTGGAGCCCATCAGCTTCTCTACAGCCTTGCAAAAGTGCAAGTGGCCCCTTCCACAGCTGAATCTGTAACCAGGCTGAGTGTAGGCTTCCTTAGCCAGGCTTTGTGTTTTTTGTTTCAGACAGAAAAGGCCAAAGAATGGAGGGAGGTGCATTAGGCTACCATGAGTCTTTAGGATACCAAATTCCCCTTGCTTTGTAATTCAGCATTGACTGACCAGAGCTTTGGTCCTATGAACGTACCTATCCTCAAACGCATTTACTCTCAAAGGCAAGGACAATAGTCTGGTAGATGCTGAGTCAGCCCTGTTGCTCTCCGTGATTGGTGACATCTATAATACTTTCTTATTTATTAGCCATCTGCGAATTGCTCAATGGGTATATACATAACACAGGACAATCAAGTCCAAAGTCCTCACTACATCAGCAGGGCAAAAGTCAAACTCATAACCACAGAGCCAATGTCCAGCTCACAACCATGATCAAAGGTCATTCCCAGACCTGCAAAGCCAAGGTCCTCACCAGACTCATGGGGCCACCATGAGGTCTCCACCAACACAGCCAAGGTCTAGCCCAGACTTACAGGGCCAAGACCCAGCCCACACCTTGTTGGTGGTTGGGTCCCATGATATCCTCCTAGAACAGGTGACTCATCTACCTTTCTGGAGCAGCAACAGCAGGTGCTGTAGAGTTCATACCTGGCTCTACTGGGGCTTTTTTTTTTTTCAAGACAGGATCTCTGTTGCCCAGGGTTCAGTGCAGTGGGGGTGATCATAGCTCACTGCAGGCTGCTGGGCCTTTTTTATGTTCACAACATAACATGTGAGCCAGTGCACCAAGGAGAAATGGATCCTGCCAGCCCCTTTACATGCTGCGAGCATGATGGCAAACCCTTGTCATGAGTCCCAGCTGGATCACCAACATTGCCTATGATGCTTGCCTGCTGGCCCTTCTGGCCCATTTTTAAATCCCTCATTGCTCCCTGTGCTCCCATTTTCTGGTGGGCTGGCCTCCCTGGGGCTGCTCTTTTCCTCTACCCTCTCCCTCACTTCCAGGACTCCTCTGGACAAGCTTGATCACAACTGACCCTTGGCACTCTCTTGGGAATCTGCTCTCTGGAACCTGCTGTCTGCCCTATCTGAAGTCCCTGGACTGCAGGGCAAGGACTATCACAACAATGGTGGAGCTACCTGTGAAGGCAAATCTGTCCTCTTCTATTTTCTTTTTGAGGTGTTTGATTTCAAAGTCCCTTTCCTTCAGCAGCTTATACAATCGCCCGTTCTCGTCCACCGTTTCCCTGAGCTCATTTCGAAGGTGTTCAATCTCATCTTCAAGCACCCTACAAGGCAAAGGCAGAATTAATGCTCCTCCAAGGCAAAGGCCCTGGTGGGCAGGGGTCAGGCCTCCACTGCCTAGGTGGACAGATGGACACGCAGATGCAGACACACTGACGTGAAAGAAGAAAGATTTCAATGTCGTTCATTAGCTGGCTTAAATAGGGAGTTATAAAAAAACCCACTCATAATTCATATTTCTTTTAAGCATCCATGGAACATGCATAAAAATATATTACAGGGCTGGGTGTGGTGGCTCATGCCTCTAATCCCAGCACTTTGGGAAGCCAAGGCAGGAGTTTGTGACTAGCCTAGGCAACAAAGAAAGACCCTGTCTCTAAAAATAAAAGAAAACAAAATTAGCCAGGCATGGTGGTGTACACGTGTAATCCCAGTGACTCTAGAAGCTGAGGTGGAAGGATTGCTTGAACCCAGGAGCTTGAGGCTGCAGTGAGCTATCATCCTGCATTCCAGCCCGGGTGACAGTACAAGACTCTGTCTCTTAAAAAAAAGTATTATAGGTTATAAAGGGAATCTTAGCAAATTCTAAATAATAACATTATACAGACTATTTTCTCTAATGGCAAGTGACTGTTTTAGAAATCAATAATAAAAAATAGAAATAAAACAAGAAAACCCAAAACTCATCATATGCTTGGAACTAGAAAAACACCCTATACTCCTAAATTATTTATGGGTTAAGAAGAAATCATAATATGTATTATAAAGCATTTAGAATGGATTGACCACAGAAGCTGTATCAAAACTTGTTAAATGCAGCTATAATTAAGGCTCTAAGCTTCCTTCTATCACTTTAGCTGCATTTTACAAGTTTTGCTATAGCTCCGGTGGTACACACACACACACACACACACACACACACACACCCCTGAGAGATTTCAAACTTGCATTTACCTCTTCTCAAAGCTATTTTTCGAGTTTGGCTCCCCTGCGTGGAGAAGGCTGAGGCCATCTGAAACCTCCAAGGGCTCCTCTTGGTCGTCAGCTCTGCTTTTGAGGCTCAGTTCTTTTTCCCTCTTTTTCTCCATCTGCTTCTGTAACCGTTTGTGCTGCATCTCCTGCATTGCCTTGAACTGGAGCCGCAAAGTGTTCTGTGAGCTTTCATCTGCTGCCATCCTGCCCTAGGCATCAGAAATGAAGCCTCAGCTGAAGCAAACTCCACACCGAGCGCTCAGCACACAGTCCGCCCTGTCTGCAGCCCCAGCCTTGGAGTTTACTGCTTCGCGTTGCATGTATGTCCACGCAGAAGCTTGGAAGCTCCACCCTCACCTCAGATCACTAGAAACCCAAGGTTGAACTGAGCATCCTCCCCAGTTCCTGAACATGCCACCAGATTGCACATGGCATCAGAATAGTCTCCATCACTCAGACTCAACACTTGACTCTTGCCTGTCCCTTAAATCAATGGTTCTCAACTCTGGTTGAACATTGAAATCCCCTAGGAACTCCTAAATAACAATGCCTGGGACCATTTCCAGACCAGCTAAATCCCAGTTTCTAGGAACAGGGCTTGGCCATCATTTCTTCTTTTTCTTTTTAAATTCAGGTATAATTCACATGCAATAAAGTACATAAATCCTGACCATACGGCTCAGTGAATCTTTCCATAGACATATACCTCTGTGGTGACCACCCAGATCAAGGTACAGGGCACTTACGGTCCCTGAGCAGGCTACTTTGTGCCCCTTCCAGTGAATCATCCCCCAAGGTAACCATTATTCTGACCGCTACCACCTAAGATTAATTTTGTCTGGTTTCTTTTTAGTCAGTCTATCAAAGAATAATTTATGTACAATAAAATCCACCAGGTTGGGTGCAGTGGCTCATGCCTTGCAATCACAGCACTTTGGGAGGCCAAGGTGAGTAGACTGCTTGAGACCAGGAGTTTGAGACCAGCCTGTATAACATGGCAAAACCCCATCTCTACAAAAAATTGGTTGTGGTGGTGCATGCCTGTAGTCCCAGCTACTTAGGAGGCTGAGGTGGCAAGATCGCTTGAGCCCAGGAAGTGGAGGCTGCAGTGAGCCATGATTGTGCCACTATATTCCATTGTGAGTAACAGTGAGACCCTGTCTCCAAAAAAAAAAAAAACACAAATTTTATGTGTACAAATGAGTTTTGACAAATATATTCACTTGTGTAAACCACCTCCACCATCGTGAAAGAACATTTTCATCACCCCAAAATCCTCCTTTGTGCCCTTTTGCAGTCAATTTCCAGCCAATCCCAATCCCAATCCCAGGCAAACTCTGGTCTGCTTTTGTTCACTACAGTTTTGCCTTTTCTGGAATTTCATATAACTAGAATCATACAGTCGTTAGCCTTTTGTGTCTGGCTTCTTTTTTGCTCAGCACTACCTTTTTGAGATTCATCAATGTCATTGCACACATTATAAGCTCATTCGTTTTTATTACTGAGTAATATTACCTTGTTTAAATAAACAAGAATTTGATTATACATTCACTTGTTATTGGACATCTGAGCTGTTTCCAGTTTTGGCTATTATGAATAAAGCCGTTATGAACATTCATGTATAAGAAGGTATTTGTGTGAATGTATGTTTTTATTTCTCTTGGGTAAATACATAGAAGTGAAAATTCTGGCTTATATGGTAATTTATGTTTAACTTCATAAGAAACTGCTAAACTGTTTGCCAGAGTGGTTGTACCATTTTACATTCTTACTAGCAATGGGAGTCCCAGTTGCGCCATCCTCGTCAGCATTTAGGCTAGTCAGTCTAAATTTTAGACTTTCTCATTAGTATGTAAAATGGTATCTCAGCCGGGCATGGTGGCTCATCCCTGTAATCCCATCCCTCTAGGAGGCCGAGGTGGGTGGATAAACTGAGGTCAGGAATTCGAGACTAGCCTGACCAACATGATGAAACCCCATCTCTACTAAAAATACAAAATTAGCCAGGCGTGGTGACATGTGCCTGTAATCCCTGCTACTCGGGAGGTTGAGTCAGGAGAATTGCTTGAACCCAGGAGGCAGAGGTTGCAGTGAGCTGAGATCATGCCATTGCACTCCAGCCTGGGCAACAAGAGCAAAATTCTTGTCTCTAAATAAATAAATAAATAAATAAATAAATAAATAAATAAATAGGCAGGGCACAGTGGCTCATGCCTGTAATCCCAACACTTTGGGAGGCTGAGGTGGGTGGATCACCGGAGTTCAGAAGTTTGAGACAAGTCTGGCCAAAATGGAGAAACCCCATCTCTACTAAAAATACAAAAATTAGCTGGGTGTGGTGACACAGGCCTGTAATCCCAGTTACTCAGGAGGCTAAGGCAGGAGAATCACTTGAACCTGGGAGGCAGAGGTTGCAGTGAGTCAAGATTGAGCCATTGCACTCCAGCCTGGGCGAGGTTGCAGTGAGCCAAGATTGCGCCATGGCACTCCAGCCTGGGCGAGGTTGCAGTGAGCCAAGATTGCGCCATGGCACTCCAGCCTGGCCGAGGTTGCAGTGAGCCAAGATTGCGCCATTGCATTCCAACCTGGGTGACAGAGCAAGACTCTGTCTCAAAATAAATAAATAAATAAAATATAAATAAATTAATTAATTAAAATAAAATAAAAATAAAATGGTATCTCAATGTGTTTTTAATTTGTATTTCTCTGTTGACTAGTTATGTTGAGCATCTTTTCATGTGCTTGTTGACCATGTGTATATCTTCTTTTGTGATGTGTCTATTCACATTTTTTGCCCATTTTTAAATTGTATTAGACAATACAATTTACAGTCACAATACAATCACTCACTGTTACTGAATGATCAGTTTCTTGTACATTCTTGATACTTTGTCTGTTTGAACTTCACATAAATGAAATAATAGAGCACAGACACTGGAATTATTAAATGCTCCCCTCACGATTTTAAAGTGTAGCCAGTGGTAAGCATCCCTGCCTTAAACCAACCTCAAGCCACATCATCTACCTATCATCCAATTAATCATAAATCTTGTTTATTTTCCATAAATGTCCTAAAATCTGCCCCCATGTCTCCATTCCCACTGATACCAGGCTCATAACCACCTTGGGGTATCTGCACTTGCTGTTACCTCTCCAGGAATGTCCTTCCCCCAGACATCTACCTTACCTACTTCCTCTCAAATGTCACCTTATCACAGAGGTCTCCTCATATCCTATTGTAGAAGGCATCCCTGCCCTCGCTCCCCATGCCCTTGCCCTGTTTTGTCTTCCTCCATGGCACTGAGAGTCATCTGACACATTATATTTTGATTTGTTTACTTGTTGACTGCCTCTCTCCCTCCCCACCAGCTTCACAATGGCAGGCACTGTGTTGTTCATTGCTGTATCCTCAGTGCCTGTAGCAGGGCCTGGTATATGGCAGGCATGGAATGAATACTTGCTGAACAAATGAATAACATTTGCTGAGGGACAAGTTTCTCTAAACCACAGCTCTGAGCCTGACAGACTCCTGTGCAAAAAGCTTCAGCAGATGCCCCTTAGCCACAAAGCCAAGTCCAATGGCATTAAGCGCTTTGGATTTGGCCTCTGTGTCCTTCTAGCCTGTTTTCCCTTTCATAATGCTAACTTCTAGCTAGTTGTGTTGACTTGCTCCTCTGTTCCTATACCTCCTTCTCCCCCCAAGGCTTAAATCTTGCTGGTCCTCCTACACCCAGCATGAATACCATGGTCCTTTTCTGACCCGCCAGGAGGAATACTCTACCTACCCAAACAGCTTCAACTGCTCTATCTGTACCTTCTTAATATACTTATCTCCATCTCACACACAGGGGTGGTCCCAGAGCCTGTACCCAGTTACTCTTAAACTTGCTTCAATACCAAATCCCCAGGATACAATCTAAAAATGCTGATAACCAGGCCCACCCCTAGAGAATCTGATTTAAATTAGTCTGGAGTGGAGACCAAGCATGGGATGGTTTAACTGCTGCCCAGCTGGTTTTAATGTGCTGTGGGCTGAGCCCAGGGTTTGGCAAAGGTCAAACAAAAGCAGAAGCTGGTGTTATGTTGAAATTCCTTACCAGGCAGCTCTGCCCAGTAAGAGGAACTATAAAGAATTAACTCTGAAAACCTGTATTGTGCACACCCGCACATTCCAAAAAACATGTTTGGCCTTTGACCCGCTCCTAAGAGAGAATCTCTGAGCCCTTGGACCATCCTTCCTGATGAGAGTGTTTTTCTTCACCTGGGGACCTTGGGCCATTCCAGTCCATGTTAATTAACAATGTGATTCATTGCCAGGTGCAGGGTAGGCTGGAGGGGGCTGGAGATCGAGTGACTAAGGTCAACTGTACCTACGTAACCATCTCCTAATAAAAACCCTGGACACCAAGACTCAGGGGAGCTTCCCTGGCTGGCAGTACTCCATGTAAGTTGCCACGAATTGTTTCTGGGAGAAGTAAGTACTGTCAACATGACTCCACTGGGAGAAGACAACTGGAAGCTTGCACCTGGTGTCTCCTGGACTCTGCCCTATGTGTCTCTTTGCTGATTTTGACCCGTATTCTTTCATTGTAATAAACAATACATGTGAGTATAATAGCTGGCCCAAAGGCTATATCCTTTGTTAAAAGATAAACGTTAGGCCAGGCATGATGGCTCACACCTGTAATCCCAGCACTTTGGAAGGCCAAGGTGGAAGCACAGCTTGAGCCCAGGAGGTTGAGACTACAATGAGCTGTGATCGCGCCACTGCACTCTAACCTGGGTGACAGTCAGACCCTGTCTCCAAAATAAAAAAAGAAAAACTTTAAACAAATCAAATTTAACAGAATTCAACTGAGCAAAGAATGATTCACAAATCTAGCAGCCCCCAGAACCAGAACAGATTCAGAGTGACTCCAGGGCTGCCACCTAGTCGAAAAAGATTTATGAACAGAAAAAGGAAAGTGATGAACAGAAAGCACAAGTGAGGTACAGAAACAGCTAGACTGATTACAGCTGGCTGTTTGCCTTTTTTGAATACAATTTGAATAGCTGGCTGCCTGTGATTGGCTGAAACTCTGTGACTGGTACAAGAGTAGATTGCAGTCTGTTTAAATTCCTAGTCAGGTTACAGTTTACTACGTACAGAGAAACCTTTAGGCTGAACTTAGAATATATAAGAAGGCAGCTTTAGGCTACAGTTAGTTTAACACATCCCACAGACATTTTTGTTTGGCTCTTACAGAACACTATGTTAGGATTTGAATTTGTTGCCAACATTCAAAGAATTGTAGTTTCAATATCAGATTTCCAGTGTCAACAAAAACAGTCAAACTCTGTAAAATATTTGAAGAGATGTACTTTTTTTTTTTTTTTTTTTTAGATGAAGTCTCGCTCTGTCACCCAGGCTGGAGCGCAGTGGCACAATCTTGGCTCACTGCAACCTCTGCCTCCTGGGCTCAAGCAATTCTCCTGCCTCAGCCTTCTGAGTTGCTGGGACTACAGGCATGCACCACCACACCCAGATAATTTTTGTATGTTTTTGTAGAGACATGGTTTCACCATGTTGGCCAGGCTGGTCTTGAACTCCTGATCTCAAGTGATCCACCCACCTCAGCCTCCCAAAGTGCTGGGATCACAGGTGTGAGCCACTGCACCCAGTCTGAAGAGATTTATTCTGAGCCAAATGTGAGTGATCATGGCCTGTGACACAGCCCTCAGGAGATCCTGAGACCACGTGCCCAAGGTGGTCAGGGCACAGCTTGGTTTTATACATTTCAGGCAGACCTGAGACATCAATCAAATACATTTAAGATATATACCGATTTGGTCCAGAAAAGCAGGACAACTCCAAGGTTGGGAGGGGGGAGCTTCCAGGTGATAAGTAGATTTAAAATTTTTCTGATTGGTAATTGGTTAAAAGAGTTACTATAAATAGAAAGGAATATCTGGGTTAGAATAAAAGAGATAAAAGTTTTGATCATGCAAATGAAGCCTCCAGGTAGCAGGCTTCAGAGAGAATAGATTGTAAATGTTTCTTATCAGACTTAAGGTCTGTGTTGATGTTAAATGTTGGTCAACTTTTCCTGAATTCCAAAAGGGAGGAGGGTATAATGAGGCGTGTCCAACCCTTGCTTCCCATCAAGGCCTGAACTGGTCTTTCAGGTTAACTTTGGAGTGCCCTGGCTGAGAAGGAAGTCCATTCAGATGGATGGGGGGCCTCTGAATTTTATGTTTAGTTTACACCAGCTTCTTTTATAAAAGTTTACAGATCTGGCAATGCTGGGCCCATCGTCCCACACGGACAGCAGCTGCTATGCAGAGAGTTCCTTTGGTGCATAATAGGTTCTTTCCATTAAACCACTGTCCCTGCCACCTCCAGATGCTGCAGCTGGCACATCAGCTGCCCATTATCACTGCACATAAATGTTGTTCTTTCTCTTAAACCTGCTGGATTCACTTTTATTTCCCATCAGCCACAGCAGATGTTTTGGGTTTGTGGCTCCTGCTGTGGATTAAGCCCAGTGGCATCTCAGAGGCTGGCTTCAGCCACTCCTCTACCTGGGAGGCCTTCCTCCCAGGCCTCCCCATCCCAGCCCTTTACCTTCCCACTAACTCCCAGTTAGCCTCTAGGATTCCCCTCAGGGCACTCTGTGGACTCCCAGAATCCCTAGGGCACCCCTTGATCACTAAACTTAACCTCAGTGTATTATAATTATCTATTATTTTATTTACATTACTTCCCTTTACAAAGAGACCTCTTAAGGGCAGGGGTCCTAATACCTTATTCATTTGCTAAATCTCAACATCTTGCCCAGAACAGGCCTTCAACTGTCATTTGTAGAATTGTCACTGAATGAATGAACACAGTAACTTGTAAAGCTTTTCTCCTTTTCTACTCCCAATTTGCACTTGAAGTCACTGAGGAACTGGTACTCATTGAATGTACACTGTGCCCCAGGCAAATTACTTAACCTCTTTGCTTTCGTTTCCCATTTGTAAAATGGGACTCTGATACTTACGAACTTCACAGGGAGTTTGTGAGATTAAGTGGAAGAATGCATGGAAATAATTATCATTATCACTGTATGAAAAGTGGTGCTCTTGGCCCAACGGAGCCTCTGGGATAGACAGTAATGCCTGCACTGAGAGGACACCTGTGGTCCAGACCGGCCCCCAGAGTATTAGTATCTAATCTGTGCTATTCATGAGGCCAGTGGAGATTTGAAATTAATTATCTGGGCTGTGGCCAGGGTGTCTATTTTTATTTTTATTTTTTTGAGATGGAGTTTCACTCTCGTTGCCCAGGCTGGAGTGCAATGGCACGATCTCGGCTCACAGCAACCTCCATCTCCTGGGTTCAAGCGATTCTCCTGCCTCAGCCTCCCGAGTAGCTGGGACTACAGGCATGCACCACTACGCCCAGCTAACATTTTTGTATTTTTAAAGCTTCCCAGGTGAGCCTAACGTTCAGCTGGTTTGAGAATGAGAGGTGTTAAGCACTCTGAGAGGCTGTCTGGGGAGAGAGAAGCTGCAGGAGAGACAGGCATCTCAGTCAATTTGAAGCTGAATGCAGAAGAAATTCACCTGGGTGGGGAAGGGACGGTGCCTGAGTGGGGGGCAACGGGCTCTCCTGCCAGAACAGCATGTGCAGAGAATGTGATGAGTGTGGGGAACTATGAAAGGTTCAGAATGGCCAGAGGGCAGGGCACATTTGGGGAGGCACCAGAAGAAGGGTCTGATCTGCCCAGCTAAGGAGCCTGGACTTTATCCTGAGGCGCTGGAGATGTTCAGAGGGTGCACACAGGATCAGCTTTGCCTTCTGCAGAGCTGGAGGCAAAGGGCCTAGCTAGGAGGGGGTCTCTGGGAAGCCATGTGGGCCTAAATCAAAACTGTAGCAGTGGAGATGGAGGAGGGGGAAGAGGAATTGCTGCCAAATGGAAGGGACTGAAGGCAACTATGCAGAGAAGGAGAGGGGAGAAACCTAGGCGGTTTGGGTTTGAGTGACTGGGGAGACAGCAGGCCCTGACAGAGGAGCAGTTTTCCACGCTGCAGACAAGGTGGTGGACTTTGAGATGCTGGGTGGGCAGCTGGCTGGCTGAGATGCTGGGTGGGTCTGGGGTTCAGAAGGGAAGTCTGAGCTGGAGCCTCAGGTAGTTGAGACCTAGAGTATGAACAAAGCAGCATGAGGAGAAGGTGTAGAGTGAGGAGGTGGGAGAGAGGGAAGGAGAGGGAAGAGGAAGAAGAGACAGCTGGAAGCAAGTAACAGCCTGACGGGTTCATCTTGCCTGCTGTTCAGAAAACCAATGCACTAAAAACAGCGAGTTTTGCAGCAAAGAAAGAGTTTGATGGGCCAGTCAAGTGAAAGGAGGGGAGGTAATTCTCAGATCTTCCTCTCACTGCAGTGAGCCATGATTGCACCACTGCACTCCAGACCGGGGAAAAGAGCGAGATCCTGTCTCAAAGAAAAAAAAAAAAAAACAACCAACCAACCAAACAAACAAACTTCCTCTCCAAGAATATTAGCAAATTGAATCCAATGATGTATTTGAAAAATTATACCACATGACCAAATAGGAGTTACTTTAGGTATGCAAGGCTGGTTTAACATTAGAAAATCAATTAACATAAACCTATCACATCAACAGGCTAAAGGAGAAAAGTCACACAATCATATTAGTAGACACAGAAAAAGCATTTGACAAAATCCAATGCTCATTCATGATAAAAGCTCTAAGTAAACTAGGAATAGAGGGGAACTTCTTCAATTTGATTAAGAACATCTACAAAAAACATACAGCTACCACCATACTTAGCAGTGAGAAACTACACGCTTTACCCCTAAGACTGGGAACATGACAAGATGTCCCTTCTCTCTACTCTCTTTCAACATCATACTAGAAGTTCTACCTAATGGAATAAGCCAAGAAAAGGAAATAAAAGATATATATTTTGGAAAGGAAGAAATAAAATTGCCTTGGTTGCAGATGACTGATTGTCTATGCAGAAAATCTCAAAGAATCTATTAAAAAAAAAAAGAACAAAAAAACTCCTGGAACTTATAAGTGATTGCAGCAAGGTTGCAAGAAGTAAGGTTAATACACAGAAGTCAAATGTTTTCCCACATACTAGCAATAAGCAATGGAAAGCTCAAGTTAAAAATGCAATGCCATTTATATTAACACAAACATTGAAATACTTAGGTATAAATCTTACAAAATATGTGTAAGATCTATATTAGGAGAAATATAAAACTCTGGGAAAAGACTATAAACTATAAAACTCTGATAAAATCAAGAACTAAACAAATAGTTATCTCATGCACATGAATAGGAAGAATGAATATTGTTAAGATGTCAGTTCTTCCCAACTTGATCTATAGATTCAATGCAATTGCAATAAAGAAATCCCAGCAAATTACTGTATGGATATCGACAAATTGATTCCAAAGTTTATGTGGAGAGGCAAAAGATCCAGAATATCCAACACAATATTAAAAAAGAACAAAGGTGGAAAACTGACACTACCTGACCTTAAGACTTACTAGGCTAGGCGTGGTGGCTCACACCTGTAATCCCAGCACTTTGGGAGGCCGAGGCGGGTGGGTGGATCACCTGAGGTCAGGAGTTCAAGACCACCCTGGCAAATGTGGTAAAACCCCGTCTCTACTAAAAATACAAAAATTGCCAGGTGTGGTGGTGGGCACCTGTAATCCCAGCTACCTGGGAGGCTGAGGCAGGAGAATCGCTTGAACCCAGGAGGCAGAGGTTGCAGTGAGCTGAGATCGTGACATTGCACTCCAGCCTGGCCAACAGGAGCAAAACTCCATCTCAAAAAAAAAAAAAGACTTACTATAAAATGATAGTAATTAAGACAGTGTGGTATTGGTGAAGAAACAGACAAATGAATCAATGAAACCAAATAAAGAGCCCAGAAATAGATCCACATAAATAGAGTCAACTGATCCTTGACAAAGAAACAAAGGCAATGGTGCTGGAACAACGAATATCCATATGTAAAAAAGTGAATCTAGACACAGACCTCATCCCTGTCACAAATATTAACTCAAAATGGGTTATATACTGAAATGTAAACTGCAAAACTTCTAGAAGGTAATACAGGAGAAAATCTAGCTGACCTTGGGTTTGGCTATGAGTTTTCATATATAATACCAAAAGCATGATACATGAAACAAAAAAAATTGATAAATTCAACTTCATTAAAATTATAAACTTCTACTCTGTGAAAGATACTGTTAAGAAAATGAAAAGAGGCCGGGAATGGTGGCTCATGCCTGTAATCCCAGCACTTTAGGAGGCTGAGGCAGGCGGATCACCTGAGGTCAGGAGTTTGAGACCAGCCTGGCCAACATGGTGAAACCCTGTCTCTACTGAAAATAAAAAAATTAGCTGGGCATGTTGGTGTGCACCTGCAGTCCCAGCTACTCGGAAGGCTGAGGCAGGAGAATCGCTTGAACCCGGGAGGTGGAGGTTGCAGTAAGCTGAGATCACTCCACTGCACTCCAGCCTGGGCTACAGAGAAAGACTCAAAAAATAAAAAAAAATAAAAAACAAGAAAATGAAAGAAAAGAGAAGCCATAGAGACTGGAAGAAAACCTGCCAGACACATATTTGACAAAGGACTACATCCAACATATACAAAGAATTCTGATAACTTAATAATAAGAAAATACCCCAGTTAAAAAGTGGGCAAGGCCGGGCATGGTGGCTCATGCCTGTAATCCCAGCACTTTGGGAGGCTGAGGTGGGTGGATCACCTGAGGTTGGGAGTTCCAGACCAGTCTGGCCAACATGGTTAAACCCTGTGTCGACTAAAAATATAAAAATTAGCTGGGCGTGGTGGCAGGAGCCTGTAATCCCAGCTACTCAGGAGGCTGAGGCAGGAGAATTGCTTGAACCTGGGAGGTGGAGGTTGCAGTGAGCCGAGATCATGCCATTGCACTCCAGTCTGGGCAACAAGAGTGAAACGCCGTTTCAAAAAAAGAAAAAAAAGAAAAGTGGGCAAAAGATCTGAACAAACTCCTCAACAAAAAAGAAATATGGATGGCAAATAGACATATGAAAAGATGTTCAGCATCATATGTAATCAGGAAATTGCAAATTAAAACAAAAATGAGATACCATTACATACCTATTAGAATGGCTAGAATCCAAAACATTGACAACATCAAATGATGGCAAGAATGTGAAGCAACAAGAATTTCTATTTATTGCTGGTGGGGATGCAAAATGGAAAAGCCACTTTGCAAGACAATTGGGTAGTCTTTTTCAAAGCTAAACAGTCTTGCCATATGATCCAGTGATCATATTTACCTAAATGAGTTTAACAATATATCCACACAAAAACCTGCACATGAAATGTTCATAGTGAGAGGTGACAGCATGCTGGCAGCCCTCGCAGCCCTCGCTCACTCTGGGCACCTCCTCGGCCTTGGCGCCCACTCTGGCGGTGCTTGAGGAGCCCTTCAGCCTGCTGCTGCACTGTGGGAGACCCTCTCTGGGCTGGCCAAGGCCGGAGCTGGCTCCCTCAGCTTGCAGGCAGGTGTGGAGTGAGAGGTGCCGGTGAGAACTGGGGCTGCGCGCAGCGCTTGCCGGCCAGTGAGGGTTCTGGGTGGGTGTGGGCTCCGCAGGCCCACACTCCAAGCAGCCGGCTGGCCGCAAGCCCCTGGCAGTGAGGAGCTTAGCACCTGGGCCAGCAGCTGCTGTGCTCAATTTCTCACGGGGCCTTAGCTGCCTCCCCGCAGGGCAGGGCTGGGGACCGGCAGCCCGCCATGCCTGAGCCTCCCCCTGCCACCGTGGGCTCCTGCGCGCCCCAGCCTCCCCAACGAGCGCCACCCCCTGCTCCGCAGCACCTGGTCCCATCAAAAGCCCAAGGGCTGAGGAGTGCGGGCACACAGCGGGACTGGCCGGCACCTCCGCCTGGGGCCCTGGTGCAGGATCCACTGGGTGAACCTAGCTGGGCTCCTGAGTCTAGTGGGGACTTGGAGAACCTTTGTGTCTAGCTAAGGGATTGTGAGTGCACCAATCAGCACTCTGTATCTAGCTCAAGGTTTGTAAACACACCAATCAGCACCCTATGTCTAGCTCAGGGTTTGTGAATGCACCAATCGGCACTCTGTATCTAGCTAATCTGGTGGGGACTTTGAGAATCTTTATGTCTAGCTAAGGGATTGTGAATACACCAATCGGCACTCTGTATCTAGCTCAAGGTTTGTAAATGCACCAATTGACATTCTGTATCTAGTTGATCTAGTGGGGAAGTGGAAAACTTTTGTGTCTAGCTCAGCAATTGTAAATGCACCAATCAGCACCCTGTCAAAACGGACCAATCAGCTCTCTGTAAAACAGACCAATGGGCTCTCTGTAAAATGGACCAATCAGCAGGATGTGGGTGGGGCCAGATAAGAGAATAAAAGCAGGCTGCCCCAGGCAGCAGTGGCAACCTGCTGAGGTCCCCTTCCACACTGTTGAAGCTTTGTTCTTTTGCTCTTTGCACTAAATCTTGCTACTGCTCACTCTTTGGGTCCACACTGCTTTTATGAGCTGTAACACTCACCGTGAAGGTCTGCAGCTTCACTCCTGAAGCCAGCAAGACCACGAACCCACCAGGAGGAATGAACAACTCCAGACGCACCACCCTAAGAGCTGTAACACTCACCGCGAAGGTCTGCAGCTTCACTCCTGAGCCAGCGAGACCATGAACCCACCAAAAGGAAGAAACTCTGAACACATCTTGACATCAGAAGGAAGAAACAAACTCCAGACACGCCACCTTTAAGAACTGTAATAACACTCACCGCGAGGGTCTGCGGCTTTGTTCTTGAAGTCAGTGAGACCAAGAACCCACAATTCTGGACTCAATAACTTTATTCATAATTACCAAAAATGAGAAAAAAACAAGATGTACTTCAATAGGTGAGTAGATAACCTGGTACACTCATACCGGTGAATATTATTCAGTGATGAAAAGAAATGAGCTATCACGCCACGAAAAGACATGAAAGAAACCTAAATGTGTATTGTTAAGTGAAGAAGCCGGTCTGAAAAGGCTACATGCTGTATAATTGCAAACTGTATAATATTCTGAAAAAGGCAAAATTACAGAGAAGTAAAAGATACCAGTGATTGTAAATCCCTTCTAAATGAAAAATATCAGTGGTTTCCAGGGGTTGGTGGGAAGGAACAATGAACAGTAAAGCCTAGGGGGTTTTTGGGGAGGTGAAACTGTTCTGTATACTTTACTGGTGGATACACAGCATTACACATTTAGCAAAACTTGTAGACCTGTGCAACCTTAAGCAATGAACACTGGCCAGGTGTGATGACTCACACCTGTAATCTCAACACTCTACGAAGCCAAGGTGGGAGGACCACTTGAGGCCAGGAGTTTGAGACCAGCTTGGGCAACATAGCAAGACCATAGCTTTACAAAAAATAAAAAAATTAGCTGGGCATGGTGGCATGTGCCTGTGTTCCCAGTTACTCAGGAGGCTGAGGTGGGAGGATTGCTTGAGCCCAGGGGTTGGAGGCTACTGTGAGCCATGATCATGCCACCGCACTCCAGCCTGGGTGACAAAGTGAGACCCTGTCTCAATACAGCAGCAGCAACAACAACAACAGATGAACTCTAATGTAAACTATGGACTTTAGTTAGTAATAACATACCAGTATAGTTGTATCAATGATAACAAATGTACCACACCAATGCAATGTGTAAGATGTTAACAACAGAGGAAATGGGAATACGGAATACATAAAGGAACTGTTTTTTGTTTAATGCTTCTAAAAATCTGCTTTAAGTCTATTTTCTTTTAAAAGTAAAGGCTAAGCCGGGCGTGGTGGCTCATGCGTGTAATCCCAAAACTTTGGGAGGCTGAGGTGGGTGGATCACCTGAGGTCAGGAGTTTGAGACCAGCCTGGCCAACATGGTGAAACCCCATCTCTACTAAAAATACCAAAATTAGCCAGGCATGGTGGCGGGCGCCTGTAATCCCAGCTACTCGAGCCCAAGGCAGGAGAATCGCTTGAACCTGGGAGGCAGAGGTTGCAATGAGCCAAGATCGCGCTACTGCACTCCAGCCTGGGCGATAGAGCGAGACTCCGTCAAAAAAAAAAAAAAAAAAAAAAAGTAATAATAAAAAAAATAAAGTAAAGGCTAGAGCTGCATGGAAAGAACTCTTGGCTCAGGTAGGACTTAGAGCCAGGGAGTAGGAAGAGTGGCATGCACTCTGGAGTCCTATGAGGAAGCAAGATCCCACAGGATATGGGACCATAGGTGACAGGGACCAGTGAGGAAGGATTGAGACCCCTTGCCCCATCGGCCTGCCACTTTTTTCATTGTTTTTCTCTTCCCCTCTCCTTCTCTTTCTTCTTTTCTTTTACTGTGTTCTTTTCGAGTATTCTCAACAACAGTCTAGGGGCCTGGAGGTGTGGGGAGGCCGCCCACGGATGCCTAGTTTGGCGCTCTGTGCACTGCTAGCATCTTCGTAGGGATGGGTTTGGGATGGGAGCGGGGTGATGCTCTGGTTCTCAGGGCTGGACTCCGGGCTTGGAGGGGAACTCCCTCTTGCGAGTCCCCAGTCCTGTGGGGGCTGGGCCTGGAAGGGGAACTGGGAGATGCGGAAGTGCACGCCGTCGGGTCGCATCTTTCAGTGCGGTGCGAGAGGGCCCAGTGGCAGAGGCCCAGCAAACAGCGCTTGTCAGGCGGACCTGAGTTCGAGTTCTGACTGTGCCATCTACGCTATGACTTTGGGGCAGGCGACCCACCCTCTGCGCCTCATTAACCCATGTACTGCATGGAAAATAAGCGTCTGCCTGGGTTAGAAGAGGGCTGTGTGTGAAGATTCAAAGGACGAAGGGGAAGAGTCCTCGCTGGGCGCCCAGCACGCGGTGAGCGCCCGGCCAGTGGCAGCGCGCTCGGGCTGGGGTTGCGCTCGGGCTCGGTTCCGCGCCCCCGGCAGCTGCGGGCTTTCCCAGCTCCGGCCCGGGCCCTTCCGCTCTCCCCGGCACTTACAGCGGTCTCTCTCCACTTCTCCCTTCTAGGACCGCGGCGGCTAGGTCACCTCCTCCGGACGCCGACACGCGCTGCCCTGGCAACCGTCACCAGGGAAACAAGCGACGTCACTTGCGCGTTTTCAACGCTACTCTACGGGGGCCGAGGGGGCGCCAAGAGTTCTGAAAGTGACAGAGGCGCTGATGGCGCGCTGGGCTGGATCCAAGCGAGCACGATCTCGAGTGCGCTGGAGATTTTAAATCTTCTGGAGTATATTTTTAAAAAAGTTTTGTGGACCAAACGTTCTGCACAGAGATGCCCATTCCGCTCTCCTGTTGGGGAGTTAAAAAGCGAACGATCTCACCATGAAATTTAAAGTAGCCATTCAGATATATTTGAAAAATGTAAAACAGTGTGGGGAAAGGCCATGTTATGATGGTGAGTGAAGGAAGCAGGACGCAATATAGCAATGCTAAATAAATAAAGTTGTGTTTATTTCAAACTAGGCACTAAAACAAGACCGAAATAGAAATATTAAAAGTGGTTATATTTGGGTGGTGGAATAGCAGTGCTGTGTTTTTATTTTTACACTTTAGAGAATTTTTAAAATAATGAACATCGTTTATTTTCATAAAGGAAAATACTTGTTTTTTTTTTTTTAAATGGCACCTTCCAATGTAAGACACTACTATATTTCAGGGCAATATGGGGGTGGGAGGCAAATTTCTAGGAAAGATGATTCAAGGGAGATTTCTTTCTATCTATCTATCTATCTAATCTATCTATCTATCTATGATAGAGTCTCGCTGTGTCGCCCAGGCTGGAGTGCAGTGGTGCGATCTCAGCTCATTGCAACCTCCATTTCCCAGGTTCAAGCGATTCTCCTGCCTCAGCCTCCTGAGTAGCTGGGATTACAGGCACCCGCCACCACACCTGGCTAATTTTTTTATTTTTAGTGGAGACGGGGTTTCACCATGTTGACCAGGCTGGTCTTGAACTCCTGACCTCAGGTGATCCGCCCACCTTGGCCTCCTAAAGTGCCGGGATTACAGGCGTGAGCCACAGCTCCTGCCCAAATATTTATCCAGGACTTCATAATTTGAAAACCTTGGCAGTTGTTTTTCTATTTTTTTTCCTCATAAGGTGAATGAATACCCATCCCATAGACATGCATACATAAGATACGGCACTAGACTGCCATCAGCACTGCAGGTATAAACCCGAAGTTTCCTGATAAAGGAAAAATGGATCTTTCCCGTTGGTCTCCAATTGCTGCCTGGTGAGCTGAGGGTGGGAGACGTATAATATACAGGTGGCAGCAAAGAGAGACAGGATAAAGAGTAGGATTCAGGTAGATGTGAGCCTCAAAGGATTAGGGTTTTTTTTAAATGGTGTGTGTAGTGGGGAGTATCATTCGTTTGCCTCATGACCACGATGGGACTATGTGGCATAGGAAAAGGAATAGCCAGGTCTACTTAGAGGGCTTCTGGAAAGCATGGATCCTAGCAGAAAGCCAGGTTTTCATTAAAATAAGAACATGCTGTGAGAAAATTAAGGATGCAAGAGAATTTCAGAACCGACATTCTAGAATGTATGTATTAGAAAGTTTGGGAAAGGGGTAACATTTGCTCCAGCAATCCAAGGATTATTTTTGACGAGGATATCATTTTTGCAGTAACCCATTTTTTAAAAAGCAGGGATGATTTTCCTCTAGGTTTGTTACTTTTCCACGGTCACCACTAAGGCTCTCATGCCATTTTTTTTTTCTGCCCAAAATTCTTTTGAGAATTTTCTTTAGTTTATAAGCTTGACATTTTATCATCCAAGAAGCTGGCGAATCCAATCTGGGTCACCAGTATTTCCTCATGTACAGTATACAGATGTTTGTTAATTCCAGCCCACTTTGTTTCTCTAGCCAGAAGTATCTGTAGGACACTGCCCTTTGTTTTTTGCTTTTTAATTTGAAATTATATTGAGATTTTTATAGAATCACATGCAGTTGTAAAAAATAATAGAGATCCCCTGTATACTTTTCCAGTTCTCCACAATGATATTTTGCAGAACTTTAGTATAATATTACAACCAGGATATTGACATCGATACAACCTACTCCTCTTAGATTTCTCCAATTTAACTGTACTTTTCTTTTGATTTATCACGTGTCAGTTTGTGTATCCATGACCATCAAGATATCAAATACTAGCCGGGCATGGTGACTCATGCACGCCTATAATCCCAGCATTTTGGGATGCTGAGGCAGGCAGATCACTTGAGGCCAGGAGTTCAAGACCAGCCTGGTCAACATGGCAAAATCCTATATCTACTAAAAATAACAAAAATTAGCCAGGCATAGTGGTGCTTGCCTGTAATCCCAGCTACTTGGGAGGCTGAGGCATGAGAATCGCTTGAACTCAGGAAGTGGAGGTTGCAGTGAGCTGAGATCGCGCCATTACACTCCAGCCTGGGCGACAAGAGTGAGACTCTGTCTCAAAAAAAAAAAAAGATACCAAATACTATCACAAGGATCTCTCTGTTGTGATTTTATGACTATGTACACTTCCCTCCCTCCTCCTGCCCTAGTCCCTAACCCTTTACAACCACCAGTCTGCCCTCCATTTCTAAAATTTTGTCATTTCAAAAATGTTATATAAATGAAATAACTCAGCATGTACACTTTTTAGGATGGATTTTTTTTTTTTTTTACTCAGAACAATTCCTTGGAGATTCATCCAAGTTGTTGTGTGTATCAATAATCCATTCCTTTTTATTGCTGAGTAGTTCTAGTATGAATGTACCAGTTTGTTTAACCATTTACCCACTGAAAGACATCTGGGTTGTTTCCAGTTAGGAGCAATTATGATTCAGCTGCTATAAACATTCATGTATAGGTTTTTGTGTGAACATAAGTTTTCATTCCTATGGAATAAATGCCCAAGAGTGCAATTGCTGTGTAGTATGGTAACTGCATATCTAGTTTTAGAAGAAATTGCCAAACCTGTTTTCCAGAGTGACTGTTCCACTTTACATTCTTACCAGAAATGTTTAAGTGACACAGTTTCTTCACATCCTTGCCAGCATTTGATGTCACTATTTTTATTTTAGTCATTTTAATAGGTGTGTAGTGATATCATTGTGGTTCTAATGTACGTGACGGATAATGATATTGAACATCTTTTTCATGTGCTTATTTGTCATCTGTATATTTTCTTTGGTGAAGTGTCTGTTCATGTCTTTTGCCCAATTTCTAACTGTCGAGTTTTGAGAATTCTTTATATATTCTATATACTAGTCCGTTGTTGGATACGTAGTTTGCAAATACTTTCTCCGAATCTGTAGTTCATCTTTTAATCCTCTTCACTTGGGCTTTCACAGAACAAAAGGCTTTGATTTTGACAAGGTCCAATTTATCAATTCCTTCTTTAATGGATTGTGCTTTTGATTTCAAGTCTAAGAAAGAACTCTTTGCCTAGCCCTGGGTCCCAAAGATTTCCCCCCATTTTTATAAAAGTGTTAGAGTTTTATGCCCATGATTTATTTTGATGTAATTTTTATATAAAGGTATGAAATTTAGATCAAGGTTCTTTTTTGCTTTTTTGCCTATGGTGTCCAGTTGTTCCAGCACCATTTGTTGGAAAGCTATGCTTCCTCCATTGAATTGCTTTTGCACCTTTGTCAAAAATCAGGTTAGCTATCTCAACAACAAAACCCAATTCAAAAATGGGCAAAGGACTTCAATAGACATTAATCCAAAGAAGATATACAAATGGCAAATAAGCACATGAAAACATGCCCAACATCACTAACCATTAGAGAAATGCAAACCAAAACCACGAGATACCATTTCACACCCATTAGGATGGATATTATCCAAAAAATGGAAAATAACAAGTGTTTGCCAGGATGTGAAGAATTTGGAACCCTTATGTAGAGCTAGTGGGAATGTAAAATGGTATATCCACTGTAGAAAACAGTTTGGTGGTTCCTCAAAAAGTTAAACATTGAATTACCGTATGATTTACAATTCCACTTCTAAATATATGCCCGAAAGATTTGAAAGAAGGGACTTGGCCAGACACAGTGTCTCATGCCTGTAATCCCAGCCCTTTGGGAGGCTGAGGTAGAGGACTGCTTGAGGCCAGGAACTCGAGACCAGCCTGGTCACCATAGCGAGACCTTGTCTCTACAAAAAAAGTAATAATAAAAAATAAAGAAGGGACTCAAACAGGTAATTGTATGCCAGTGTTCATAGCAGCATTATTCACGATAGCCAGAAGGTAGAAACAACCCAAGCAACCTTCAACAGATGAATGAGTAAACAAAAGGTGGTATATATACTCCACAGAATATTCAGCCTTAGAAAAGAATGAAATTCTGAATTCTGGATGAACCTTGAAAACATTATGCTAAGTGAAATAAGCCAGACACAAAATGGCAAATATTGTACGATTCCATGTATATTAGGTACCTAGAATGAACAAATTCATAGAGACAGAAAGTAGAATAGAGGATGCTAGGGAGTGGAAGAACGGGGCAAGTAGAGAGGTTTGGGGGTTTTTGTTTGTTTTTGAGACAGGGTCTCGCTCTATCGCCCAGGCTGGAATGCAGTCGTGCAATGACAGCTCACTACAGCCTCAACCACCTGGGCTCAGGTTATCTTCCCACCTTAGCATCCCAAGTAGTTGGGACCACAGGCTCGCACCACCACACCGAGCTAATTTTTGTATTTTTTGTAGAGATGGTGTTTCGCCATGTTGCCCAGGTTGATCTCGAACTCCTGGGCTCAAGCGATCTGCCTTGACCTCCCAAAGTGCTAGGATTATAGGTGTGAGCCACCACATCCAACCAGAAGTTATTCTTAAAGGGCATGGAGTTTCTGTTTGGGCTGATGAAAAGACTTTAGAGGTGGATGGTGGTGATGGTTACATAGCATTTTGAATATACTTAGTTCCACTGTATTGTACACTTAAAAATGGTTAAAATGGTAATTTTTATATGTATATTTACCACAATAAAGGTTTTAAAAATCAGCTGTGCATACTTGTGTGGGTGTAATGGCTTTTTTTCCTAATCCCTAAATTAGGTTCTCCCCACAGTTCCATGTAGTTCCAACTTTAAAGTGGGACTTTTACCCATGCTTATTTATCTTAATGATAATAGTCACCAAATATATTTCCCATCACTGAAATTCTCTCTCCCACCAATAAGTAAACATAACATAAACAGTGGCCCTACTCTTACTATGAGAAACAAAAATGAATTGAACAAAGTCAGAAGTGGGAATACCTGAGTTTTGACCTCATTAGTCAAGTCACAAACCTCAACTTTCTTCTTAAAACGGTAATAGTACCTTTATTATCATGATAATCAAATAGGTCATGAAAGTGCTTTGTAAAATGTGAAATTCTCTTCAGTTATCTTTATTATTTTAGTAGTCACATATATTAATTACTACAGATTTAGCTGTTTTGCCTGGTAATGGAAGTAAGTTCTGCTACAGCTTAAAACCAAGGCCTCATTTGGCTCTCTCCATTTCACAGCTCTCATTCTAGACCTCAGCTTTGCAGGCCCCAAATCCAATTTAGTTATTATACCATGAGTATCTCTTGGGGCTAGACTTACACCAGTCACGTGTAACTGACATACAAACCAGGAACACTAAGTCTCTCGTTTATATCTGTGGGTTGTGACCCATGTCCAGAGACTCTCCCTTCCCAGCATCAGGCACCCACAAAGCCAAAAGAGTCATCAGAAAGATATTGTGAGCATGGATTCAGAACAAACAGAAACAAACTGCCTAGAGGGTATTTTTGGCCCAGGGTTAAGCCTTATTAAATTATTCCACTTCACAATCAGGAGCCCTACATAGATAAAAATTGTTCATTTTCTACAAAAAATTAGCCGGGCGTAGTGGCGGGCGCCTGTAGTCCCAGCTACTTGGGAGGCTGAGGCAGGAGAATGGCGTGAACCCGGGAGGCGGAGCTTGCAGTGAGCCGAGATCCCGCCACTGCACTCCAGCCTGGGCGACAGAGCGAGACTCGGTCTCAAAAAAAAAAAAAAAAAAAAAATTGTTCATTTTCTCCAGGTTCAAGCCCCTTTGTGCTGGAAGTTCTGCCTGTACAACTTGCCATGGATTTGGGCTTTGGTAGCTACTAGCCTCCCAGAGTCCTCCAGCACATTTTGTGTTTAGCTTAACACCATTTGGCTACAGTCAATCTTATTTTATCCACGGAACTATTTTGTCTAAGATGTGTTTGTATAGATGTGGTCCCACTCATCATATGTTGACTTTATTAGAAAACTCAATGTTCTGCCAAGATTCGTCAATCCTTAGCTCCAAGGGACCTCTCTGATAGATGAGATCTACCCTGGCTCTCCACCAAGCCTTCAGCACAAGGTTGCTAATATATTTATTTTATCCTCAAATTTCTCATTTCCATTCTTGGCTCACATCATAGTCTTTCAAAACATTTGGGTGAGTCACCTGATCCTAGTAATTATTCATTTCTCTCATTAACTAGGTCCGCAATGCCTTGTGCACTTAATAGTATTTAATTTACCACTTCCACAGTAAAGACCATTTGTATGTGGGAATCTCTTCAGCTTCCTTTCTATAAAGGCTGAAACAATTAGCTAGGTGTGGTGGTGTGCACCTATAGTTCCAGCTACTCAGGAGGCTGAGGCAGAATTGCTTGAGCTCAGGAGACAGAGCTGCAGTGAGTTATGATCATGCCACTGCACTCCAGCCTGGGCGACAGAGCAAGACCCAGTCTCAATTAAAAAACACATATATATAAGCCAGGCACAGTGGCTCATGCCTGTAACCCCAGCACTTTGGGAGGCTGAGGCAGGCAGATCACTTGGGCTCAGGAGGTTGAGACCAGCCTGACCAACATGGTGAAATCCCATCTCTACAAAAAATACAAATATCAGCTGGGTGTGGCGGCCCATGCCCGTAGTCCAACTACCTGGGGAGCTGTGGTGGGAAGATCACTTGAGCCCAGGAGGTTTGAGCTCAGGGGATGACAGCGGGAGATGGGGTTATCATTGACAGAAATGAGTGAGCTAGGAAGAGGCACTGTGGGGAAGACAACAGATAGGGTTGTAGACAAGGTGAGATTAGGTAAGGACCATAACTCAAAGATGTGATGGCAAAATTTTAGTCAGTCCTAACACTTCAGAGTTGCATTCAGGATAGGAAAAGACCTAACACCAACGTTGTAAGAAGCTCAGAATACTACTGCAAGGACCTGTTCTTAGGTTTCTCTGAGGGGATCAACTGGACACCGGCCTCCACCGTAGACTCACTTATTACTGCTGAATTCAGGGGGAAATTTTTCTAACTTTTGTCTTGCTACAAACAAATTCTTTCTTTTGCTTCGTTCAGTGACTAAGGGGGAAGTAGGCAAGGAAACTAGATTGTATGAGCAGTGTTAGTTCTTCCATGAACTCATATCAGGTAAATCATTCACTGATAAAAGTAGCAAACCAGTCAGGGTGCATGTCCCAGCTGCCTCTCTCAAATTTCCCTATTCTATTCAAACAGCTTTCAAATGGGACCAAGTGTATAAATAATATTTGGCAGTTCCACTCTGACATGAGAACTTTAAAATACTTTATGTTCATTCAGTGTTGTTCTGGTCTGGTAGTTATGATGTGATAAAACTATAGATGTACATGGGGATACAACCTAAATTTCAAGTCCCTGAAACTGAGCAGCAGTTCCTCATCTCTGAGGCAAGAGACATGGCCTACATGACCAATACTCCTTCCACTCCAAAAATCTGTCTGTGATTCAGAAGTCGAGTGTTATTTAGGGGGCTTTTAAGTGTGGAGTCAAATTCCAACTCTTACCACCAGATGTCACTGTTGTTCAGTAACTAGAAATACATACCTTCTAGGGACAGTAGGATCCTGAATGTAGAAGCCCCAAACCTTTTAATTCTAATTAATTCAACAAACGCTGAACACTTATGTGTGCCACGTGCTTTGGATGAGAAAGGCCATCATGCCCTCAGACAACTGGAGGAGAGGCATGGAAGCAATCACACACACCAACACTCCAATAACATCCAACATTAAGCCATGGACTCTAACTCTCAATGAAAAATCAACATACTATCTCCGTAAAGTAGAACATTGTTTCCTCAGGGAGAATTTCTCCAACCCCAACCCTGGGTTAGGTTCCCCCAGCCGGATGTTCCTGTTGCATCCTCTACCTAATAATTATCATCCTTTATTGTGTTGGGACTCAGAAACAAATACCCCAAAATACGATGCTTTGACATGCTGGACTGAAGATGCAGCCTCAAGGTCTCTCTGACCTCCTACCCCCTCCCCGCCATGAAGCTGTTCTGTGAAGTTTCCTTATCTGCTTAAAGTCTAGACCTGCCAAAGGCGGGGGGAAAATTACTCCTGGTCCTTTCCGTTTTTTGTTTTTTTTTTTTTTTGAGATGGAGTCTCGCTCTGTTGCTCAAACTGGAGTGCAGTGGCGTGATCTCCTAGGTTCAAGCAATTCTCCCACCTCAGCCTCATGAGTAGCTGGGACTACAGGTGCATGCCACCATGCCCGGCTAATTTTTGTATTTTTTTTAGTAGAGAGGGGGTTTCACCATGTTGGCCAGGCTGGTCTCAAACTCCTGACCTCAAGTGATCCGCCTGCCTCGGCCTCCCGAAGTGCTGGGATTACAGGTGTGAGCCACTGCACCGGCACGGAGTTTTCATTAGTTTAATTCATATTGCAGGAAGAGAGACAAATCTGTCAACATATCTGGACAGACTTGTCACAAACTATTATCTGCCCTGTAGGCCAAACAGACTTTGTCTTAGGCCATCGTATGTTCTTTAAGTCCACTGAATCCCCCTAAAAATAACTCATTATCCCTCAAATTGCCACATTTCCTCCATCTCCCCTTCCCCTATGAAGAAGGATATATAAACATCTGTACCCTATTGGGTTACTGAGTAGTCATTATGCCATTCCCCTGTGATATACACATTAAAATAATTGCATGTTTTTTCTCCTAATAATCTGCCTTTTGTCAGTTGATTTTTCAGTAAACCTTCAGAGGGTGAAGGTAAAGTTTTCCCTTGGCCCCTACAATTGTAATCACTTATTTAATGCCAGCCTTCCCTGCTAGACTATAAATTCTGAAAGCAAGGCTCATGTGTCTCCTGTGCTACTGCATTCCCACAGTTAACACAGTAATAATGGAAACAGCAACCATTTATTGAGCTTACTAATGCACTGGGTGCTATGCTAAGTAAGCCCTTTATAGTCAGTATTGTATTTAATCCCAACAACCCTACGCCACTGATACTGTCCCCATTTTATAGATAAGAAACCATGGCTGCTTGGTTAGGAGTGGCAGAACCATGAACCCAGCTCTCATTCAATAAAAAATAGTATCACATCCACTTGAACCACCTAATGTACCATTTACCATTCTTTTCAGGCACACAATCCCACAAATTTCTCATGAACACTCATTAACATCTTAACCCTTCACTTGTTCTTCTCCCCCTATCCTCTGCCATTTGTCTAGATCAATGACTCTCAAATTAGTTATTTAAACAAAACCAAGAGTATTCATCTATTAAATAGAATGAAAATTTTCTGAAAATGTAGTGAAAACTGACCCAGAAAGGTCAATACCAAGACCTGTTAGAGTTATTGGACTTGATAAAGGAATAATTTGAGCAGCCAAGCAAAAAATCAAATCACTTATGTAAGAAAAATGTCACATGACTTTAGGCTTCTCTATAGCAATACTTTAATATTCCAAAGAAAAATATGAACTGAGAATTGTATTATCTAGCCAAATTGTTTTTACTGTGTAAAGGCTACAGATAAACATATTTGACATGGCAAAAATTTAGGGAAATTGTTCCATGAGTCTTTTTTAAGGAAACTATTAAATCATTAATTTCAGCTGACCAAGAGATTAATGGGAATGTTTTGAGTTTCAAATACATTTAAACTGTGGAACTAAGAAATGTGAGGATGACAACAGAATGTAAATATTATATGTCCTCACAAGGTAGGAATGATACAACAAAAATTGAGAGAAAAGGAAAAGAAAGTGGAAGTTCACTGATACAATAATAGTTGGGCACCAGAGTGTATCAGCTAAAGCTAAGCTGACAAGTCAAAGAGAAGTATAATCACATTTAACATACAAAAGTAGGTCAGGTGTGGTGGATTATGCTTGTAATCCCAGCACTTTGGGAGGCTGAGGCAGATAGATCTCTTGAAGCCAGGAGTTCAAGATCATCCAACATGGTGAAACCTCGCCTTTACTAAAAACACAAAAATTAGCCCGACATGGTGGCGCATGCCTGTAATCCCAGCTACTCGGAAGGTTGAAGCATCAGAATCGCACGAAGCTAGGAGGTGGAGGGTGCCGTGAGCTCAGATCACACCACTGTACTCCAGCCTCAGCAACAGAGCAAGACTCTGTCTCAAAATAAACAAACAAACAAACAAACAAACAGTATAAGAGTAAAATCCAATAATATATCGACCAGAACTGGTTAGTAGAGGAGGAGGGAAGGAAGAAATATGCTAGGCTTAAATATTGCTCAAAAGGAATTATTGGTGACTGAAAATAAATAGAAGAGTGTTATAATTATATGGATAATCAGCTGGGCGTGGTGGCTCACGCCTGTAATCCTAGCACTTTGGGAGGCCGAGGCAGGTGGATAACCTGAGGTCAGGAATTCAAGATCAGCCTGGCCAACATGGTGAAACCTCGTCTCTACTAAATATACAAAAATTAGCCAGGCATGTTGGTGCATGCCTGTAATCACAGCTACTCAGGAGGCTGAGGCAAGAGAATCACTTGAACCTGGGGGATGGAAGTTGCAGTGAGCCAAGATCGTGCCACTGCACGCCAGCCAAGATGACAGAGAATAACTCCGTCTCAAAAAAAAAAAAAAAAAATTTATATGGATAATCAATAGAACAAAAATTACCCACAAAAGGAAAAAAAATAAAACATACCATAAAGTAAAATATTTTTAAAATCGTTGAAACAGAAAGGAGAACATGATTAGAGAACAACAACAAAAAAGACAATTTCCTGAAACTTGTTCTCAAATTTGTTCCTCTACAGAAAGCTTTTCCTCATGAAATAAATAAAAGACATTTGACATGGGTCACTTACTTTAATAACAATACATATACCATGTTAACACCATGGAATGCAAATTCAGATTAGACAAGAGAATTTCACAAGTGTGATAGCCTTCTGTATATTATATAAAAGTTTGGGTATACTGTCTGGCCAAACCAGCTTGCTCATAAGTCATTAACCAAATCCATTATAGGTAATTTGTTCAGTTCAATGTTTACAATTCTTATGGAAAAAATTAGCAACACACACATTTAAAACGTGTTCATTTACCTTTGCGTGAGTGCTTAAAATACATATTTCTATTTCAAGATGACATTTAAAAATTATTCTAATATATCAGCAGCAAAAATATAATTTGCAATTACAAAAAACTAAACTAGAATCCTTAAATTATTCTCATGTTTACAGTTGTGATTCTTTAATAAATACTATTATGCAGCTCTATTGTTTAAGCTTTCTGGATTTGGTTTAAACACATGCATATATATTGTCAATTGTGGGAAGCTTTACAAGTTATATTCCATGCACTTTTTGGACAGAGTTCTAACAGAGCCAGCCAGTCCACAAAACAGGCAGACAAAAGTTGAATTAACTGGGGCAAATAGGACTCTTATGCAACATCCAAAATATCTGACATTCTGCAGCAAACAGGGAGTACCTTCAGGATTGGCCTGTTATCTTCTTTAGAACTAAGTTCATCTTAAAAATTTAAGAAGGTGGACATTTCAACACCATCAAGTGCATTTAGGTGACATGTTTAAGTTAACTTGACTTCCTTGAATGACCTAGTTAGTAAACTAGTCACTAGTAATTCGGTCACCAAGCAAATCAAGCCTGCAAGAAAGGAAGCCAATATTCAAAATGCCATGTTACCATCTAAACCCATACAAATTAGTTTATTTCCAACAATAATAGGTAACTTTAATAATAAGACATCTAACTAAAGCAAGCTCCTCCAACAAGACCAAGACAGCATCTCTTCTTCTAAGGCTTAGGTTTTGCCCAGAATTCCCGATACATGGAATAGCCCATACCTAAAGAAAAAGAATGCTAGTTAAGCATTTCAGTATTTTCTTAAATATTCAAAAATAAAAACCAGTTCATAAAATAGCTGAAAGTAGCACCACTGCTAGCATGGAATATTTACAAGGGGAATAAGACCCTAGGAAGCTTATACTCTTGCCTTCTTAAACATCTTAAATCTCTAAAACTCTTGTTACATACAGTAGTTTCCCAAGTAGCAAAGGGCTGGTATGGCTACTTCACATGTTACAATATTTCTTTGAAAGAACAATCAATATTTATCTGGTAACTTTGAAAGGAATCACTCTTGCTACATAATACCAGATAAAGTCAATGAATTATAAAGCCAATAGAAGAAGCATGTAATACCTAAACTTTAAGAATCTCTCCTTTAAAAACACAATAAAATAGCAATTGTATGTCTCTCCCAGATAACAGATGTTACTATCAACCCCAATTACATGTCTAGGCTCTTCAATGAAATTATAAACTCAGTGATTGACAGGATTTTTTTTTTCTTTAAAATCTTAGTAGGATATATCATAGAAAAACTATGTCACTACTTGAATTATCTTCATTAATTCATTTTTTACATGAAAATGAGTATAAGTGATATTCTCCAACTGCTAAAAGGTCAGCTAAAAATATTTACCTATTTTGTTTGTAAAGAAATACCTTAATGAGAAACGAAAATTTGAAATTTCCTATAGGAACCTACCAACAGTCATTGCTCCTACAACAAAGCCTTGGGCTGCCACACGCATGTGGATCAGATGAATGGACATTTTAGTATTTCCCCTGCTCTTCAGTTTATATAATCCATATGCAACAATTGCTGCAAAACCCGCTATTCCTGTAAAACAAAGTAACAAGTATGTCAGATGCATGAGAAGGGACCAAGATGACTTTACCATCAGTCAATGTACATTCTATTATTTTTATGAGGATTCTTTATCAGATCATTAATTAGCTAACATACAAATTGAGTTTTTCATGTTTTCCCCTATCAAAACCAAAAATCTTTAAGCAAACAACAACAGATCCAGAAAGTCAGGATTATCTTTAAAAACATGGGTTTGTGGGGCCAGTAGATAAACTCCTTTAAAAAACTGCTAGGGAATTAACAGGAACCTAGATTATGATTATCAGAACGAAAGTGTGCCAAAGGTCTTGACTTAGAGAATGAATTTATTCCATTTCCTCTCTGTCCTATTTCCCTCCCTCAAGGTAATCAGTTAATATACCAGAGACAATCCTACACACTACTACCACTGAGAAACATTGCCTGAATATTTCAAACTTTGGGATATTGTACTGGGAAGAAGTAAATAAAGGAAAAGAATAGAGCAATATTAGTTTCAGTTAAAAGGATTATGATCCTAGAGTTCTATACAGAGCCAAACTCTCATTCATTTTGAGGGCAAAAGCATTCAGGACATGACCTTCCATGTTTTCTTTTTAAGATTTATTATTTTATTTTTTAAGAGATGGGGTCTTGCTCTGTTGCCCAGGCTGGAGTGCAGCCGCACAATCATAGCTCACTGCAGCCTTGTTCTCCCAGGCTCAGGTGATCCTCTTCGCTCAGCCTCCCTAATAACTGGGACTACAGGAGGGCTGTCTTTCCCAAGCTGCCACCCAGGTACTGATACAAAAACCTAGAGGAAAATATCCAGTCAAATAAAAACAGTGAGTCAAAATGGACAGTTCAAGAAATAAAGACATAATGGTTAAGATATAATGGTGAGCAATAAAGACAGAAAAATCTGTACTGGTTCCTTGAAAATGACTGGTATAATATAGCAAAATTAAGAATCTGAAATTAGGCTATGATTATCACAACAAAACGTGTGCTAAAGGTCTTAGGGAATAAATTTATATTCATTTTAATACAGGAAATAGATGAAAAAAACACATCCTAGTTTGACAATGTAAAGATAACCACCAGCAAGCAGTGTAAGAATAGCCGCAGAACTTCCAAATCATAAGGAGGAAAAAAAAATTAGGGCTGGGAGCAGTAGCTCACACCCATCATCCCAGCACTTTGGGAGGTTGAGGCAGGTGGATCACCTGAGATCAGGGGTTTGAGACCAGCCTGGCCAACAGCCTGGTCATCTCTACTAAAAATACAAAAAATTAGCCGGGCATGGTGGCATGCGCCTGTAATCCCAGCTACTTGGGAGGCTGAGGCAGGAGAATGCTTGAACCTGGGAGGCGGAGGTTGCAGTGAGCCGAGATCACACCACTGCACTCCAGCCTGGGCGACAGAGCGAGACTCCATCTCAAAAATATATATATATATATATATATATATAAATTTTTAAAGTCATAAAACTTTAAAATAATCTAATATAGCAGCAAAATAAATAAATGGAGCAAAAATTGTTAGGAACACAAGATTAGCTCTATTAGAAGACAACAAAATGGGAAAATCTGTCTCTTTCAGAAAACAACAGAATAAGAAGCCCCAAACTAAAGCTACAGAATTGCACGGCACCATTAAATAAACTTACTTAAATTCTTAAAAATAAATAAAATTTAATATTTTAATTTAAAACAGAGATCCCACATTCTTTAAAATGTCTATGAAGCTTTGACAAAACCAATCATTTATTAGGCCACAAAGAAAATTCCAACTTCCAAAAAGTCCTTCTTCCTGGATGACTACCATAAGGCCAAAACTTAGCAATCAAAACGTAAAACAACCACACACATACCCCCACCTCTAACCACTGAGAAGCTGAGCACCAATAACTAGATTTGGAGGTTAAAGTAAAAACTGAGAGATTAGGAAGCTATCAAACATTATTTGAAAAATAAAAACAGTACTGGTTCTTAGAACAAATAAAATTGTAAAACCTCTAGGAAGTCTGATCAAAGAGAAAATAAACATACGACATTAGGAATGAGGAAGTGGATATAATCACAAGTGATAAAGAGATTTTTAAAAATAAGAGATGATTGCTCTTTGCCAATTAAATTTGAAAATCTAGGTGAAATGAATGATTTCTGAGGAGAATACAAATTCCTAAATTTGATTCAAGAAGTTGTAGAAAACCTTTCTATACCAATAACCATAGAAAGAATTAAATGGGCAATCCATGCTTTATCCCCAAAAGATAAAGACCCCAATAGTTTCATTAACAAGGTCTAATAAAAATTATAAGGGCATTCTCAATTCATGTTATTTAAAGTATTCCAGGGCATTAAAAACATAGCAATACATTTTTTTCCAATATATTTTCCAAGAAAACAAATCCCTGATACCAAAACAAAATTAAGATAACATAAGAGGCTGGGTGCAGTGGCTCACACCTGTAATCCAAGCACTTTGGGAGGCCGAGGCAGGTGAATCACTTGAAAACAGGAGTTCGAGACTAGCCTGGCCAAAATGGTGAAACCCCGTCTCTACTAAAAACACAAAAATCAGCCTGGTGTGGTGGCGGGAGTAGTCCCAGCTACTCAGGAAGCTGAGGTAGGAGAATCACTTGAACCCAGGAGGCAGAGGCTGCAGTGAGCCGAGATCCTGCCACTGCACTCCAGCCTGGGCGACAGAGCGGGACTGTCTCCAAAAACTAAAAAATAAAAAAAAAAGCCATGAGAAGAGAATTACAAAGCAATATAAATTATAAACATAGATATAAAATTCCTAAACCAAATACTAGCTTATCAACTTTAAAATGTATTAGAATAATATTATCAACCATGATCATTAGGTTTTTACTTTGGGAATTTTTTTTTTTTTTTTTTTTGAGACGGAGTCTTGTTCTGTCACCCAGGCTGGAGTGCAGTGGTGCAATCTCCGCTCACTGCAACCTCCGACTCCTGAGTTCAAGTGATTCTCCTGCCCCAGCTTCCCGAGTAGCTGGGATTACAGGAATGTGCCAACCACACCCGGCTAATTTTTGTATTTTTAGTAGAGATGGGGTTTCCCCACATTGGTCAGGCTGGTCTCGAACTCCTGACCTCATGATCTGCCTGCCTCAGCCTCCCAAAAAAGTGCTGGGATTATAGGTGTGAACCACTGTGCCTGGCCTACTTTGGGAATTAACCATTGCTTTTACATAAGAAAATCTTGGCCAGGAGCAGTGGCTCATCCCTGTAATCCTAGCACTTTGGGAGGCTGAGGTAGGAGGATTGCTTGAGGCCAAGGGTTTGAGACCAGCATGGGCAACAGAGTGAGACCTGTGTCTACAAAAAAAAAAAATTTTAATAAAAAATAAATTAAAAAAAAGAATTCACTGGAAGAACATCCAAGAACAAAAAAAAAAACGAAAAATCTCTTAAGATTCACGAAAGATGAAACTATGTGAACATCTGAATAGTAAAAGTAAATTAGAATATAGTTCAGACACCAAAAGCAAATACAAATTGTACTTAGTGTTAAAACACTATAAATATTCCATTTTTAATTTTTATCTATTTATTTATTTATTTAGAGACAGGGTCTTGCTCTGTCACCCAGGCTGTAGTGGCATGATCATGGTTCACCACAGCTTCGACCTCCCAGGCTCAAGCAAACTCCCATCTCAGCCTCCCAAGTAGCTGGGACTACAGGCGTGTGGCACCATGCCCAGCTAATTTTTAAATTTTTTTTGTAGAGACAGGGTCTCACTGTGTTGCCCAGGCTGTCTTGAACTCCTAGGCTCAAGTGATCCTCCTGCCTCAGCCCCGCAAAGCACTGGGATTACAGGAATGAGCCAAAGTGCTCAGCCTTATTTTTTATTAAAAAACGAAAAAGAGATAAGAAAAAAAAGTTCCCTTTAAAGATCAGAATAAGACAGGGATACATGTGAATACTGCTGTTGTTGCCTGGATATCCTAAACAATTTTAAATCACATAAAAAAAACTATACGCATAATTAGGAAGAAACTCTACTGGTTTGCAGATCATCTAACTGTGTGTATAGGAAATCCAAGAGAATCAAATGAAACACAACTAGAGGCCAGGTGCAGTGGCTCACGCCTGTAATCCCAGTACTTTGGGAGGCTGAGGCAGGTGGATCATTTGAGGTCAGGAATTCGAGACCAACCTGGCCAACATGGCAAAACCCTGTCTCTACTAAAACTACAAAAATTAGCCAGGTATGGTGGCAGGCGCCTGTAATACCAGCTACTCGGGAGGCTGAGGCACAAGAATTGCTTGAACCCGGGAGGCGGAGGTTGCAGTAAGCTGAGATTGTGCCACTGCACTCCAGCCTGAGCGACAGAGCAAGACTCCGTCTCGAAAGAAAGAAAGAAAAACAACTAGAACCAATAAGAAAAAAGATTACTTTGATGAATACATTAAAAAGCATATCTAGAGAAATTAAATTTCTAGACCTAGAGAAAACAATAAAATCATATTTAAGGACACAAAAGGTTTGAATGAAAATCAGTAGATGCACCACATTCTAAAATTTCCATTCTCTCCAAATTTATAAATTCAATGTAATCCAAATGTAAAAATGAGACATTTTTCCCGTTTTGGACTGGGCAAGCCAGTTTCTTTTTCTTTTCTCTCTTTTTTTCAGACACGGCGTCTTCCTATGTTTCCCAGACTAGAGTTCAGTGGGTATTCGCAGGCATGATCATTATACACTACAGCCCTGAACTCCTGGGCTCAAGTGACGCTCCTGCCTTGGCCTGCTGAGTAGCTGCAATTAACAAGCTAATTTCAAAGTAAACAGGCAAGCTCTTTTTAAGAAGGTAGAATAGTGAAAGTGTACTGGCTTATGAGGTATCTAAACATACCACTAAGTTTCTGGCAGACAGATCAAAGCAACAAAATACATACAGTAGTTGAGTAACAAATCTCTCATATGTTTAGTATATGACATAGTTCACATTTCAAATAAGTGGAAAAAGAATGCAAAACAGATACCCAAATCACTGTGATAGAAAATTAAAGTATCCATACGGAAAATAAGTTAGATTTTGCCTCATGTCATACCTACAAATAAATTCCAGATAGATTAGTATCTCAATGATAAATGCACAACATAAGGAAATACAGGAACCTAAGTAATCCCAGGATCATGAAGGCCTTGCAACATATTAAGAAAACATTAATACCTAAAATACATAATTATAATTTAATTAGAAAAAGACATCCTAGTTAAAACAGAAACAAAAGCAAAAACAAAAAAGCTAATTCACAGAAGAGAAGCCTGAATGACCAATACATATGAAAAGATGCTCAAAGAATGATAATATCTAGTGCTACTGAGAGTATGGGAAAACCAGCCCATCACAGCCTATTGGTGTAAATCATTGTTTTGGTACAATTAAGTATATAAGGATATTTAATTTTTACACACACAGTCTTCCAACAGTTTGTAAAATCAACATAATGGGAACAACTCCTATGTCGTCAATACAGCAATGGTTAAATCAATGTAGGGTTTATGTACTCCCAAGAAGGGATATGTATAAATGACAACCCATTAAAGAGCAGAAAATTTTATATTTGTATCTTATCCTTTTGAAATGTCTTTCTGCGTATTTCATAATGACTTAAATGACTTAAAAGTCATAAATGACTTAAAAATAGGTAAACACACAACACACTGGCAGGAAGTACGTGCTCAAATTATTTTTTACTGAGGGAATATACAACCAAAAAATTTTATAGATCACTGTTACAAAACATTGTATATCTACAAAATTAATGATTCAATTATTAAAAATATAAATGTTCCTATATGCATTGTTATAAAAAGATAATGAACAAGGCTAAAGAAAAATATTTCATCTAAAAATAATTATAAATAATAGTTTATGGTAGTACACAGAGAAGAAAACACTGACAGACTGTGCAGACTGCTGTTGTCTTTCAGAGTCGGGATCATAGGACATGGTACCTTTCTGTTTTATGTACTTTTGCAACTAACTTATTAATTATATGGTCAGAAGAAAAATTCCTTCAAGAGACTTCAAAGTCCTTTAACTTCTTGGAGAGCCATCTAAAAGGATGCTCAGTAGTTTAATTGTTAATAATGAAAAATTAGAAATCACATAAATTTCTACCAAGAGGATTATAATAATGTTATATACAACAGTAATTTATATCATATAAATTAAGTCATTCTTAAAAGTGGAGTTTTGGCCGGGCGCGGTGGCTCACGCCTATAATTCCAGCACTTTGGGAGGCCGAGGCGGGCGGATCACAAGATCAGGAGATCGAGATCATCCTGGCTAACACGGTGAAACCCTGTCTCTACTAAAAGATAGAAAAAATTAGCCAGGCGTGGTGGCGAGCACCTGTAGTCCCAGCTACTCGGGAGGCTGAGGCAGGAGAATGGCGTGAACTCGGGAGGCGGAGCTTGCAGTGAGCCAAGATCCTGCCACTGCACTCCAGCCTGGGCGACAGAGCAAGACTCCGTTTCAAAAAAAAAAAAAGTAGAGTTTTAGGCCAGGCACGGTGGCTCACACCTGTAATCCCAGCACTTTGGGAGGCCGAGGCAGGTGGATCACCTGAGATCAGGAGTTCGAGACCAGCCTGGCCAACATGATGAAACCCCCATCTCTACTAAAAATACAAAGAAATTAGCTGGCGTGGCGGCGGGCACCTATAATTCTAGCTACTCAGGAGGCTGAGGCAGAAGAATCGCTTGAACCCAAGAGGTGGAGGTTGCAGTGAGCCGATATCGCGCCACTGCACTCCAGCCTGGGCAACAAGAGTGAAACTCCTTCTCGGAAAAAAAAAAAAAAGTCGAGTTTCGAATAACATAGTTAAAAACATGAGATAAAAATTATAATACATATATGCATCTTAGTATGATCCTGAATTTGTGAAGATAAAAAAAGAAAAAACAACTGGAGAAATATGTACATCAAAATGGTAACAACAGTTATATCTAAATGGTGGCATTAAAGGTAATTTTAAAATTCTCTGTAAGATTAAAAATTTTTAAACTTTTTCTTAAGATTAATTTATATACTATAAATTTCACCTTTCATCTGTTTTAACTGCATATTAAATGAATTTTAATATGCCTGCGAGTCCGACCTCTGGGGGATAGGAGACTGAATAGCTAATTTCAGTCACAGCTGACACCTCAATAAAACCTGGTTACCAAGGCTTGGTGGGCTTCCCTAGATGGCAAGACTTAGCATGTATTGCCACATATCACATCAGTACTGAAGAATTAAATGCACCCCCTCTCCCCCTGTGGGACTCCCTGGGAAGGGGACACCTAGAATTTTGTGTCTGGTTTATCCTACACTTCATTCTATATGTCTTTGTTGACTTTAACCTATATCCCATTGCTGTAATAAACTATGACTGTAACAAGCATTTTTGAGTCTTATGAGTCTTGGCCCAATCATCTAACCTGAGGATGGTCTTGGGGTCCCCCAATACAACATTATGCACTGAAATAAGACTCAATAAAATAAGAAGTCTCAGCTGGAGTGGCAGCTCACGCCTATAATCCTAGCACTAGGCTGAGGGCAGGCGGATTGCTTGAGCCCAGGAGTTCAAGACTAGCCTAGGCAGTATCGCAAAACCCCGTGTCTATACAAAACTACAAAAATTCGCTGGGCGTGGTGGTGCACACCTGTGGTCCCAGCTACTTAGGAGGCTGAGGTGGGAGGATCAAGAACCTGAGAGGTCGAGGGATGGGGGCAGTGAGCTATGATCAAGCCACTGCACTTCAGTCTAGGTGAAAGAGACCCTGTCTCCAAAAAGAAAAAAAAAGTCTGAATACATACAGAAGAATCTTTATGATGAGATTTATATCATGCCAATCTCAGCATATTTCAACATAAGAAAAAAATGGAAAATACATTCTTTCAGGATATTGCTAAATGAACAAATTATCACGGCTCTACCATATTCAAGACTACTAAAATGTCAGTCAAACTTACCAACGGGTACGAATGGTGCCTCTTTAGCTTTTCGAATGAGTTTTGATCCCTGATCTTCCTCATATGAAGGAAGGGAAACACCTGTGTCTGTTGACATAGTGATTGCTTGAAGAATCTCCCTGAGAAAGAATTTCTATGAGGTTCTGTAATTAAAAGCATCTGAACATTATTAAATATCTGGATGTATTTAAAATATTCCTAACTTCCATGAGAATCTTAGTATATGTTATCCATAATCCTAAAGTTAAAAAATATTTTTAGAAATTAACTGTATTTTTAATGTACAGTCACTCTCAAGGGAGAGTTGTATACACTTATTCCCCCTATTATTTTGCCGTTTCCCCTGTACAACCCATTCATTTTTAGCACCATGTTAATTAAAAATAGTGAAAAATTTTAAATTGATGTTACTTTTATCAATTAAAATAGTAGCTACTAATTTTCTGGCTATCTTCATCCTTAATCAACTATTTAACTTGACAATTTTAAGTTACTCAAACCAAACTGACAACTCCTATTGAACCTTCAATATCATGTTGGAAATCCTACTTAGCACTTTTCGGTGTAGTTAAATGCAGTCTTTATTGCTTTCAACTGCTGATTTATTTATTCCAATGTGCTTCCTTGCTTCAATTTTCACTTCAGATTAGTTTCCAGTCTATTACAGTAATCTGTTATCCATGGTGGTTGCCTCTGGGGAAAAGATTATTCTGAATAGCCAAAGTTTCTACCTAGCTCATTATTTACTCATTTTAAGAACAAAGCTTTTATTTTAAATATTGGTAGAAATGTCTCCTTCATAGCCTTTTAGATTTTTTTAATGACCTATGATTAGTTTTTTTTCTTTTTTGAGACTGAGTCTTGCTCTGTTGCCCAGGGTGGAGTGCAGTGGCACGATCTCGGCTCACTGCAACCTCCATTTGGCACACACCACCGTGCCTAATTTTTTTGTATTCTTTAGTAGAGACAGGGTTTCACTCCTGACCTCACGTGATCCACCCACCTCAGCCTCCCAAACTGCTGGGATTACAGGTGTGAGCCACTGTGCCAGCTTATGATTAGCTTTTTTTTTTTTTTTTGAGATGGAGTTTCGTTCTTGTTGCCCAGGCTGGAGTGCAATGGCGTAGTCTTGGTTCACTGCAACCTCTGCCTCCCAGGTTCAAGTGATTCTCCTGCCTCAGCCTCCCAAATACCTGGGATTAGAAGTGCCTGCCACCATGCCTGGCTAATTTTTTTTGTATTTTTAGTAGAGATGGGGTTTCACCATCTTGACCAGGCTGGTCTCGAACTCCTGACCTCAGGTGATCCACCTGCCTCCCAGTGTTGGGATTACAGGCATGAGCTACCACACCTGGCCCTATGATTAGCACCTTTTAACATCACTGCAGCACAAAACTGAATTACCCTCAGGGTCTTCTTAATATCTTCTAAGCTTCAGATCTGCCTTCATTTACATACCTTATATCCCCTAGGCTTCCTTTTAAAACTCTACCCTCTTTTTATAATTCCTTTAAATGGTATCCCAAAGGCAAGATCTAGCCTGATAGTGTATGAGTAAGGGGATAGGAAAAAAAAAAAAAGGATTCATTTTCATTATCACAGGGATCAAAGGCTCCTTTCCTCCTTTTCAGTCATCTCCGTGAATAGCCCTTTTATCACAATGAGGCATTAACAAATGCTATTTCATTTTAGCCACAATAACAAAGTATACTTTCTTCACTGAACTATTTTGAATTGCAATAAACTTTACTCACAGATAAAATAAGGGCCTGAAGCATAGTGTAAGCATACAAGTCTCTAATTAGTGTCAATTACAATAAACTTAAAAGTCTATGCCCATCCTAACACCCATATAAAATCTTACTTTCACTTCTGGGTTTTTCATGTGCATTATGCTCCCTTTGATAAAAGTACCTCTCATTCAACACCTTGCTACTCAAGGGGAGTCAGTGGCAGTTAAGGTCCTCAACAAAAATGCAACTCCGGAGGGGGTGGTGTGCTTAGTTTAGAAAGTGAATTCATCCCTATAAGCCTCACCTTCATTGAGAAGACTCAACTGTCATCTGACATAGAAGAAAATCTTAGCTAAATAAAAGAAAATTTAGATTGGACTTAAACCTTCTTTTTGTACTCCATTACTTCTTAACTGAATAAACTCCTAAGTAATGAGCTTTATTATATATAAGGTTCAATAAGCTCAAGGTTCAAGATACTCACTATATATCTGAATAATACAATATAAACACTAAAGTAATTAATCGTTCAAAAATTAGTTGTTGTTTTTTTTTTTAAAAAAAAAAGAGAAATCATGTAACCGCCAAACAGGTTCACCTTGCCCGCTGGCTAGACAGAGCTGATTTACCAAGACAGGGGAATTGCAATAGAGAAAGAGCAATTCACCCAAAGCCAGCTGTGTGGGAGACCAGGATTTTTATTATTAGTCAAATCAGTCTCTTGGAGCATTCAGGGATCAGTTTTTAAGGATAATTTGGTGGGTGGGGGAAGGCCAGAGAACAGAGTGCTGATTGGTTGGGTTGGAGATGAAATGGGAAGTTGAAGCTGTCCTCTTGTGCTGAGTCAGTTCCTAGGTAGGGGACATAAGATCAGACGAGCCAGTTTATTGATCTGGGTGGTGCCAGTTGGTCTATCAAGTGCAGGGTCTGCAAAATATCTCAAGCACTGATCTTAGGAGCATTTTAGGGAGGGTTAGAATCTTATAACTTCCGTCCCTCTCCCTCTCCCTCTCCCTCTCCGTCTCCCTCTCCGTCTCCCTCTCCCTCTCCCTCCTTCTCCGTCTCCGTCTCCGTCTCCGTCTCCGTCTCCCTCTCCCCACGGTCTCCCTCTCATGCGGAGCCGAAGCTGGACTGTACTGCTGCCATCTCGGCTCACTGCAACCTCCCTGCCTGATTCTCCTGCCTCAGCCTGCCGAGTGCCTGCGATTGCAGGCACGCGCCGCCACGCCTGACTGGTTTTGGTGGAGACGGGGTTTCGCTGTGTTGGCCGGGCCGGTCTCCAGCCCCTAACCGCGAGTGATCCGCCAACCTCGGCCTCCCGAGGTGCCGGGATTGCAGACGGAGTCTCGTTCACTCAGTGCTCAGTGGTGCCCAGGCTGGAGTGCAGTGGCGTGATCTCGGCTCACTACAACCTCCACCTCCCAGCCGCCTGCCTTGGCCTCCCAAAGTGCCGAGATTGCAGCCTCTGCCCGGCCGCCACCCCGTCTGGGAAGTGAGGAGTGTCTCTGCCTGGCCGCCCATCGTCTGGGATGTGAGGAGCCCCTCTGCCCGGCCGCCCAGTCTGGGAAGTGAGGAGCGTCTCCGCCCGGCCGCCATCCCATCTAGGAAGTGAGGAGCGCCTCTTCCCAGCCGCCATCACATCTAGGAAGTGAGGAGCGTCTCTGCCCGGCCGCCCATCGTCTGAGATGTGGGGAGCGCCTCTGCCCCACCGCCCCATCTGGGATGTGAGGAGCGCCTCTGCCCGGCCGAGACCCCGTCTGGGAGGTGAGGAGCGTCTCTGCCCGGCCGCCCCGTCTGAGAAGTGAGGAGACCCTCTGCCTGGCAACCACCCCGTCTGAGAAGTGAGGAGCCCCTCCGCCCGGCAGCTGCCCCGTCTGAGAAGTGAGGAGCCTCTCCGCCCAGCAGCCACCCCATCTGGGAAGTGAGGAGCATCTCCGCCCGGCAGCCACCCCGTCCGGGAGGGAGGTGAGGGGGGGTCAGCCCCCCGCCCGGCCAGCCGCCCCATCCGGGAGGGAGGTGGGGGGTCAGCCCCCCGCCCGGCCAGCCGTGCCATCCGGGAGGGAGGTGGGGGGGTCAGCCCCCCGCCCGGCCAGCCGCCCGGTCCGGGAGGTGAGGGGCGCCTCTGCCCGGCCGCCCCTACTGGGAAGTGAGGAGCCCCTCTGCCCGGCCAGCCGCCCCGTCCGGGAGGGAGGTGGGGGGGTCAGCCCTCCGCCCGGCCAGCCGCCCCGTCTGGGAGGTGAGGGGCGCCTCTGCCCGGCCGCCCCTACTGGGAAGTGAGGAGCCCCTCTGCCCGGCCAGCCGCCCCGTCCGGGAGGGAGGTGGGGGGGTCGGCCCCCCGCCCGGCCAGCCGCCCCGTCCGGGAGGGAGGTGGGGGTGTCGGCCCCCCGCCCGGCCAGCCGCCCCGTCCGGGAGGGAGGTGGGGGGGGTCAGCTCCCCTGCCCGGCCAGCCGCCCCGTCCGGGAGGTGAGGGGCGCCTCTGCCCGGCCACCCCTACTGGGAAGTGAGGAGCCCCTCTGCCCGGCCAGCCGCCCCGTCCGCGAGGGAGGTGGGGGGGTCAGCCCCCCGCCCGGCCAGCCGCCCCGTCCGGGAGGGAGGTGGGGGGGGTCAGCCCCCCTGCCCGGCCAGCCGCCCCGTCTGGGAGGTGAGGGGCGCCTCTGCCCGGCCGCCCCTACTGGGAAGTGAGGAGCCCCTCTGGCTGGCCAGCCGCCCCGTCCGGGAGGGAGGTGGGGGGTCAGCCCCCCGACCGGCCAGCCGCCCCGTCCGGGAGGGAGGTGGGGGGGGTCAGCCCCCCGCCCGGCCAGCCGCCCCGCCCGGGAGGTGAGGGGCGCCTCTGCCCGGCCGCCCCTACTGGGAAGTGAGGAGCCCCTCTGCCCGGCCACCACCCCGTCTGGGAGGTGTGCCCAACAGCTCATTGAGAACGGGCCAGGATGACAATGGCGGCTTTGTGGAATAGAAAGGCGGGAAAGGTGGGGAAAAGATTGAGAAATCGGATGGTTGCCGTGTCTGTGTAGAAAGAAGTAGACATGGGAGACTTTTCATTTTGTTCTGCACTAAGAAAAATTCCTCTGCCTTGGGATCCTGTTGATCTGTGACCTTACCCCCAACCCTGTGCTCTCTGAAACATGTGCTGTGTCCACTCAGGGTTAAATGGATTAAGGGCGGTGCAAGATGTGCTTTGTTAAACAGATGCTTGAAGGCAGCATGCTCGTTAAGAGTCATCACCAATCCCTAATCTCAAGTAATCAGGGACACAAACACTGCGGAAGGCCGCAGGGTCCTCTGCCTAGGAAAACCAGAGACCTTTGTTCACTTGTTTATCTGCTGACCTTCCCTCCACTATTGTCCCATGACCCTGCCAAATCCCCCTCTGTGAGAAACACCCAAGAATTATCAATAAAAAAATAAATTAAAAAAAAAAAAAAAAAAAAAAGAATCTTATAACTTCCAGCTGCACGACTCCTAAACCATAATTTCTAATCTGTGGCTAATTCATTAAACCTACAAAGGCAGTCTAGTCCCCAGGCAAGAAGGGGGTTTGTTTTAGGAAAGGGCTGTTACCATCTTTGCTTTATTTTTCTATTTTTGTTTTATGAGACAGGGTCTAGTTGCCACGCAGGCTGGAGCACGATCTCGATCTTTGCTCACCGCAACCTCTGCCTCCGAGGTTTGAGTGATTTGTGCCTTAGCCTAACAGCTGGGATAACAGGTGTGCACCACCATGCCTGGTTTTTTTTTTTTGTATTTTTAGTATAGATGGGGTTTTGCCATGTTGGCCAGCCTGGTCTCAAACTCCTGGCCCCAAGTGATTTGCCCGCCTCAGCCTCCCAAAGTGCTAGGATTATAGACGTGAACCATCATGCCTGGCTCCATCTTTTTTTGGCTAGGTCAGATCTCTTTCACTGTCTCAGTTATAATTTTGCAATGGTGGTTTCAATCACAGTGTAATTAGTTGTCAAAAGCCTAACACAGACAAGGTCTGAATTTAGAGAGAGTGATGTATTTTAGCTAAAGGAGGTTTGGCACGTTTCACAGAGAAACACTTGAGACTGGCTTTGAAGAAACTGCATAAATGGACTGGATAGAGAGATTAAACACTGTATTTATTTTAGGCCAGTATGTTTACTAGTTGCCTTCATATCTAATCATGAACTTCTCGGGCAGGTGCGGTGGCTCATGCCTGTAATCCCAGCACTTTGGGGCACCAAGGTGGGCAATCACTTGAGGTCAGGAGTTCGAAACCAGCCTGGTCAACATGGTGAAACCCCCATCTCTACTAAAAATACAAAAATTAGCTGGGCATAGTGGTGTGCATGCCTGAAATCCCAGCTACTTGGGAAGCTGAGGCAGGAGGATCGCTTGAACCCGGGAGGCAGAGGTTGCAGTGCGCTGAAATTGTGCAACTGCACTCCAGCCTGGGCCACAGAGAGACTCTGTCTCAAATTTTAAAAAATAAAAGAAAAAGAAAAAGAAAAAGAAAAAAAAAACATGACCTTCTCAAAGGGGAAGTTTATCACAAATCCTTTCATTTCCCTTCCCAACCCCACATTCTGACCACATTAAATATTTTTAAGATGCTCTCTATACCTCTAAGCCTTTGCACAAGCTGATTCCTCTACTTGTGAGAGTTTCCCTCCCTTTCCATCCCCTTCAGATACTCTTTCCTAGCTAACTCCTCCCATTTTTTTTTTCAGGTTTGGTTTTTCTTTTTTTACACTGAGTCAGAACATTATTTTAATAGTTACAAAACTTTTTTTTTAACAGAATCAGTATAAAATAGCAGTTGATTTCTCCATAATTATCAGAATTATTTATATTTGAGGTCTTGCCTAAGTGGGGCTGAAATCAACAAAAGGTCTTGGACTACTGGCTCAGAAATCATCCTAGGAAGCCCGCCCTGTTGACATTTGTCATGCTTAGCTCTTATGAGATGACCCGGTCCTTTAAAAAAAAAAAAAGTATCTCCGTTTATTCTGTTTATTTGGAGGTTTGAAGTGAATTCGGCAGCATTCATTAAACTCCTTCCAGCTCCTGTCATTTATCATTCTGACTACATCCATTTCAACTTTGCCTGCTCTGTTCTGAGTTGCTTTAACAATATTAAATCGTCCAAATTCTTTTCTCTCTCTTCTCAGAGGTTTTTTACTACTGCTGAGGTCTGGGCTATATAGTTTTTTATGACTCTGTCCCTACTGGCATGAGCTGCCATCAAAGACTCAAAGTTGTTTACAGGTTTGGCTGGCATCAATCTTCCCTGCAAAGGAAGCTGTTGGAACTGTAGTGTTTAATTAATGTACTAGTCTGTATCAACTGTCCACATCACCTTGAGTAATTCCTGGAACTCGGCGAACTCCTCACAGTTCACACTGCCACTGGGTGCCACCATACTGGACTCAGGTTCACATCTTAATTGACCTCCTCTCAGAAATTTTTGTCTCTTTAAGTTCGTAAGTGCTTTGGTTATGCAGTCCCATAGGACCTTGTACTTTCCTTATAACCCTTATAAGCACCAGTTTGTCTGTTTCTTTTGCTAGAATCCTTCAAGTCAGGGACCAATACCTGCTCTGCTTGTATCCAACTCCACTGCCTGGTGCAATACCCTATATATAATATGTACACTACAAATGTTTCTTGAATACATTTAAAAGTTACATTTCTCAACAACTGAAAGCATTCTTAGGTTATTCAGTAATATTGAGTACAAAAAAATAACAATCATACAGATTTGTAGAGTTTAATCAGTAAGAAAAATGCCTAACTGTATGTACCTAAGTGCTTATTTCTTTTATGTTTCTTATATTGTACCTATGAAAAGAGAAATAACCTGAGGTCTTAGTTCCTTGCAACACAGGGGACAAAACTATTATATACCATAATCCACTTTTAAAAACTAAAAACTTCTGCAGATATAAAAGCATGTTTTCCCCTTTTTTGCCTGAATCATTTCTAAACTAAAAAATCATTTGGGAATTGTCTTTAAAAGCAAGAAAGTTGGTAGCCGGGCATGGTGGTGCACACCTGTAGTCCCAGCTCCTCAGGAGGCTGAGGCAGGAGGGCTGCTTGAGCCTGGAAAGTGGAGGTTGCGGTGAGCCATGATCCAGCCACTGCACTCCAGCCGGGGCAACAGGCAAGACCCTTGCTGAGGGACCCAACAAACAAACAAAAACAGGACATAAATCGTTTTTTAAAAATAGCAAGAAAGTTGGTAGTTTTTCTTATAATTATCTCACATCTGGCTGACTCTAATTCTCCAACAGGTCAATGGAGCAAAAGGTTTTTTTTTTTTTCTCCTTTCAGGAGGGAGGGGGTTAGTTGTCTCTTTCCTGTATATAAATCAAGAACAGAAGAAAACCTATTTCTCCGTTCTTCATCTATGATACAGACTCTGAAGCTTGTATGGATAGGGCATTTGACCTGGGTTTCAGAAAGTAGCCCCTGCGGTAAGCATCAGGGTGTGGGGAACAAAATGGTCATTATTTGCTTGAAACGACAGATGATAATCTGTCTGTGATTCCAGAATACCTTATGTGTACATTTCAGAATAAAATTAGTAAGGATTAATATTTAAAAATCCAACACATATCAGTTATTTGTTATTCTGTAGTCAAAATATTATAATTCCCATATAGTACATATCTAAAATACTCTCTGAATACAAAATTTTGATAACTGTCTAATTACCACGTAGAAGTTTCCAAAGTATTCATGGTTTATAGCCACCTGAATTGAAAACTGGTTAAGTATCAGGAACAATAAGTTCTAATCATATAATTTGAGAGTAACAAATCAGATGAATAATCCAAGCCAATAGCCTTATTTTACAGGTGGGGAAAGGGTTGTGAGAGGGTTATACGAATTGCTCAGTACAAGGAATACATGTCTGGTGGGGTAGGATTAGAATCCAGCTCTTCTGATAGAGAGTCCTGGGTTCTTTTGATTGACGATATATTGCCAAAGCATCAATCTTACGCTGCTGATGTAAATTAGATTAAATTGGCAGATAAGAATTCTGATTAGAAAATTTAAGAATCCATTACTCAACAGAAGCCCACGTTGTTCTCTTTGAATGATATATATAAAAAAATCATGCCTAAGGTAAACGGAATCTTCTTCAGTGACTTAACTCATCTAACAATTTCAATTGTGATTTGAAAAGACTTTTTTCACTACACCACTGCCAGACTTTCCTTCATTATCGTTTTCTCATCCACCCACAGTAGTTGTCCCAGATTTCTGTCAGAAAGTTGAATAGACGCTAAAAAAGGCACCAGTAACCAGATATTTAAAGTCAGTTTGGAGAGCACAAATTAATTCTGTACGCTTAGTAAGACACGACTGAAGACCTTTCCACAGGGAACCTAAAGAGGCATTAAGGGAAGATGAGCCGTCCAGCATCAGGAGACGTAACAGGTTGAATGAAGGATCTTTCTTCACAGTCATTTTGTCACGGGAATTACTATCTAAAGCAACGCTGGCTTCAAACTGATTTTGCATCAGTCGCCCATCAGCTTGTTTAAAATGGCTGCCAAGGCCCCAGCATGGAGATCCGGATTCAGGTGGTCTGGGGCAGAGCTCAAGGAATCTTTAAGAAGCCCCTTCAAGTGACTCTGGTGCACAAAGAGAACTCCTAGTATACAGGACTCCAAATATGTGTGTCATGCTGGAGCTTCATGACCAGGTTGTCACCGCTTCAACCTGTTAGAACTTTCCATCCAAACCTGTCTTACTCCAAAGTGCCTTTGTACTTCCGGAAGCAGGGATCCCTGTCGTGGGGATTACTCCGAAGAGGGAAATAGCTGCTTCCCACTCCGGGAATTTAAGACAAAGGCGAATATCACTGCTGCATCATGTCGGCTGCTCCTAATTCTGCCCTTACGCTGTGCTTTGTAATCTCTAACCCGCCGACTCGGCAGGAGAAAAATTTAATTCGGTCACAGAAGCACTACACAGGACCCTAGGCCTTATCACTTTCCCAGGGTGGAGGAAACACCAGGTCGGGGAGAAAAGCAAGACCAGGACTGGAAGGTCCTCTGCTAGTACGCCCTCCCCTCAACCTCCCGACCTTCCTCGCCGCCTCTCTTCCTGTGACCTTGTCGTGACTCCGTGACCGGAGCGCTCGCTCTCCTATCCCGCCTCGCCTGCCGCTTAGCCCGCTCTTCAGAATGTTCCAAGCTCCGGGGAAGCTCCCGCTCCTCGCTCCCCGCCGTCGGGCCCAGTCAACACCCTCCTGGCCCCCGTCTCTCATTACCACCCCATCAGCGAGTCTTCCCCGCTCGGCAACTCACTCCACAAGCTTCTGCTCCATCTCCTCGCTGGCTCCGTCTCCCCTCACCCGAAGGACCCTAGGCCTCGGCTCCCGACTCCTCTCATCCGCCCATGCTCGAGGCCGGGCCTGAGCCCCGGCAACTCCACCTCTCCTCCCTCATTCGAGACACGGACTCCCAGCCCCCACCCCCAAAGTCCTTTCGGCCTGGCCAAGCGCTGCCCCACTTCTTCCCGCCCCGCGGCCCGAGTCCCTGGCTCGCAGTCCCCCGGCTTGTTTCGCTTACCTAGAGCGAGAAAACCTCTCACACCCCAACCGGCTTCCGATCCCTGCAGGCGCACCCAGTCCTCCCGGCTTCTCCCCACCCACAGCCGTCCCAGCCAATCAGAGGCCAGCGGCCGCAAAAGGACGCGTGCGTGTGCGCGGCGGGTGGGGCAGTGCAGAGCGGGTCCTGGATTGGCTGGGCCGGTGAGTGCTGGCCCACTACCCCGGCTCTAGCGTACTGGCGGAGACAGACGTGAGAGCTCGGCGCCTGGGGTTCGCGCCCGGGCACTTGAGGGGCTTTGGCTCCTGGCCCAAGGACTCCTCAGATTTCTCCTGCCCTTTTCCCCTCGGGCAGCGGAGGCGAGCACCGCGAACGCCGTGTCCCGAGCGCCGCCGCCTGCGGACGCCTCACGGGCCGGGAAGGGATGCGGGTGAGGGGTTTCGGCTGCGGGTGAGGTTGTGTTCCCCGACCCACCCGGGTCCGACTGCTTGTTCTCGCCGTTCAGTAACGAGATGCAGACAGACTGGGAAAGAACGGAGTTTATTTCTGCAACAGGTTACAGGGAGAAGGTCGGAGTAACTCACCAGACCAACTCAAAATTATTAATACAAGTTTTTCTAGTGCTTAAATACATTCAGTGCATTTACAAGTCGAAAGCCAAAGTGTTTCACTCAAGCCAATCTTTAACGGTAATAGGGTCAGGTGTCTAGACAATTGCTTCAGAGCCTTGGAAATAATCTAAAGTGGGTCCTGGTACAAGGTGTGCAAGAACAACTCCATTATTTTAATTAAACTCTAGGGGTTGAAAAAGCTCAGGCGGGATCCTAATGGACTTGTCTTTACATTCTAGCCTTTCTCCTAAGGCACCAGTTTCTCCAATGTTTAACTTATACATGCATCAGAATGACAGTGAGGCGTTGGTGAGAGCTGCTCTGGTTGCTAATGGAGATCTGGCCTGCCACAGTGGGAGCAGAGCTTGCCCAGTGCGCCGGGACGACTGCGGGCTCCATCCATTCCGCTCCCAGGGCGGTTGTCGGCCAGGACCGTGAGCTGTCAGGTCCCCCGCGGGATCCTTCCTGGAGCTTACACTATAGTAGGAGGCAGCCAGTACTTGCAAGCACGGGGTCGCGGGAACTACGACCTCACCCAGGCCAGGCGACCTTTCTCTCAAGAAGGAGATGTCAGAGGCCCCTCGTGACAGCGAGCTTCCGGGGACAGGGCTCCTAATGTGTTTGTCAAGTAAATAATGAGTAATAATCCGGCCAATTGGTGGGTCAACGAAAAAAGTCAAACTCTAAGATATTTGAAGAGATTTATTCTGAACCAAATGTGAGTGACCGTGGCCCCTGACACAGCCCTCAGGAGGTCCTGAGAACATGTGCCCAAGGTGGTCCAGGCACACTTGGTTTTATACATTTTAGAGAGGCATGAGACATCAATCAAATACATTTAAGAAATACATTGGTTTGGTCCAGAAACGGGGGACAACTCAAAGGCGAGAGGGGAGGGGGCTTCCAGGCTATAGGTAAATTTAAACATTTTCTGGTTGATAATTGGTTGAGTTTGTCTGAAGACCTGGGATCAACAGAAAGGGAATGTTCAAGTTAAGATAAAAGATTGTGGAGACCAAGGTTCTTTTGAAGTCTTGTAGTGGCTGCCTTTAGAGACAATAGATGACAAATGTTTCCTATTCAGATGTTTGAAAGGTGCTAGACTTTTAATCTCTTTAGGATTGGGGGGCCTGGAAGAAAAAGATCTAGCTATGTTATAGGGATTCTTTACAGATGAGAATTTTTCCCCGCAAAGGACAGCTTTGTATGGCCATTTCAAGATATGGCAAAGAAATATGTTTTGGGGTAAAATATTTTTATTTTCTTCCTTGTCTTATAATGTTATGCCAGAGTCAAGTTGGAAAGTAAGTCACGATATATAGAGTTAAATAAAACCCATTTGATGATAACTTATTATTTGTGGGGCATGACTCCCCAGACCCCTTAGATAGGAATTTGGGCATGATAAAAAAAATCAGAGCTTAGTCCTCAGATGCAAAGCATCTACAACTGCACCATGGAGAAATCTGTGATTAAGTTAGAGTTTCTTGATATAACCACAAAACAAGGCAGACTACCAAGTGCTCGTCATACAGATAGGAACTAAATGTCATGGGCTCAGGATTTTGAAAATCGTTCATCTCATAATTAAGATACATGTAAGAAACATTTCATGCTATGGATGATTAAGAACTTCATACTTCGCTGGGCACGGTGGCTCACGCCTGTAATCCAAGCACTTTGGGAGGCTGAGGCAGGCGGATCACCAGGTCAGGAGATCGAGACCATACTGGCTAACACAGTGAAACCCCGTCTCTACTAAAAATACAAAAAATTAGCCGGGTGTGGTGGCGTGCACCTGTAGTCCCAGCTACTGGAGAGACTGAGGCAGGAGAATGGCGTGAACCCGGGAATCGGAGCTTGTAGTGAGCCAAGATCGCACCACTGCACTCCAGCCTGGGTGACAGAGAGAGATTCTGTCAAAAAAAAAAAAAAAAAAAAAAGAGAGAACTTCATACTTTGATTATATGGTAGCTTTCAGCTCCTTGAAGGCACATATTTTGTCTGGATGATCCTGGTATCTCCTTGAATGCTGCCTGTGTGCTCAATAGAAATTCAATAATGGTAAATGAAGAAAGATGTAAATGCTGCAATAACTGGAGGGTTTAAAAGATAAGTAGGGATAGTCAGGAACTATAGGATAAACCCCACTGCCTTCAATATGAAGGTCAACCGGAAGTCATTAGTCTCTTGATTCTGTAAACACAAAGGCTAATGGCAGCAGTGACCAAAGCATATTCATTTCTGAAGGCAATGTATATGCCTCAAACTAACATCAGCTAACTTGTTAATTTCCAGAGAATAAGATATACTGCCCCATCAGCGGAGAGCAACTAGTTGGCAACATACTAGCCGTGACCTTGGATTTGATTTCTCAAAGTGTCACTTTTTTCACTTGTAAAATGGGGGGTAACATGAATGATGGTTAAAGAGGAAATATATGTAGCATGTTAGCCCCATGCTTGGCATGAAAAATGTTAGCTATTGCTTTAAAAATTCCTTGCTGTGTACTGTGCAAAAAGAGTCAGACCTTGCCCTTGAAGCTGTAAGTATAAGCACCTTTTAAACCAATTACTATTAGGGCTCCCAATCCAGACCCCAAGAGAGGGTTCTTGGATCTCCTGCAAGAAGTAATTCTAGACGAATCCATAGAGTACAGTGAAGGCAAGCTTATTAGAAAAGTAAAGGAATAAAAGAATGGCTACTCTATAGGCAGAATACCCCCAAGGGCTGCTGGTTGCCTATTTTTATGGTTATTTCTTGATTGTATGCTAAACAAAGGGTGGATTATTCATGCCTCCCCTTTTTAGACCATATAGGGTAACTTCCTGATGTTGCCATGGCATTTGTAAAATGTCATGGTGCTGGTGGGAGTGTAGCAGTGAGGATGACCAGAGGTCACTCTCGTCGCCATGTTGGTTTTGGTGGGTTTTAGCTGGCTTCTTTACTGCAACCTGTTTTATCAGCAAGGTCTTTATGACCTGTACCTTGTGCCAATCTCCCATGTCATCCTATGACTTAGAATGCCTAACCTCCTATCTCATCCTGTGACTTAGAATGCCTAACTGTCTGGGAATGTAGCCCAGTAGGTCTCAGCCTTATCTTACCTAGCCCCTATTCAAGATGGAGTTGCTCTGGTTCAATCATCTCTGATGATTGATTGGTATAAAGGTCAAATAGCTAGTAAGTAATAGAGGTAGAGGACTGTAAACTAGGAATTTTGATTCCGCTATATTTTAGGAATATAGTATCGCTCAACAGCAAGTAATTTTTAAGACATAGAAAGGAAATACATTTTTATATATAAGCTGGACTCTATTCATAATATTAAAAAATAAGGATTTAGACAAATTATAGGATGACAGATCCACATAGATAATTTAAGGAAGTTAGATATGCACTCTATGGCTACAACTGTGTGGAAGATGCACATTTGTCCCCCAAAATCTCTTTATTGAGGCTACTGGTATACACTACTTGGTAGAATTGTCATTAGTCTGACCCAGTTTGAATGACGGTTGAATTTAGGAGAAAAAAGTCCCATCTTTCGACAAAAGTGTACCAGCCCTGTCAGTTTAAGGGAGAAAACATAAACAGAGGCAGTGTAGGGGTGGAAAGGGGATGATCCCTTTCTTTCCCATCATAAGCGTTACAGCTAACACTCCTATAACAAAAGACAGGTTAACAAGAGAAAATTACTAGCCTGGACAACATGGCAAAACCCCGTCTCTACAGAAAATACAAAAATTTGCTGGGTGTGATGGTGTGCCTCTGTAGTCCCAGCTACTCAGGAGGCTGAGGTGAGCAGATCACTTGAGCCTGGGAGGTCAAGGCTGCAGTGAGCCAAGATTGTGCCACTGCACTCAGCCTAGGCCATAGAGTGAGACCCTGTCTCAAAAAAGAAAAGATAAAAACAAAACAAAAACAAGAGAAAAACATTATAAATGTACTGTATTTGATCAAGGTTTGTTTTGTTTGTTTGTTTTTGAGACAGAGTCTTGCTCTGTCGCCAGGCTGGAGTGGAGTAGCGTGATCTTGTCTCACTACAACCTCCGCCTTCCGGGTTCAAGCAATTCTCCTGCCTCAGCCTCTCAAGTACCTGGGACTACAGGTGTGTGCCACCACACCTGGCTAATTTGTTGTATTTTAGTAGAGATGGGGTTTCACCACGTTGGCCAGGATGGTCTTGATCTCCTGACCTCATGATCTGCCTTCCTCAGCCTCCTATTGATCAAAGTTTTACATGATGCAGGAGCCTTCAGAGTGAAGACCCAAAGATACAGGTGACTCTGTCTCATTATATGCTTAGGTTTGATGAAACAGGGACAGTCGTGTAGAAATGTGATTGGACAACAAAGGATATGAGCTAATGGTAATAGAAAACCTAGCAAGACCTGTCTGTTCAGATTCTTGAACTTTCTTTCGATTGTAGCATTTCTCCTTTCAGGATACAGTACGGGATCCTTTCTGGAATGGAGGTCTTATGAGCTGCTATTGAACACGGCAGGTGAGAGAATTTCTTTATGGCCAATTCTTAGACAAAAAGTAGGGGAAGCGGTTGGGCACAGTGGCTCACGCCTGTAATCCTAGCACTTTGGGAGGCCAAGGCGGGTGGATCACGAGCTCAGGAGTTTGAGACCAGCCTGACCAACATGGTGATACCCCATCTCTACTAAAAATACAAAAATTAGCCAGGCGTGGTGGCGTGCACCTGTAATCTCAGCTACTCAGGAGGCTAAGGCAGGAGAATTGTGTGAACCTGGGAGGCAGAGGTTGCAGTGACCCGAGATCGCGCCACTGTACTCCAGCCTGGGCAACAAAGCTAGACTCCGTCTCAAAAAAAAAAAAAAAGTTGGGGAAGCTTAGAGGTTCTGGTTTCTGTAATCAGCCTTGGGGAAGAGGAATTCTATTTTCTATGACTTGCTTCAGGAGAGAATGAGGGTATGACAGATAGACAGGAGGGTAAGACAGGTTGGTTAGAAACTTTGCTTCTGAGGCTGCTTCTGAGGCCTTCACTTTGGGGTATCATTTTCTGAGCCCCAACAGCAGGAAAGAATAAATAATAGGAAATTAGAAAACAGTATTGACATAGATATTTCCTGAATTCTAAAGTGATTCATTGTTTAAAAAATAACATTTTATTGGAATTAATTGCAGAATATCTTTCAGTCTGTTGGTAATGCGATTAAGTTGCAGAATATCTTTCAATCTGTTGGTAATGTGATTGGAATGATGAGTTAGGAGTCAACTAACCATTTCAAACAAATTAACTTTTTGTTGAAATTGTTTAAAAAGACTGGGTGTATTGATAAACTGATGTGGGATATGATAAGATTTCTCTTCAAATAATCTGATCAATCTTTTATTCTTTAATTCATAGTACCCCCCCCCAATTTTTCTCCTTTTTCGCCTTTTTTCCTCTTTGCCTTTGTTAAATGCCCAGGCACGCCACAATACCACGTTTTATCAATACCAACTTACATTCCTTTCCTTATTAAAAAAAAGACTAACTTTCTAGCTCATTACAAACACCCTTTCCCCTTTCCCTCCACTTTTTCTTTTACATGCTCACCCTATCTAAAAAAAATCGAATGTTTAGCCAACCAAAATTAGTTTAAATTGTACGACCCGACCACTACCAATAAAAAAAGAATACAAAGGCAAGACTTGCGTCAAAAATAAAGGCCCTCGTGCCCCTTTGTTCAAGTGCGCTCTCATGGCAACTGGCCGAAGAGACACCCCTCTGCGCAAAAGTAAAATTGCTTCATTAAAAATCCTTTGTTCGAGTGTTCAATTTCCTTAAAATTGTAAGGGTGATTCCTAACACCGACTTCATTTCCTCATTCCTTTTTTGAGATAGAGTCTCGCTCTGTTGCCCAGGCTGGAATGCAGTGGTGCAACCTTGGCTCACTGCAGCCTCCACTTCCCAGGCTCAAGCGATTCTCATGTGAGTAGCCGGGATTACAGGCATCTGCCACCACACCCGGCTAACTTTTGTATATTTAGTAGAGATGGGGTTTCACCATGTTGGCCAGGCTGGTCTTGAACTCCTGACCTGAAGTGATCTGCCCACCTCAGCCTCCCAAAGTGCCTGGATTACAGGTGTGAGCCACAGTGGCAGGCCCTCATTTCCTCATTGTTTTGAAACAAGGCACATACATTTTCTGTAGGGAAAAGAAAGATCAGACTGTTACTGTGTCTATGTAGAAAAGGAAGACATAAGAAACTCCATTTTGATCTGTACTAAGAAAAATTGTTTTGCCTTGAGATGCTGTTAATCTATAACTTTAGCCCCAACCCTGTGCTCACAGAAACATGTGCTGTATGGAATCAAGGTTTAAGGGATCTAGGGCTGTGCAGGGTGTGCCTTGTTAACAATATGTTTACAGGCTGTATGCTTGGTAAAAGTCATCGCCATTCTCCATTCTCGATTAACCAGGGGCATAACGAACTGCGGAAAGCCGCAGGGACCTCTGCCCAAGAAAGCCTGGGTATTGTCCAAGGTTTCCCCCAACTGACACAGCCTGAGATATGGCCTTGTGGGAAGGGAAAGACCCAGCCGTCCTCCCCAGCCTGTCACCCGTAAAGGGTCTGTGCTGAGGAGGATTAGTAAAAGAGGAAGGTCTCTTGCGGTTGAGATAAGAGGAAGGCCTCCATCTCCTGCATGTCCCTGGGAATGGAATGTCTCGGTGTAAAACCCGATCGTAAATTCCTCCTATTCTGAGGTAGGAGAAAACCGCCCTGTGGCTGGAGGCGAGATATGCTGGCAGCAATGCTGCTCTGTTACTCTTTGCTACACTGAGATGTTTGGGTGGAGAGAAGCAAAAATCTGGCCTACGTGCACATCCGGGCACAGTACCTTCCCTTAAACTTATTTGTGACACAGATTCCTTTGCTCACATGTTTTCCTGCTGACCTTCTCCCCATTATCACCCTGTTCTCCTGCCGCATTCCCCTAGCCGAGATAGTGAAAATAGTAATCAATAAATGCTGAAGGAACTCAGAGACCGGGGCCTGTGCAGGTCCTCCATATGCTGAGCGCCGGTCCCCTGGGACCACTGTTCTTTCTCTATACTTTGTCTCTGTGTCTTATTCCTTTTCTCAGTCTCTCGTTCCACCTGACGAGGAATACCCAGAGGTGTGGAGGGGCTGGCCCCCTTCAGTTTTCTTTCCCTCAGGGTTGTATAGTGCATAACGGCCCTTGTTTGGCTAGGAGTATTGTAATGGGACTGCATTTGTTGTGCCAAGCCCTTACTGAAACTAATGTGATGGATACAATTTATTTCCTAGATAGTCATACTTTCTAATATTGCTTTATGAGAGAGACAAAGTATAAATGTTTAGGAAAGGTTTAAAGCAATGCATTCTAAATTTTTTTCTGAAGATTGAGTCTCAGTGTTAGGTATTAAAAGGGGCCTTAAAGCTCATCTAGTCCATTTCCTTTCTTTTAATGAAAATACAGTTTTTGAGAATGTAAGTGGATGTTTTAGATGACACACTTACAGGCAGAATCTGAATAACTCTGCCTTCCTGAGAACTAGCCCAGTGCTCTGTTTGCTTGCTTACCTCTCCAGGTCATGGAATCAGACCTCTTAGTATTCCATGCAGCTTAAAACTGAAAACCTTTAATAAAAGTGGTTGGGCAATTTTCAGCCTTTTTTTTTTTTTTTTTTTTTTTTGAGATGGAGTCTGACTCTGTTGCTCAGGCTGGAGTGCACTGGCATAATCTCATCTGACTTCAACCTCCACCTCCCAGGCTCAAGTGATCCTCTTGCCTCAGCCTCCTGAGTAGCTGGGACTACAGGCATGTGCCACCACATCCGGCTAATTTTTTTGTATTTTTAGTAGAGACAGGGTTTCACCTTTTTGGCCAAGCTGGTCTCAAAGTCCTGACCTCAAGTGATCCACCTGCCTCAGCCTCCCAAAGTGCTGGGATTACAGGCATGAGCCACTATGCCCGGCCTTCAGCTTTCTTTTGGTTCTAATCATATATGTGGTAAAGTGATTGATTTAGACAGTTATGTTAATGTGAACAGTGCTGTTAATGTTATTGAATTTGATTAAAATAAAGCTCCATAATTTATTTTATTTTATTTAGCATTAGGGCCTTTGGGACAAAATATGAATAACGAAAGCAAGATAATTTGCAAATAAGAATTAGTCCAAGAGCTATAGTATGTTTTGGGTTTGTTTTTGGGTTTGATTTTGATCTGTTTTTAAATAAGTATGTTATAGTATCTAATATTAACTTAAAATCTTGGTTCAGTTTGCCCTACATAATCTATTCTAAAAATATATGTATTGGTCTGTTCTCGCAATGCTAGAAAGAACTACCTGAGACTGGGTAATTTATAAAGAAAAGAGGTTTAATTGACTCACAGTTCTGCAAGTTGTATAGGAAGCATGGCTAAGGAGGCCTCAGGAAACTTAACAATCATGGTGGAAGATGAAGGGGAAGCAAACCTGTCTTATATGGTGGGATCAGGAGAAAGCAAGTGAAGGAAGAAGTGCTACACACTTTTAAACAACCAGGTCTTGTGAGAACTACTATAAGAGAACAGCAAGGAGAAAGTCCACCCCCGTGATCTAATCACCTCCTACCAGGCCCCTCCTCCAACACTGAGAATGACAATTTGACTTGAGATTTGGGTGGGGACACAAACCATATCATACAAATTCAAGAGTTTGTAACTTGGTACAATGTGCCTTTATTATTTTCTGCATCATGTGCATACTTCACTGGTTCACAGCATAAAGACTGAAAACTGCCATATTTATTAGGAAGTTGTATTTTGTTTTTCAAGCTCTGTTGAGGAATAGATGGAATTTGTTCCATGGTGAGCTGTTTTTAAGTTTTCGCAGTATCATTAATGACCCCAGTCTCATTCTGGGAAACTTGAATTCTCCTTGCAAATTCTAAGAAGTTCACACTTTACCCAAACTTAATGTAATAACGAGAGACAACATCTGTTTATGCCTAGTTATTTGAGGTTTTGTTGCCTGTTTGTGGGAGAAATTCTCTCCTTCTGATTAGTATGCAGAAACTAAAATCTTGGTGAATGATGGTGATAAATATCTGAAACATAATCAGATGATTCAGTCAATTTTTGGTGAAGATTATTCTGCTACACTTTATACCATATCATGTTACAAGAAAATGACAATGACACACTTACATCTTTCATAATACAGACATTATAATTGGTAACAAACATGCAACATCTATTATTCCATTCTTCGTATTGGGCGTCATTTTGAAGTATAATTGATGCAGAAGACTTAACACATTATTTGGGTTTTCAGGTATTAAACCAACCCACCTGTAATTTATAGAAAGAAAGGCAGCACAAAAAGTGTCTGCCAGCTTTGCTATTTTCCCCTCTTCAGAGAGCCTCTGTGACTTTTCATGCTGCAAATAGCTGTCTACACATGATCGTATCTTCCATAGGAGAAACAGGCTTCTAAATTCAGATGTCTGTTTATGCTGAGGCCCAACTAAAAGCTACATTACCTTGTTCTTGACATCCTTTTTAAAAAGTACTGTGTGATCTTTGTCGAACTTTGTTTAAACAAAGGTTAAACCTTTTGAGAAAATTGGTAATAATTACCGGTGTTTTTATACCAGATTTGGGAGTCACCATCAGCAATTATTGAATACGTACATTGTGCCAAGTACCTGTACTAGATTCTGAACTTAAAGACTCAGTCCCTGCCATGAAATAATTTATAATCTAAGTAGGTAGAAGGAACAAGTATATAGAAATAACAAAGACAGTTTATAAGTACTTTGAATGAAATTTCAGGTAGATATCACAGTAAGTGGAGCAGTTTCAAAGGCTTCTTGGGACTGGGGCTTAAGTGGGCCTTGAAGGATGACTAGGATGTAAATAAATTGGGAGGATATTTCAGAAACAGCAAACAGAGGGCAGAAGAATAGAGGCAGACTCTGGGATTGTAGCTGTGTCACAGAGGACAGCAAGTGTGAAAAGGCAAACATTTGTGACTAGAGCAGAGTCAGAGAGAATAATGAAAAGTGAGTCACTGTGGGGAGGACCTTCCATGTTAATTAAAGAACCTGGACAATGTTCTATTAGGTGCCGCCTGAAGACGTTGGAGCAGGATGTTGACAAGAGCAGAGGGCATTTGAGGTTATTGGAAGTGAAATAGAATGGATTAGAAAGGGAGTGTCAGCCTTAGCCAGAAAATTTAAAACTATTCAGTAATAACCCATTACATACTGTGTATTGAGACCATTTTCCCCTTGGTCTTAAGGATGTAGAGGTAGTTACATGCAGTAGTGTTATCTCTACTTCTTGACAAGGACTGCCACTTTGAGGCAGCAATAATCTTTAAAGACCAGTCCCCAGGGAGAATTGGCTAGGGGCCAGGCCATCAGAAGATTCCATGTCAGAAAATTGCCCTAACAGGCTATTCATAATGTGTTCCAATTTAGTACCCTTTACACTGCAGAGTCATGGAATAGTACTTAAGCTGTTCATTTTAGACAAAAATACACTTCCCAGACACATTAATTGCATGTTTCAAAGTTGTATTTAAAACTTGCCTAAAAGGTAGGAGCTTTTAAGTAAACAAAAAATTTTCTCTTGGCAAAAAGTAACCAGACTCTTCCTTGATCTGCTTATTCAAATCTATCAGGTGTTTTATAAGAAACACTAATATTTTTCCAGAAGGACCAGCTGGCATCATATCCGACCATGTTCTGCTAAGGTGACAATTTTTCTTTCTCACACTTTATGCATTCCAGAACATTAATTCTCAAGGGAGGTACCTGGTTCATTCCTCTACCCTTTAGGAAGAACAGCTCTAAAATGAAAGCTCAAAACTCTCCAGAGGGAGAAAAGTCACAGCCACTTTTAATTTGGTATGAGTCAGGCTCCACAGGCTCTGGGGTTTGCTTTGCTGCTTACTAGTTATGTGACACTGAGCAAGTTAATTAATCATCTTGTACCTCTGTTTCTTCATTTGTACAATAATAGGTCCTACTTAGTAGGACTCTGGGGAGTGTTAAATGATATATAAAACCCCAACATTAACTGGCATATAGTAAGTGTTATATGTGTTAATTGTTACGACATTCTGTGGGTTTTTTTGTGTGTTCCTGTAGATACTACTCAGCTAACCTATAAACACAATTGATAGTTTCGTGTGTGTGTGTGTGTGTGTGTGTGTGTGTGTACTTTGCATTTTAAAATGTCTTTTGGTTACTGAGGGTTTCCATAAAAATCATAAATATAAGATGCTCACCATCAATATGGTGTACTTCAGCAAAGAAGAAGCTAGGAGCTAGAAACCACCTTTGATCTCTTTAGTTTACATAGTGTCTTACCTTTTATATTGCTGGTTTCATCAACTGGTTCCCATTAGCAACCAAAGTGGCAGCAGGATTTGTGTGTTTATGTAGTGATAATTTTTGTAGTGAACAAAAATATTATACTTTAAATATTTTAGTCTTGAATTGACTTTTCCGCTGAGGAAACTCAGTGGAAAAAGTCAATGAACTGAGGCACTCAGTTCATTTTTTTTTTTTTTAAGGTAGAGTCTTGCTTTGTCACCCAGGCTGGAGTGCAGTGTGCAATCTCAGCTCACTGAAACCTCTGCCTCATGGGTTCAAGTAATTCTCATGCCTCAGCCTCCCGAGTAGCTGGGATTACAGGTGTTTGCCACCACACCTGGCTATTTTTTTCTATTTTTAGTAGAGACAGGGTTTCACCACGTTGGCCAGGCTGGTCTCAAACTCCTTACCTCAGGTGATCTGCCCACCTCAGCCTCCCAAAGTGCTGGGATTACAGACGTGAGCCACCATGCCTGTCTAGCACTCAGTATTTTTTATTGCTGTTGGGGACAGCAGGACACTTAACAAGTACTAATGAAAAAAAAATTTGGTAGAGTGGAAAAGGCACTGGCTTTGGGCCCCTGGATTGCTACCAGGCCTGAAGTCAAAAGACACGGCTTTGAATAACAGCTTAAATGCTTATGGACATTATGACCTTGAACACGTTATTTAGCCTCACATTTTTCATCAACACAATGGGGATACTAGTAAGTATATGCCTTATAGGATAGCATTGTGTGATCTAAGTGACCATACATAAGGCACCAAGAAGAGTGCTTGGGATGTAATAGAGCCTCAGTACATGTTAGATCCTCTCACCAAACCAGGCCCCTTCCTCTTGCTGCTATCTTCTTAAGCATTAACCAGCAATGCAACCTCAAGCAAGTCACTTTTCTTTTTTAGACCGTGAAGTTTTCTGACCCCTTCTCTAAATCAATTCTCTCATTTATTCTTGTTCAGCCTCGACTTCCATTCCCCTGATATCCCCACTAACCGTTTTCACAGAGAGCATTGAAAAATTCTCTCAGCTTCCTCCTCTCTTACCCTACCTGCGTCTCCATCAGTCGTTTCTTCTGGTTTTGGGTACCCTCCTCCCACTGAACACCCATCAAACCCTATGCTCTGGATTCCATCATTTTTTGCCATTGAATCTGTCAGCTTTTTGCTCTCTCACCTGTAATTTCAGCCTCTCCTCGCCCCTGCATCCAGGCTTCTCATACTCTTCCATTTAAAAAAGATTCCTTCCTAGATTCTTCATCCTTTCTCCAGCTATTGCTCTCTTTTCTTTCTCCTCAGTTTAGGAGAAAAAAGTGTACATATCATCCCACATCTTCCCCCCAACCCAGCTCTCTCAACCCACTGGTTTCCATTCTTGTCACGCTACTGAAACAACAATAGTAAAGGACATAATTCAATGGACATATTTCAGTTTCTCAGCCCATATCTTACTTGACTCTTCTATCATATTTGACATTATGAATCTTCCATTGACACTCTTCTTCTCATTCTCCTTCCAGTCTGGTCATTCTTTCTTAGTTACAGTGACTGAATTTATTTCCTGTGTCCCTTAAATATTGGTGTGCTCTAGGGTTCTGTGCTCTCTTTCCTTCTTACTCTCTGCCCTTCTCTTAGAGTAATCTCATGTACTTTTATGGTTTTTTATTCTCATCTGTATGCTGATGTTCTTTTCTCTCCTCTGTCTGCCACACTTCTTGCCTGTGTTCCAGAGCTATCTATTCAACTGTGTTGGACGTCTTCACTTTGGTATTCCACAGACTCCATGTGTCCATAAATGAGCCGTGTTAACCATCTCTCTCCTCCCCTCTTCTCTGCTCTCTACATCTCTCTCCGCACAAGCCTGCACTTTCTCCTAAATTCCCTGACGTGTTTGATGGAACAACTGTCCATCCCATTCACCAAACATGAAAGCTGGGTCAATCCCTGATGCCACTTCCTCCTTTCTTCACATCCAGCCAGTGACATCTGAGCAGAGAACTGAATGACCAGGGGTCAGCTCTATGAAGATCTAGGGGAAGAGCTACAGCAGACATGAGACTGAGTTTTCACTTTCATAGTGATGTGCTCTGAGCAAACTGGCCCAGAATTGGCTGCTTCCTACAAGCAGTAATGTTGAGAGGATCATTTACACAGGAAAGCACTTAAACAGATCAAATAAGGAAAGACATTGGCATAATTTTTTTGAGACGGAGTCTCACTCTGTCACCCAGGCTAGAGTGCAGTGGCGCGATCTCGGCTCACTGCAACCTCCATCTCTCGGGTTCAAGCAATTCTCCTGTCTCTGCCTCCAGAGTAGCTGTGATTACAGGCAAGTGCCACCACACCCAGCTAATTTTTGTATTTTTAGTAGCGACAAGGTTTCGCCATGTTGATCAGACTGGTCTTGAACTCCTGACCTCAGGTGATCTGCCCGGCTCGGCCTCCTAAAGTGTTGGGATTACAGATGTGAGCCACCATACCTGGCCCATAGATTGTTTTTACTGACAACATTTTCAAACAAAATGCTGTCAGGTTGTCACTAAAAAATGGATCTTGGATTCTTTGCAGCTCCTCAAATTCCTTTTTGTTCTTTCTGTTAGTTCTTTGCTGGGGTGTTGGTGGGGGAAATGGGGGGCAGGTGGGATGGTGGGCACAGAATTTTCCTGACTAAGCCGAAGCTCTCCTGCCTCTTTTACTTGTTCTGAAGACTTTTGAATTTGAGATTAACAACACAACCATCACCTCTTAAAAGTCTGTATAACTTTATCTTGCATATATTTTGTTATTAAATATGTCTTTTAGTAGAGAATGAGTAGGAAGACTTTGGTCTTTATAATATTCAGTTTTATGTGGGTTATATCCTGATTTTTAAAGTTAGAAACTCATAATTTTATGTAATTCTATGTAACTAAAAAGATTGATTTGTTTTTATAATCTATATTTGTATAAGTATGGGACTAGATTACACAAAACAACATTGATCACTGGAACTAAGAGCTTTCTTTTGACCACAGGCAAACAGCTCTTTCCAGTAGAAAAGAGCTGGGCTCCCTCACTGTTTCCTGGCTCTTTCCAGTAGAAAAGAGCTGGGCTCCCTCACTGTTTCCTGGCTCTTTCCAGTAGAAAAGAGCTGGGCTCCCTCACTGTTTCCTGGCACACGGTATGATATTGAGTTCCATGATTATGCATGTACCTTGGGTTACAACCCCCCTGGCGGCAGAACCTCTATTGTGTCCTTCTTTGTATTGCCCACAGAGCCTGTTGGTGACCTGCACACAGGAGCCCTCCAGTCAGTACTGATTGAATTACTCAAGGCTGCCTCTCTGCAAAGTTGAGGTAAGCAGCTGAGTTCAATGATGCTGGCTGCATTTTCAGCTATTGGGGCTGCAGTAGCTAGGCAGGGGCTGCAGGCCCTTCTGGCTTTTTAGCCCTCCTGCTCACCCACCATTTACACAGTCTTCCTTTCAGAGCCCCCCTTTCTCCTCCTGCACTTCCTTGAATATTGACTGCCTCTCTGATTTCCCTCACTTTGTCTCTCCCAAATATTAGGGCTGTTTTTATGGTCTGCTAATTCTGTGAGAATGAGGTACCTCTTCTGGGAGGCACTGCCACACTCAATGGCACTGCAAACAGGTTTTTATTGGCTCATCTCCAAGCTCTCCAAGTCATTCTGCCCTCATACTGATTATGAGACACCATCTGTTTATCTTGATTGCATAATAAATTGAGGACTCATAAATGTAGTTGACATCTAAATTAGATCCAAATCACAGTAAGAACAGGATAATGGTCTCCTTTGTCAGAGATGGATGAATAATTACTTTTATAGCTCTGGAAGAAAAATGGGTTATGCAAACAGATACTTCACCCAAATTGGTTTCCTGAGTGACTCTCCGTATGTTGATGTTTTTGCTCAGGGACAGGAACCTGCCTACCCTGTTTCAGGGAAAACCAGAAAAGAAATATAATCTGCTTTGGGAGTCTGAGGCGGATGGATCACGAGGTCAGGAGATCGAGACCATCCTGGCTAACATGGTGAAACCCCATCTCTACTAAAAATACAAAAAATTAGCCAGATGTGGTGGTGGGCGCCTGTAGTCCCAGCTATTCTGGAGGCTGAGGCAGGAGAATGGCATGAACCTGGGAGGCGGAGCTTGCAGTGAGCCCAGATCACGCCACTGCACTCCAGCCTGGGCAACAGAGCAAGACTCTGTCTCAAAAAAAAAAAAAAAAAAGAAATATAATCTGCCCAACCCAACAGTCAAATGTTAGCCACCAATGTCCTTGTGTTACCCTGCTTTCTGAGGGCCAGAAGAGATTTTCAAAGATTATGAGCACTAAAATAACAGTAAAAAAAAAAAAAAAAAAAGCTAGTAACCTTGGCCTGTTGCCTAGTACAATATAGCTGATGAGAAGGAAATCACAAGGCAGTGGGACTGGGCTAAGGTGCAGCTTGTGAGTTCTCTAGGAATTGGGTGGGTTATTGCTTAAGGACAGTTCATCAATAGTTTTTTTTTTTTTTTCTTTGAGATGGAGTCTCACACTGTTGCCTGGGCTAAAGTGCAGCGGTGCGATCTCGGCTCACTGCCATGTCCGCCTCCCAGGTTCAAGTGATTCTCCTGACTCAGCCTCCCGAGTAGCTGGGATTACAGGTGGCTGCCACCATGCCCGGCTAATTTTTTAAATTTTTAGTAGAGACGAGGTTTCACTATGTTTGCCAGGCTAGTCTCGAACGCCTGACCTCGTGATCCACCCGCCTCGGCACCCCAAAGTGCTGGTGCTAAGATTACAGGCGTGAGCCACCATGCCTGGCCTCATCAATAGTTTTAAAAGACCTGTTACGATTTCTGGCTAATTTGCTTTTACCGTTAATTCAGAATGCTTGTGATCCACAGGCTATAGTGAGTGAGTTGTCCCTGGCATCCCTTTTCCTTACATACGTGTTCCACTAGAAGCAAGAAAAACCACATACAGCTGCTCAGTCTGCAATACGCCAACAGCACACGCACACAGGAGTCCTGTTTAGCTCACTTCCATTTCCTACGTGCACTGCTGCACACTTGACCTACACACTTGACATACGAAAGTGTCTCTGATCATTTAAACAACTCTACAAGTGTGTATTATTACCCCCATTTTATACAGGAGGAAACTGAGGTTCCGTGTGGTTAGGTAACTTGCTTGGGTTTCCATAGAGGCAGAGGTAGAATTTGAACCCAGTACTGTTTAGCTCATGCCCTTTCTGGAACACTCTCTTGCCTCTCTATCTTTTCTTTTTGCTGCCTATGCTCAGATTGTTCTCTCTCTTATAGAATATATATATGTTTTTGTTTTTTTTTTAGAGAGAGTCTCGTTCTGTCGCCCAGGCTGGAGTGCAGTGGCGCTATCTCGGCTCACTGCAAGCTCCGATTCCCGGGTTCACGCCATTCTCCTGCCTCAGCCTCCCGAGTAGCTGGGACTACAGGGGCCCACTACCACGCCCGGCTAATATTTTGTATTTTTAGTAGAGACGGGGTTTCACTGTGTTAGCCAGGATGGTCTCGATCTCCTGACCTCGTGATCCGCCCGCCTCGGCCTCTCAAAGTGCTGGGATTACAGGCGTGAGCCACCACGCCCAGCCAGAATATACTTTTCAATCTTCTCTTTCCCCTGTCAGAATCTTTATCAATCAAAACTTTTGTTTTGAAATACATATATGTATATATTTACAAACACATACAACTTAGGTTTACATCTATATTTATTTATATGCATTGACTTCTAGGTATTTATAGATAGATAGAGACAGATATAAATAAATAAATAAATAAATAAATAAATAAAATATGGAAAGATATACTCCTCAAATAGTAATGGTGGCTTTATCTGAACAGTAGAATACTTCGTGATTTTTATTTCCGTTTTTAAAAATATATTTATGAAACTAAATTTATATTATTGCTATAATCACAAAACAATTTTTAAAACCTTTCACATCCTTTTAAGTTCACATGTCACTACCTGAATAGAATCTCTTCCCAGTCTCTAAATTAAAGCTCTCTGTCCCTCTTTTGAAACACACTCCCTTTTCCTAGTACTTGTATTTTCTTGAGTCACTTCTAGCATTTTGCTTTGTATTCTGTGTAGCCTCAACTTCCCAGGGCCCACTAACTCAGAGAGGGAAGAATACAACAGGCACAGTTAAAAATAAAAACAGGCTGGGTGCGGTGGCTCACACCTGTAATCCCAGCACTTTGGGAGGCCAAGGCAGGTGGACTACTTGAGGTCAGGAGTTCGAGACCAGCCTTGCCAACATGGTGAAACCCTGTCTCTACTGAAATGCAAAAATTACCCAGGCGTGGTGGTGCACGCCTGTAATCCCAGCCCAGCTACTTGGGAGGTGGAGGCAGGATTGCATCACTGCACTGCAGCCTGGGTGACAGAGCAAGACTCCAGCTCAAAAAAAAAAAAAAAAAAAAAAGAATAAAACCAGTAACAGAATAATTGTTATTCCAATCTGCCCCCCTTCCCCAGTCATGAAAGCTAGGATCTTTTTGCTGTATCCACCAGATCTCAGGCTTGTGTCTCTTCCCCTCTCTGTAGTCTTGGCTGTGTGTCCACCACAACACTGTTCCTTTGATGTGAGTCAATCATTACGCTCACTCCAGTGTTTGTTTTTGCATGATGCTGTCCCCTTCCTTTCACTTGGTTCTAGGCTAAGCCCCATTATTCCACCAGGCCCCACATGGTCTAGGCTGTGCCTCCTGTCTTCACTTTGCTGAAGTGGCGGGACAGTCTTCTCCTATCCAGGTTTCACTTTTAAAAAGTTATCCCTTCCTCTTGTTTTCTTCATCTCCGATAAAGCCTAGCATGGAGTGACTTTTGCGTTTGAGTTTTTCCTTTTGTTTCTTACAGCATCCCCTCCCCTGCCACCTTGCCTAGGGGAATTTGTACTGAACTTGGTCAGGAGTCAGAGTAATCTGTCTCAATATCTCCCTCTCCTCAATCAGGGGCTCCAGACAAAAGGATGCTCAACTGCTTTCTCTCCTGTCTGGGAGATCAGGGTGTGACCTTCATTCTATAATTTATTCAAGTGTCTCTCTCCTGTGTAGCCTGTCAGCCTTCGTGTCTCCAGTCATTCTCTTCCTAGACAGACTTGTCTGGGATGTTCAGAACTGGAAGTTTGGTGGCTTGCCCTGACATGTCCAATACTCAGTAAGCAAGCAGAACTTACCCTCTTTGGGCTCTCTGCACTGTGTGCTCTTCTAAGCCATGCAATCAACTTCTAAGACCATAAGAGGGGAGCTAAGCACCATTCAGCTTTGTATATGCCCTGAGGGAACTAACACAGTTGCATAGGATGGCAAGAAACCTATACATTTTTGCGGAATGAATTAATAAAATCTATTGACTTTTGTGCTCTGCTTTTCTCCCTTAACTTTATTGCAGCAAGCAATCAAATAAAGGTAATTAGTCCTAGTTTGTTCTACACTAAGTATATCACACTGTGATTCTGATTTCATAACTTAGATCTGAGTTTTAGAACACTGAGACAATCACAGTCGTCCCTTCGTATCCACAGGGGATTGGTTTCACATCTGACCTCATGTGATAGGTTGCAGTCAAAACCCAGTCAAAACTTTGTTTCATGCACAAAATTATTGTATGAAGTTAACTTCAGACTATGTGTATGAGGTGTATATGAAGCATAAATAAATGTGTTTAAACTTGGGTCTCATCCCATAGATATCTCATTATTTATATTTTGAAATATTTCAAAATCCAGGAAATTCCGAAATCCAAAACACTTCTGGTGCCAAGCATTTTGAATAAGGGATACTCAACCTATAATACCTAATATAATGTAAATGCTATGTAAATAGTTGTTATACTGTATTTTAAAAAATTTGTATTTTTTTATTGCTGTATTGTTATTTTTAAATTTTTTTAAAAAATATTTTCAGTCCTTTGTTGGTTGAATCCATGGATTTGGAACCCATATGAATACAGAGGGCTGACTATATACATAAAATTTGGCCTCTTAAATTATGCAATTTAATATAACCACAAAGTTGCACACTCATCACACTGTCTAAAATCAGAACATTTTTCATCATGCCAAACATGAGTGACACACATTAGCTGTCACTTCCATCTCCACACCTTCCCCCTGCCCCATGAATCTATTTTGGGTATTTGCCTATTCTGGACATTTCATATAAATGGAATCGTACAATATATGGACTTTTGTATCAGATTTCTTTTACATTGTATAATGTTTTCAAGGTTCATCCATGTCATAGCATGTATCGATACTTTATTCCTTTTAAATGGCTGAATAATATTTCACTGCATGGATATACCACACTTTGCTTATCCATTCATCCATTGGTAGACATTTGGGTTGTTTCCAATTTTGGGCCATCATGAATAATGTTGGGAACATTTGTGTATATGTGTTTTCCTAGGGACATATGATTTCAATTTTCTTGGGCATATACCAGACCATATGTTTAAGTTCTTAAGGAATTACCAAAATTGTTTTCCAATGTGGCTGTGCCATTTTACATTCACAGCAGCAATGTATGAGGGTTCCAGTTTCTCCATGTTTCTCTTTTTGAATTATAGCCATCCCAATGGATGTGAAGTGGAAAATCAATTGGCCATGGATACCTGGGTTTATTTATGGACTCTCAGTTCTATTCGATTGATCTATATGACTATTCTGATATCAGTACTACACAGTCTTGATTACTGTGACTTTGTAGTAAGTTTTGAAAAAAGAAGTGTGAGTCCAACTTTGTCCTTTTTCAAAGTTGTTTTGGCTATTCTGGGTTCCTTGCATTTCCATGCGAATTTTATAATAAGCATGTCTGTTTCTGTAAAAAATGCAGTTGCAACTTTGATTGGGATTGTGTTGAATCTGTAGATCAATGAAGGGAGTACATCCCTCTTAACAACCTTTAGTCTTCCAATCCGTGAACATGAAATGTAATTCCACTTACTTAGGTCTACTTTAATTTCTTTCCATGATGTTTTACAGTTTTTAGTGTATAGGCCTTGCACTTCATTTGTTAAATTTATTCCTAGGTATCTTATTTTTTCTGATGTTATCGTAGATATAATAGTTTTCTTAATTTCTTTTTAGTTTATAGAAATACAGTTGCTTTTTGTATATTGATCTTGTATCCTGAATGTTGCTGAGATAACTTGTTAGCTCTGATGTGTGTGTGTGTGTGTGTGTGTGCGTGTGTGTGTGTGTATTTCTTAGGATTTTCTATATACAAAATCATGTAATCTGCCAATAGAGGAAATTTCAGTGCTTCCTTTCCAGTGCAAATGCTTTTTATTTTTCTTGCACAACTGCTCTGACTAGAAATGCCAGTACAATGTCAAATAAAAGTGGTGAAAGTGGGCATCTTTGTTTTGTTTGTGATCTGAGGTAGGGAGGGGGAAGATTTCAGTCTTTTACCATTAAGTGTGATGTTAGCTCTGGGTTTTTTTTTTTTTGTTTTTTTTTTTTGTAGATACCATTAATCAGGTTGAGGATGTTCCCTAGTTTATTGAATTTTTTTTTTTTTTCAATCAGGAAAGGTGGTGAAGATTACCAAATGTTCTTTCTGCATCTGTTAAGGTGATCATGTGGTTTTTGTCCTTTATTCTTTTCATATGTTGTCTTACATTGTTTGAGTTTCGGATGTTGAACGGTTTAACCTTGCATGCCTGGCAAATAGCTTAACTAGTCATGGTGTATAACCCGTTATATCTGTAGTTGGATTTGGGTTGTTAGTATGTTGTTTAGGGAGTTGTGTGTGTCTGAGAATCTATATATGGTCCATAAGGGATATTGGTGTGTAGTGTTCTTTTCTTGTGATGTCTTTGTTGGGTTTTTGTATCAGAGTAATACTGGACTCATAGAATGAGTTGGGAAATGTTTCTTCCCCTTCTGTTTTTTGAAAGAGTTTGAGAGGATTAGTGGTAATTCTTTAAACATTTGGTAGAATTTACCAGTGAAGTCATCTGGTTCTGGGCTTTTCTTTGTGGGACATTTTTTGATTACTAATGAAATTCCTTTCTTTGTTATAGGTCTATTCAGATTTTCTTTTTCCTCTTGAGAGAGTTTTGGTAGTTTATGTCTTTCTAGAAATTTGTTCATATGAATTATCTAATTTATTGGCATACAGATGTTCATAGTATTTTCTTATAATCTTTTTTTCTATAGTGATTCTCTCTCTTTTATTTCTGATTTTAGCAATTAGAGTCTTCTCCCTTTTTTCTTAGTCAATTAGTTAAAAGTTTGTCAGTTTTGCTGATGTTTTCCAAGAACAACCTTTGGTTTTGTTGATTTTCTCTATTGTATTCATATTCTCTCATTCATTTGTACTCCAATATTTATTTTGTCTTTATTTTTGCTTGCTTTCAGTTTAGTTTGCCCTTCTTTTTCCAGAATCATAGGCGAAAAGTTAGTTTACTGAATTGGGGTCTCTTTTTAAAAATATCTGTATTCACATTTCTCTCTAAGCATTGCTTTTACTATGTCCCATAAGTTTGGTACATTTTATTTTTGTTTTCATTCATCTCAAAGTATTTTCTAATCTCCCTTGTGATTTCTTCTTTGACCCATTGGTTATTTAGGAGTGTGTTGTTTAATTTCCACATGGTTTTGAATTCCCCAAATTTTTCCTTCTGTTATTGATTGAGTTTAATTCCATTATGGTTGGAGAAGATATTATATATGGTTTCAGTTCTTCTGAATGCATTGAGACTTGTTATATGGCCTAACATATTCTCTGTCCTGGAGAATGCTGTATGTGCACCTGAGAAGAACATGTATTTTGCAGTTGTTGGGTGGAGTGTCTTACTTATATCAGTTTTAGGTATTCACTTTTCACCTGGTTAAACATTATTCATTCTTTGAGTCACAGGTCCAAAGGATTTCTTGTGTCAAATATTTCTTAATCCATCTCCCTAAGTAAAATGTAGTTTCTTCATTTGAATTTCTATAATTCTGCCAACACCTATAACTGTATTATAACTTTTATTCCAATTCAGTCTTTCTAAATTCTGATGTTATGGGTTTCTTTGTGCAGAGCCATGTTGTAACTGTATCTCCATATCACTGAAACCTTACTTCTAGTGGTAACTTTAAAGCATGTCATCGAAAGGCTGAAAGAATCTGCTGGTTATTGAGCACTTTGTCAATCCAGAGCCATAAACTACCTACAATGGATTATGGATAAGGAGAAGCAAGGCAGTGTACTCTGCCTCTGGGGAACCTACATTTTAGTTAAGAGATCTACGAGATACCAATGTAGGAAACCTTTAAGACAAGATTTGACCAAGTGCCAAGATGAAGGCACTAGGGGATTGGACTTGTTCACTTTGTCTCTCTCCCCATGCGTGGGAAAGAGGCTTGTGGAATTGTGAGGCTGGAACAGCCCTCAGGGTTTCTGATTTCTAGTCATCATCCAGCCTGTGCGTGGACACTCTCACCCACAGGGAGACGCCCCCACACTCCCATTTAGGACTTGTTGATGGTTGTTTGCTAACTTTGGGCAGAGCAAGAAAAATGAATTGCCCTTTAGCTACCACACACCCTTCAGTCTTCTCCATAAAATAAACCATAAGCCTGCAAAATCATGTGTAAAGTCAACAGGGAAAGGAAAGAGCTGTAGTCATAAATTCTAATCCCAGGAGGATATGTCAAAGGATGCTTGCATTATATATATATATATATATTTTTTTTTTTTTCTTTTCTTTTCTTTTCTTTTCTGAGACAGAGTCTTGCTCTGTCACCCAGGCTGGAGTGCAGTGGTGCAATCTCTGCTCACTGCAATCTCTGCCTCCAGGGTTCAAGTGATTCTCCTGCCTCAGCCTCCCAAGTAGCTGGGATTACAGATGCCTGCCACCACGCCCAGCTGATTTTTGTATTTTTTAGTAGAGATGGGGTTTCACTATGTTGGTCAGGCTAGCCTTGAACTCCTGACCTCAGGTGATCCACCTGCCTTGGCCTCCCAAAGTGTTAGGATTACAGGCGTGAGCCACCGCGCCTGGCCAGCTTGCATTATATTTTGATTTCAGATAAGGAAAGTCAGATCAAGTGACTGTGAGAAGGTCACTTCTTTCTTCTCCCTTCCTTCCTTCCACAATGCAGCCCCTAAAAGTGGCAACATCTTGTTTTAAGGGGAACCAAAAGGAATGTTTTCTGAGACTTATTATTCTCCTAGTGCCTACCTGTCTGTGAATGTTCTGGGAAGGTCTGAGGATGAGATTTGGAGATATGGAGATTTGGAGCGGCGAATTTATCTCACATGCCAGTTAGACACTTTATTCTGTCTAATTCAGGACAAAGACTGATGATTTGGGGGGCTAATCAGGGGATTCTTTTCAAGAATACAGTGTGATGAAGAAGGTTATCAAGACAGACTGCAAACTCTTTTCTCTAGTAACCTCTGAAAATAGAATCATAATGTGAAGTACAATACCTGCAATTATGGTAGCACACATTAAATGAAATAGGAGGATAATATAAGAGCAGGCCCATAGTTGTATATATTAGTGGACTAAATGAGTGATATCTTTATTGTGATCATCATGGTCACATTTATTGACAGTCAGTTTAGGGCAAAACACTCCTGGGAGAGGGGAGCATCAAGCCATCTGAAATTGGACGGAATTAAAGAGTTAGAAAAGGAACAGAGCAGGTGTCCTGGTATAGAGTGGACTTGAACAGGGTGAAAGAATGGGCGATCTTTGGATGGAGAGAAGGGGAGAAGAAAATGAGGGTGAGTAAAAGGCCACAGAGGTTGGAATGTGTAAGATACACATTTCATCAATGCAAAAATACCAGAAGGTGGCAAACGTGGACTTTGGTAGAGGCATGGCACAGGAAAATTGCTGTTCATAAGTCCACATAGGTGTGTCAGCTTCCAAACAATATTAGCTCACTAGATGCAAATGAATTATCCACATTACTCTGTTCCAGGCAATAGCCCCTATTGAGCTAGTGACAAAGGTAAACCATCTCTGACTCATCAGAAATTCTCTTCCCAAAGAAGTGAAGGGAGAAAATGGGAGTGGTAGGCCAGGAATGAGGGGCAATTCTGGTTGGCCCAGGGTGAGTCACTTTCCCTAATGTTCCTACCAGGAGATCAGGCCATGAGCTCTTGGCTCTGCTGCTCATTCTTGTCACCTTTCCCCCATATTCTAGCTCCCTCGGGTCACTCATCCTATCACTTTTCCGATAGGGCCGTGGAGTTGTACCCTCTCTAATTTTATAGATAGGGACCCTGTGGCCTAAAGAGGATTGGGGCTTGCCCTTCTTCCTATAGCACAGTTGGGACTAGGAGAGGGACCTCTTGACCATCAACCCCTTGCATCTGCACTCTGTCCTCTGCCATGTGACGTAACTCTTTTAGTCTTCATGCCAACTGAGAGGCAAATGAGACACAAAACAGAACATGGGAAAACTTGAAGGGGCTGTACCTTGACTGCAAAGGGCACCGGGGTACATGCGTAGAGGCAAGAAGAGTTTAGGGGCAGCAGGTCATCCTACATGACCCTATTCTCAAAAGAAAATCAGCCCCCATAATCCAGTTTCAGGTCTCATATTCCAAAACCTAAACTCTGAACTAACAAACATTGTGATTCTTTCATAGATGTCTAATATTTACTAAACAAATATTGGGACTTGTTTTCAATACCCTCTTTCAAATACCCCTTATAACAGGGTTCATATTTCTCTTCCTGAATGTTATGAGGCTTCCTCTTTCCTGCCTAACTGTCCCAAGGCCTCTCCTCCTCCAATGACCATGTGGCAATCATAGAGGGGGTCTTAGATAGTATTCCTGTATCAAAGGAAGTATGTCTAAGGAATTGGAGGATGCTGGTCGTTAGCCTCTGATTGATAAGCACTTCTTATTTATTTAATTTTTTTTTAAAATAGAGATGGGGGTTTCACCCTCTTGGTCAGGTTGGTCTTGAACTCCTGGCCTCAAGTTATCTCCCTGCCTCAGCCTCCCAAAGGGCTGGGATTACAGGCATGAGCCACCACGCCCAGCCTTTGATTGATAAACTCTTCTTTCCTCTTCCTTCATTCTGTAATGCAACCCCTAAAAGTGGCAAAATCTTGTTTTAAAATTTTGTCTGTCCCCTCCCCCAAATTTGGCATATTGAAAACAAGATATGGAGCAATAGTGACTCTGAGAGGAGAAGAGGTGTAGTGCAGGACACAAGAAGCTCCCCGCTGGTGAAATCCTGTAATGTGTTTCTTTCAAGTCCCCCTCCCTGCCTTTGTCTCCTGGTGATGAGGTGTAAGTTCTGCCTTTTTTCTTTTCTTTTTTTTTTTATTTTCAGAAAGTCTTTGTTGCTTCAGGCAAGCATCAGAAACTGAATCTGCTGGGGTGTTGGTTGGACTGTGTGGCCTCTCTTTATCCCTCTCTTCCCAGACCCCTCAAAATCAGGTGCATTCTATATCCCCTTAGGCTAGATAGACATTCTATGGATGCTCCGGTCTGCATGAGGAAGGGAACTCCAACCTCCCCCAAGTCAGTTAATTTTAAACATTTTGGTCTTTTTTCTGTATAATTTGGGATTGGTGTACCAGAAATGACTAAAAACCTGTGGTTTTCTGAGAGTGATCCTGGGACTATAATTTTCTGAAATTAAACTTCAGGCAAAAAAAATAAAAAAAAAGAGAAGAAAAGAAAAAGAAAAACAGAAACTCTCATCGTGGCCAGATGGAGCCAGAGATTTGTGAGAAGACGAGGCTTAAAGAGTAAAAGGCTATCAGTGTGCGAGATGGGTTGAAAAACAAAAAATAAAAGGTGAAATCCGAGACTGCCACGCTCACCTAGGAGAAGTTGCAAAACCTCCTTAGTGATGTTGGGAAAATTCTTTTCAGTGAAAAGTCTCTTATGGACCTGTTAAAAATATCCCAAGAGCAAAACAGCAGACCCCCCACCTTTAAAGGAGGTGTACCTTTTGTCACTTAATGCCTGCCTGTTTCAAATCCAACCTTCATTGCTTTGTGACGTTAAAACATTTCTTCTTTGCCAGCTGGCATGATGCTAAACTTTATCAGCAGGGGGCGCTGGAGGGCTAATTTCATTGGCCAATGGCAGTGGTTTCTTGCCCTCCAGCTTCAGTTGCCCAGGATGCTGCTTGCCAGTTTTGACCCATAGTTTCCTGCCTGCTAGCCCCAGCTGCTGAGTGTGGATGAGCTCCATCTAGGGCAACCCAGTTGAACATCTGTGCCATCCAGTAGCTGCAATCGCACCCTCTCAAAGGAGGTCTGCATCCTAGCTTTGGGGCAGGGCTCCCTTCTCTTCCAAATTAGTACTTTTGTAAGTAGTCTCCCTCTGCCTAGGATGTTCTTTAGAGTTCTCTTCAATTCTCTTGTAGTAGTTACTTCTCTTCAAATAGTCAATACATCTTTATATTAAACTTTCCCTGTTCAACTTACTGTGGTTACTGTCTCCTGACTCTCCTTTCATGGACCATGATGCCAAAAATGCAATTACTAGTAGGTGAAAGGTTTGATAGTTTCAAAATCAAGTGAACATAGGGAAATACATGGGCCTTAATATCACTAGAAATTTAAAGAGGCAGAACCAATTTATTCAGCCAGAAATTATGTCTATGAATTTTGTACTTAGAATTGGTATTAAATCATTGTATGGTTTAATGGTAGTGAAATGAAACACAAAACTTTGGAGACTGAGATTTTTGGAAAGATAGAGATGACCCTCCCCTTTCCTCTAGTGGCAACTGCACCAAGAACAGCCTAATACCAGAAAGCCTCCATCTCTTAAGATGTCATGACCCTTAATTGTTAGAAATTCATTGCCATCAGGCTAGGCGTGGTGGCTCATGCCTGTAATCCCAGCACTTTGGGAGGCTGAGGTGGGCAGATCACTTGAGTCCAGGAATTTGAGACCAGCTAGGCCAACACAGTGAGGACCTGTCTCTAATAAAAATACAAAAATTGGCTGGGTATAGTGGTGGGCACCTGTAATCCCAGCTACTCAGGAGGCTGAGGCATAAGAATCACTTGAACTGGGGAGGCAGAGGTTGCAGTGAGCTGAGATTGCGCCACTGCACTCCAGCCTGGGTGACTGGGCAACAGAGCAATACTCTGTCTCAAAAAAAGAATAAAAAAAAAAGAAAGAAAAAGAAAAAGAAAATGTAGTGCTATCAAATTAAGAAAATGCAAAAACCTGCACCAGTTCATCTATCAGATTAGGGCACTCCATCACCGCATACGGAACGCACAGCAATGAAATACTCTAGACCAGTGCTGTCCAATAAAAACAGGTGAGCCACCATATGATCCGTATGTGTCATTTTAATTTTTTTTTTGAGACAGAGTCTCACTGTCGACCAGGCTGGAGTGTAGTGGCATGATCATGGCTCACTGCAGCCTCAACTTCCTAGGCTCAAGCGATTCTCCCACCTTAGCCTCCTGAGTAGCTGGGACTACAGGCACATGCCACCACACCTGGCTAATTTTTCTATTTTTATTTTTTTGAGATAGGGTCTGACTCTGTTGCCCAGGCTGGAGTACAGTGGCACAATCTCAGCTCACTACAACCTCTGCCTCCTGGGCTTAAGTGATCCTCCCACCTCAGCCTCCCGAGTAGCTGGGACTACAGGCATGTGCCACCACACCCAGCTAATTTTTGTGTTTTTTGTAGAGATGAGGTTTCTCCACATTGCCTAGGCTAGTCTTGAACTCCTGGGCTCAAGCGATCTGCCCGCCTTGGCCTCCCAAAGTGCTGGGATTACAGGCATGAGCTACTGTGCTTGGGTTAATTTATAAATTTTTTTGTAGAGATGAGGGCTCACTAAGTTGCCCAGCCTTAAATTTTCTAATAGTCAACATTAAAGCCCTAAAGAGAAACAAGTGAAATTAATTTGAATGATGTATTTATTTAACCCAAAATATAAACAAATTATCTCAAGATGTAATCAACATAACAATGAGATATTTTGTTTATTTTTATTTTTTATTTTTTAAAGTATTTTTTATTTCAATAGGTTTTGGGGGAACAGATAGTGTTTGATTACATGCATAAGTTCTTTAGTGGTGATTTCTGAGATTTTGGTGCACCCATCACCCAAGCAGTGTACACTATACAATTATTAATTATTAATGAGATATTTTACATTCCGTTATTTGTACTGTCTTTGAAATCTGACATGTGCTTTATGCTTGTACTTCTCAGTTCAGACTAGTCACATTTCAGGTGCTTCATGGCCAAATATGGCTAGTGACTACTGTACTGCCCAGTTCTAGAATAGGATTTGACCACACATACTACTTAGTGGGAATGACGATTTGAGAGATCATTTAAAAAAAAAACTGCATTACAAAACCAGACTTCTGTGGCTTTATTGATCATATTAATATTGTATTTTAAGGCCATTTTCTTTTATTGGATACAGATAAACATATTAGTGATTATGTGTGTTTTTTTAGAAACCCAGATTTTCAACCCTGTGTTGAGCAAGTCTTACAAGAGCCATTTTTTCAACAGGATGTGTTCACTTTGTGTCTCTGTGTCACATTTTGGTAATTCATGCAATATTTCAAACATTTTCATTATTTTTATTTTTATTTTTTTTGAGACAGAGTTTCGCTCTTGTTGCCCAGGCTGGAGTGCAGTGGTGCGATCTTGGCTCACCATAACCTCCACCTTCTAGGTTCAAGCAATTCAGCTCAGCCTCCCGAGTAGCTGGGATTACAGGCATGCGCCTCCACGCCCGGCTAATTTTGTATTTTTAGTAGAGATGGGGTTTTGCCATGTTGGTCAGGCTGGTCTCGAACTCCTGACCTCAGGTGATCCACCTGCCTCGGCCTCCCAAAGTACCGGGATTACAGGCGTGAGCCACTGTGCCCAGCCACATTATCATTATTATACCGCTATGGTGATCTGTGATCAATGATCTTTGATGTTACTATGCAATTGTTTTGGGTGTCCATATAAGACGAGAACCTAATGGATAAATGTTGTGTGTTTTCTTTTTTTTCGGTAGGGAAGACAGGGTCTCACTCTGTTGCTTAGACTACAGTACAGTCACACGATCATGCCTCACTGCATCCTTGACATCCTGGGCTCAAGTGATCCACCCACCTCAGCCCCACAAATATGTAGGACTATAGACTCGAGCCACTATGTCTGGGTAATTTTTTTTATTTTAATTTTTTAATTAATTAATTAATTTATTTATTTACTTATTTTGAGATGGAGTCTCACTCTGTCGCCAGGCTGCAGTACAATGGTGTGATCTCGGCTCACTGCAACCTCCACCTCTCGGGTTCAAGTGATTCTTCTGCCTCAGCCTCCTGAGTAGCTGGGACTACAGGTGCGCACCACCATGCCCAGCTAATTTTTTGTATTTTTAGTAGAGATGGGGTTTCACCATGTTGGCCAGGATGGTCTCGATCTCTTGACCTCGTGATCCACCTGCCTTGGCCTCCCAAAGTGCTGGGATTACAGGCATGAGCCACTGTGCCCGGGCAAATTTTTTTTTTATTATTATTTTTTGAGACAGTTTCTCACTCTGCTACCCAGGCTGGAGTGCCAGTGGCCCGATCTCGGCTCACTGCAGCCTCTGCCTCCCAGGTTGAAGTGATCCTCCTGCCTCAGCTTCCCGAGTAGCTGGAACTGCAGGCACGCACCACCACCCTTGGCTAATTTTTGCACTTTTTTGGTAGAGATGGGGTTTTGCCTTGTTGGTCTTGAACTCCTAGGCTCAAGCGATCCACCCAACTCGGTCTCCCAAAGTGCTGGGATTACAAGCATGAGCCAGCACGATCGGCCTGAATTTCTTAATGTTTTCCTTCACTGGGCATTTAGGACCTTGTTAAAGAAGGCCTTTCATCTCCAGAGCCCATGAAGATGCTCTCCCATAGCATCTTCTAGGCTTTAAAACATTCAGAGCTTATTTGCTGTGTGGTGTTGGTGAGGGCTCTAATTTTTCTCCCCGCAACCCAGATAACCAGGGTCACCCAGTTAACAGAGCTTTAGAGTCCACGTTGCTTTCCGTTGCTCACGTCTTCACTGACTGCTCTGTTCATCTGCCTATCTCAGAATCACACCCTTTCTCCAGGACCACTCTCCTTCTGCTGGAAGTACGTTCTTCAGTGAGTTCCTTGAGTCTCACTCTCCTGAGTTTCGTGTTGTGATAAATTCTGTTTCCCATCTGGAAATGCCCTTTACCGTGAGCAGATTCTTGAACAACCATCAATTTCAACTCCTGATTCTAATTTGATGGTGAAGAGTCCCAAGTCACACTCACTGTATCCCATGGCTTCCGGCTCCCACTGTGGCCACTACGAAGTCTACTCTCAGTCTCAGCGTCTGCTCTCTGTAATCTGTGCTTTTTCCTTGGCTGCATTAAAGATCTTCTCTTTGCCTTTGGTGTGCTGCAATTTCATTATGATATGGGTGTGGATTTCTGTGCTTCCTGATTCTGCGTATTCAACCTCCACTGAAATGGGTGACTCGTGGTTCCCAGGTCCCTCCTTCCTCCTTCTGCCCACCCGAGCCTGGGCATCTTACTATGGGGTACAGTTGGGTGAAGGAGCATCATAGAAGCACCCTAGAAGAGATGATTGGTGCATTAGAAGCTGTCTGCCAGGTCTGAGTTGTGTTATGCTTATTCTCTGGGTAGTCTGAGGCAACCCCTGAGAAAGGCAGGTATTACTACAGTCAGAAGAACTGCTCCAGGAATGCATTCCTCCCCAGAAAAATCTCATATCTAAACTGAGAGTAATTCACGTATTATGGAACAATTTTCCAAACATATATATAAATTACAAACCACACCTCTCTCCCACCTCCAAAGTTGTGATGAGATAAAAGCAAAACTGTAGCACCAGCAAAACTAAATAAAACTTTGTAATAAGGCTTTAAGTGCCCTGAATCTCTTCCAAGGATCAAGATGAACCCTAGAGCTGCAATTCCACAATCCACCAGATCCTGGGACTCAGGCCATATCAACATGGTTATCTAGCTGGCATTCCAACCCCAAGAGGTTTCTTACTTGTCTGTTGCTTTCTTATTATCAAGTCCTCACTTAGGTTCTGTGTTCCTTTGCAGCCCAGACCACCCTAGACTCCATACGGCACCTCTATTCCAGCAGTATACCAGGGTCTATTAAAAGAAATCCAGAGAAACAACTCAGATGGAAAGGGCCCTGTGGCGTTCTGTTGACCATTGTCATGACTCTGTGGGGCTCTAGACCATTCTTGAGGATAGGAGGGTGACAAGCCACAAGGTGCACAACCAGCAGTGCACAAGGTGAACTTGAATACAATTCAGAGTCTGCCAAAGCCCTGCGACAGTTTTAGCCAAGAAAGGAAAGGGAGTTACTGTGTGGCATTCAAGATGGACTGAGTGAAGACTACAGATAAGTTTCCTAGGACTGTGTGGAGATGCCAGATAAATAACCTCAGGACTAGTGTATGAAATGGGCTGGGCTAATACTGACTGCTGGACTCTTAAGTCATCATCTTGCTTACTGTCATAGTTTACTGGTGCCTACCAGGAAGGTCCTTCTTCCCCACCTCTGATCACCGTGTTTCTCTTTCAAATGTCTTTTGCAGTGGTTGTCTGACAACTCAATGGTTGGTGTAACACAGGATTTGGCATCTTCCTTAAAGTTATCTGATTGTGTTTATTTCACCCTTGGGACATAATGTGCAAGACCCTAGGATGCTGGAAACATGGCTCTATCCAAGCCCCGAAGGCCTGAGAACCAGGGAAACGGATGGTGTAACTGTCAGTCTAAGGCCAAAGGCCTGAGAAGCAGGGGGGCCACTGGTATTAAGTCCTGGAGTCCAGGGGCTGGGGAGCCTGAAGTTTTTTTTTTTGGAAGATTGGGTTTCACTCTGTCGCCTAGGCTGGAGTGTAGTGGTGCAATCTCAGCTCACTGCAGCTTCACCCTCACAGGCTCAAGTGATCCTCCCACCTCAACCTCCGGAGTAGCTGGGACTACAGGTGCATGCCACCATGCCTGACTAATTTTTGAATATATATATATTTAGAGATGGGGTCTCACTGTGTTGCCCAGGCTGTTCTCAAACTCCTGGGCTTAAGAAGTCCTCTCTTCTCAGCCTCCCAAAGTGTTGGGATTAGAGGCATGAGCCACTGCGACCAGCTGGGAGCCTGCAGTTCTGACAGGAGACTAAGAGTGTATTCCAGCTCCAGCAGATAGATGGATGCAGATCACCTTTTCTCTGTTTTTGTTATCTCCAGGTCCCTGGCAGATTGGATGGTGCCCGCCCACATTAGTCCACTCATACTCTCATGCTGATCACCTCCGGAAACACCTTCACAAACACACCCCACAATAATGCTTTATGAGGTTTCTAGGTATTCCTTAACTCAGTCAAGTTGACATCTAAAATTAACTGTCACACTATTAAATATACGCTGTAGGCAATACATCTATAAAAGGGAGTATACAAAGAGGAAATCAGCCCCCATCTCCCTGGACTTCCATGCCATTTATTTTGAAAGTTAAATTCTGAATTAGCAGAAATCCTTAACATTTGACTTTATGTACAGAAATATGACCCTCTTTATGTATTTTCAGTGTTTACTGGACACTGAAGATACATAAATTTATATTATCAGAAACCTCTTTCAAATAGCCTTCCAAGGTTTGCTAATACAGACTCATCAATCATAGGCCTAAAAGTAAAACCTAAAATTATAAAATTTCTAGGAGAAAACATAAGAGAAAAAAAATCTTTATGACATTAGGGTAAGCAAAGATTTCTTAGTTAAGACACCAAAAGCATAATCCATAAAAGAAAAAGTCAATTACTTGGACTTCACCAAAATTAAGAATGTGTGCTCTTCAAAAGACACTAAGAGAATAAAACACAAGACACAGACTAGGAGAAAATATTTGCAAATCATATATCTGATAAAAGACTTTTTATAAAGGATATGGAAATAATCCTCTGAACTCAATAGTAAGAAAACACACAGCCCAATTTTGTAAAAAATGGGCAAAATATGTGAAAAAACACTTTCATTGAAGAAGATATAGGGATGTCAAGGAAGCATATGAAAATACGTTCAATGTCATTAGTTCATAAGGAAATGCAAACTGAAACCACAATGAGATACTACTTCACATTCATTATAATGGCTAAAAGTAAAAAGACTGACCATACCAAGAACTTAGGAGAATGTGAAACAATTGTAACTCTCATATTTTGTGGGTGGAAATGCAAAAATGGTATGGTCACTTTTGGAAAAACAGTTTGACTGGTTTCTTACACAGTTAAGTATACGCTTACCATTCAACATAGTCACTCTATTCCTAAGTATTTACCCAAGTGAAATGAAAACCTATGTTCACACAAAGATCTGCACGTGAATGTTTGTGGCAGATTTATTTGTTGATTACAAAAAAACTGGAGACAAACCAAATGTCCCTCAGCTACAGAATGGATTAAACTGTGGTGCATCTGTAAATGTTGCTAGAGGGAATGTAATTTGCTGCAGACACTTTGAAAAACTGTTTGGTAGTATTTGCCAAAGTCAAACGTCCTCGAAACATACCCAACAGAAAAGACTTGAATAAGAATGCTCATAGCAGCACATTTGTAATAACTCTGGAATAAAGAGTCTGACTCAATTTTTGATGTTTTACTATGACAGCTTTCAAGCCCCATCACTCCCCTTTCTCATTTTCTCCACACCTGGACATGCCTACAGGTAGCTCATGGTGCTCCCTTCCTTGGTGCAGACGGGCAGTTCAAACCACACAAACTCCAGCCTGTGGGAGAGGGATCCTTCATCCTGGACGCACCTGCCCTCTGCCCAGCCACTATAAAAACCAGAGCCACGTGCCCCTTCTTTTGCTTGAGTGTGGGCCCTGCTGTCCCCAGAAAGCCTCATTACGTGAGTAGTAACTCTTTTCAAATCCTCCTGATGAGTGTGTGGCATCATCAGTCTGGAGCTCCGAATCAATCTTGGGTGGTTTGAAGGGCTGATAACTCCCATCAACAGTGCAGCAGCAAAGCAAACCCCAAATTGGAAACTACTCAAATGCCAAGGCAATAGATGAGGATACAAATACATTTTTTGCATATTTGCCCAATGGAGCCTTTGAAGCAATGAGAATGAATGAACTGCAACTGCACGTCATCTCGCAAACATAATGTTGAACAAATGAAACCAACACAAAAGAATATGTTCTATACGACCGGTTAGCATTTTTAGAAGCTAACTTGTAATGTTAGAAGTCAGGAGAGTTGCTACCATACTTAGGGTGGTAGGTTACTGGAAAGGCGCACAAAGTGAGAACTTTTTGGTACATCAGGCTGTATTTGAAAAGATAAAAATAAATCTGAGTGAGATGGGAGAGGCAGGAGAGGATGATCGGATGCTCCAGCTCTCTGAGTGAAGTTCTGACTCTGCCCTGTTGGGCTGCGGTGTTTAGAATGTGAACCAGTCCCATCCAGTGGACAAATGTAGAAGTGCATGTAAAGGCTTAAAATATAATAGCAAGATGTCTGGTCTGTCTTGGGAGTCTCTGATAGTCGCAGCTAATTTTGGGTGTGGGTGCAGATCCTGGGCTCAGAAATGAAATAGAGCAGGCCGGGCGCAGTGGCTCACGCCTGTAATCCCAGCACTTTGGGAAGCCGAGGCGGGTGGATCACGAGGTCAAGAGATTGAGACCATCCTGGCCAACATGGTGAAACCTCGTCTCTACTAAAAATACAAAAAAAATTAGCCGGGCGTGGTAGCTGGCGCCTGTAGTCCCAGCTACTCGGGAGACTGAGGCAGGAGAATGGCGTGAACCCGGGAGGCGGAGCTTGCAGTGAGCTGAGATCGCGCCAATGCACACCAGCTTGGGCGACAGAGCGAGACTCCGTCTCAAAAAAAAAAAAAAAAAAAAAAAAAAGGAAATGAAATAGAGTATCCAAGAAGAGTCTGAGGCCAGACTTTCTGTCCTGCTACAGAGAGCTGGGTTCGCCAGGCTGAGGGAGACAAATGACTTCTCTGGTGGGAGGGATAGGAAGCAGAGAGAAAGGTGGACCCTATCCCAGCTGAGGGCTCCACTATCCCCACGCATTGTTTGCCTCACTAGGAAGTCCAGCTGGGTTAGGAAATCACCTTTACTCAGGTGCTAAATGCTAATCTCATAAGGTAGGTAGTAATGCCCATTTTTCAGATGAGGGAACTGAGGCCTGGGTAACTTGACTTGTAAGTGGCAAAACTAACGTTTGAATTCCAGTCCGTCTGGGTCCAAAACCCATTTCTAAATTATGATACTCTATGTTGAGTGTCTTAACCTTTTTTTTGTTTTGTTTTGTTTTTTGTTGAGACGGAGTCTCGCTCTGTCGCCCAGGCTGGAGTGCAATGGCGCAATCTCGGCTCATTGCAACCTCCACCTCTCTGGTTCAAGCAATTCCCCTGCCTCAGCCTCCTGAGTAGCTGGGATTACAGGCGCATGCCACCACGTCTGGCTAATTTTTTTGTATTTTTAGTAGAGACAGGGTTTCATCATGTTGGCCAGACTGGTCTCGAACTCCTGACCTCAGGCAATCCGCCCACCTCGGCCTCCCAAAGTGCTGGGATTACAGGTGTGAGTCAAGGAGCCTGGCCAAGTGTCTTAACCTTTTTTGTGCCATGGCCCCCACCCCTACCCCCAGCAGTCTGGTGAAGCCTATGGGGCCCCTCTCAGAATCATGTTTTAAAATGCATAAAATAAAACACATATGATTATCAATTCTACTGAAGTTTCTAAGAATGTCAATCCCATTGAAATAGTTACCAAGTTTTAAAAAAATTATAGTATAGCGTGTGCTATTTATGTGTATCTTTATTAATGCCTTAAATACAAGATCTAGCAGTGGGTCTGAATTTCCAGGAAGTAATGAATGTAAATATTTTTAGATGTCTGTTCTGATGGTAATGTGAAATGAAACTATCAGGGATTTCACTGGTGACAAAGTCATGGGTGACATTCCAATGAAAGAAAATACTGAATTTCCATTAGAGGTTAGTGAAAATAAGGATGTAATCTTATTCTCATGTAAGCTCAGATCTCTTGCATACCAGGTATGGGTCCTTTGGGGATCCATGGACCTTAGATTAAGACTCCTTTAATTGTTGCCTCTGACTCCTCTCCCTTTGCCCCTGACTATTCCCAGGGCTTTGCTGGAAACCTGCCTGTGAGCTGACAACTAGCAAAGAGTGCTAAGTGTTTGTTAAACAAGGCAAGATCACAGTGTTCAGCAGACACGAAAGGCCTCAGATGGGCTGTTGGACCCAGAAATACACACAGGAATAAGATGCAGCCTTGCCTTCAAGAAGTCCCCAGCCTAGTAGAGGCAATGTCTCTATAGGTTATGATTTACCTCCAGATGAATTAAACAGGCAAGAAGTGAGTGCTTTGGGAACATACGAAGAGTAATCCAATGGGCTGGGTAGTCCAGGAACGTGTCCTCTACGGGATGATACTAGGGTTGAGACTGGGATGGGCAGCTTTAGAAGGGGCCAGGAACACCTAGTAGTTAGGCACACAGGCTCTCTCATCAGCCTGGATTCAAAACCTGGCTCCATCACTCCCTAGCATTGGGATTTTGGGCAAGTCTTCCTGATCTCTCTGTGCCTCAGTTCCTCATTTGTAAAATGGAAATGACCCTACCGCTTCATAGGGTTGGTTGGTGTGAAGATTAGATGAGTTTAGGTGTTGTCGGCCACAGTGATGGCACTGATTGTCATTGGAGAGGTAGACAGAGGTTGAGGCCTTTCTGGGCATTAGAAACAGCACAAACTGTGCAGAGACAGGATGGTTTTCTTGTGAAAGGAACTGGGCAGAGAAAGTCATGGGTTTGATGAGTTAAGGTGGAATGGACAAACATGTTTTATTTTTCTAGTTATGTTTTTATTTGTTTGCCTTGGGAAATAACATCAAATGTGTGATTTTACTGATAATATTCCATAAAACAGGACTAGAGTGAGTATTTAAGTTTTAAAGAGTGGTGAGTTGATTTATAGAAGATATATTTATACAATAATACATAGTATAGGTGGTAGAGGGATGTGGCAAAAAATATGAAGGTGACAGCAATGCCTCATTTTAATCACTGGATTAGGAGATAGGAACCCTCTTCACCTTATGAATTTTTCAAAGTTCCTCTGGCTCAGTCCAGCAATTCCTGAATCCCTGAATGGGACAGAGGCTGACAGCAAATGCACAGTGTTTGGGAAAAGCCCAGAAATTCTGTCCACACCCAATTCATTTCTGAATACACTCAAGGGCAATATTTGAAATTGAAGGTCACCACCCAGAAGCAGGTTATGAAATCAGTTAATTACATGGTGGCTCACACCTGTAATCCCAACACTTTTGGAGGTCGAGGCAGGTGGATCATTTGAGATCAGGAGTTTGAGACCAGCTTGGCCAACATGGTGAGACTCCATCTCTACTAAAAATACAAAAATTAGCCAGGTGTGGTGGTGGACACCTGTAATCCCAGCTACTCGGGAGGCTGAGGCATGAGAATTGCTCAAACCTGGGAAGTGGAGGTTGCAGTGAGCCCCAAGATTGCACCATTGCCCTCCAGCCTGGGTGACAGAGTAAGACTCTGTCTCCAAAAAAAAAAAAAAAAAAGAAAGAAATCAGTTAATGAGTCATGTCTAGCTATTTATTTATTTATTTATTTATTTATTTATTTATTTATTATTCATTATTTTTTGAGATGGAGTCTCTCTCTCTCTGTTGTCCAGGCTGGAGTGCAGTGGCACAATCACGGCTCACTGCAACCTCTGCCTCCCAGGCTCAAGCGATTCTCCTGCCTCCCGAGAGTAGCTGGGATTACAGGTGCCCACCACCATGCCCAGCTAATTTTTGTATTTTTAGTAGAGACGGGATTTCACCATGTTGGCCAAGCTGGTCTCGAACTCCTGACCTCAAGTGATCTGCCCCCCCAGCCTCCCAAAGTGCTGGGATTGCAGGCATGAGCCACCATACCCAGCTCATGTTCAGCTTTTAAAAACTATGAAACAGAAAGGAATAGAAACTATCCTTTTCATTGGTAGTTGGGTAATATTATTTTGTGAAACTTTTTTTTTCAGGTGTGTGTATGTGTACAATAGACTGCCTGGTAAAATGCATTTCCTATTGTGGGATACAGACAAAAATAACTGCTTAGATGGAAACAGGCCTGGATTCTCATCCAAATTCTCCTCCTCCCCTGCTGTCTAGCAGGGTGGTCTCCATACTCTGTGAGCCACAGAAACAGGTTAATTTTGCTGGGTGGCTAACTGAGATGGCAAAGTGCTATGTTTATGCCTGGTGTTCTGATTTAGCCAAAGTGTTCCTGAGCCTATTTATATGCCCAGAACTCTCCATTTAGAGGGAATTGAGTTCTTTAGGAGAGAGGACTGGGATCAGGCCAAACAGGCCATGAACCCATGTTCCCTTTTCCAGATTCCAAGCCCACACCCAGAGCTTCTGCTTCCAAACATTCCATCACTTTTCCAGTTACAACATTTCCATATCTTTCATGACTTCCTCATTTTGTAGCCACACTTCCCACTCTGATATGTGATGTGGGTGGGGCACGTGCTCATTCCTGGAGCCGCCTCCCTGTTGTCCCACCTCTACCTCTCCGGGAACCCGCTGTGCTGTGGGACAGGAGGAGACCTAGCGGACAGCCTTTGGATAAAGCAGGTAGATAAGCATTGGAGGGGAAATAGCCCTGGAGCAGACTCTGAGACAAAGATTTGAGTGTAAATTTTAGGTTGAACTATATGAAATTGCCATTTTTATAGGTCAAAAATCTCAAATATTGGCAATGTCATATGGTCCCACTAACAGTTTATCTGGAAGTTGGAGACATGGGCAGGAGAGTGGGGAGGTGAGGCAGAGGAAGGAAGGCAGCCAGTGAAGAGTGTGTTAGCAAACCAGCTTCCCCTGTGGGTGGTTGGACTTAATCCCCCAGGAGAAACTCGGGGAGACAGTGCAGTGCACACACCTTGGAGTTATTCCACCCAAGGGCAAGGGAGGTGGGGTATTTAGGCACCAACTGACCTCAGTCATTGGTTGAGGGTTCTTGGTGGGGGGCAGGGAACATTATGTCCTGGAATTTCTGGCATGCTGCACTGGTGGGCAGGGGCAAGACAGGCTTTGTTAGCCAGAGCAAGGCCACAGACAGAGCAGTGTGGGTACTCACAGCTGGAAGTCAGCCAGTGTGTGCCCAGCAGGTGGGAGCTCTGGTAGACGAGGGCCACCAATGGTGCCTGCTACAGGAGCTCTGCCAGGGGATTCCAAAGGTGCCTTCAGTGAGCACCTCTGGCCACACACTCATGTAGATGAGAAAATATGATTGTAGTTTTCTAGAAGAAGCTATTTTCTATTTTGAGACCCCCATTCTACAGGATATGGAAACTTAATTGCAGTCACTGTGAGGGTCACCACTCGCCCAGAATTACATCAGTTCCAGGAAACTGGTTACTGCCCAGGTGCAGGGGAGCATGGTGCCACCTGGTTCTTGGTGGCACCTGTCCACACGGGCCTCCACTTAGACATCAGCATCCTGCCTCCCTGTTGGACATCAGCCTATGTGTCCACACTCAGGGTAGTCCACTAGCACCTTCAGGCCTGGCAGCCCATTGAAGACTTCATTTGATTGCTTCAGGCTAGGGCATGGGATGGGGCTACCTGTGGCCCTGTTCACCTTGGACTCCCCATGTGCCATGTCCCTGTGCCCCCTAAGTCCCGCAAACACCAGGACCGTGGCCATAAGACAGGGCACGGTGTCCCTCTAATGTTTAGACTGACCTGCTTCCCTGCTGCCTCTTACCTTCTCAGCCTGGGGAATGCTTTTTTAGTTTGGTATAGAATAGAAAGAGAACCTTAATTTTCTCAAACTCCTGTACTCAAAGACCAAGAAAAAATTCAAAGACCCTTCCTGAGTCTCACTGTTTGAGCAGAAGAAAAGTGAATGGTGGGAAAACACCAATTAACACTTGATTGATTGATTGATTGAGACAGAGTCTCATTCTGTCACCTAGGTTGGTGCAGTGGCATGATCTCGGCTCACTGTAACCTCCACCTCCTGGGCTCAGGCAATTCTTGTGCCTCAGCCTCCTGAACAGCTGGAACTACAGGTGCATGGGACCATATCTGGCTAATTTTTTTGTATTTTTGGTGGAGACGGGGTTTCACTGTGTTAGCCAAGCTGGTCTTGAACTCCTGACCTCAGGTGATCCACCCACCTCAGCCTCCGACTGACATTTTAAAAAACGTAATAGTGCCTTAACCCCTAGGGAAACCCTGGCCCCACCCTTAACCATAAAAAGAAATTGGTCAGGCATGGTGGCGCATGCCTGTCATCCCAGCTACTTGGGAGGCTGAGGCACGAGAATCACTTGAACCTGGAAGGCGGAGGCTGCAGTGAACTGAGATCGTGCCACTGCACTCCAGCCTGGGCGACAGAGCAAGACTCCGTCTCAAAAAAAAAAAAAAAAAGAAAAAAGAAAAAAAGAAAACAAAAGAAAAGAGAAAAACAACATCATAAAACTACAAAATGTATCTGGGGAGAGGGGAAAATATCTGATTCAGAAGGGAAAATCCTGTAAACTAACTGGGTGGAGGCTGAGGGTGGGGGTGGAGGTAGTCTGGTCCAAATCCCAGTGCTGCAATTTGGAAAAGTTACCTAACTCTCTGTGCCTGATTTTCCTCATTATAACATCGGGTTCGTGGGAGGATTAGACAAATTAATACATGTAATGCACTTGAAACAGTGTCCTGTCCAGCCCAAGTGCCATGTAAGCATCAGCATTATTGTTCGGCCCCTAGTGCCCTGTCTGGAATGAAACCCAGGACAGGCCCTCAGGAAGGGCTTCCTGGATGGACAGATGGGGTGATAAAGTGAAGGGGTGGTCAGGCAAGGTCCCCAGTTCTCAACTGTTGATTAGCTGTCAGCTTTCTCAGTTTCCAGAGACCTTGAAAATATTTAAAAGAAAATAGTTCCCAAGAAATGAAACTGGCTCCAGAAAGCTGACAGCTCATCCTGTCCATGACACTTACCCACTTCCAGGGTCACCTGCAAACACCAACTTCCTAGCCTTACAGTATGTGATCTTCTTTGCCTGGAACCCGAGGGTGCATCCAGCTGCTGCTATTTTTGTCCCTGGCTTTGGGCTGAACTAATAATGTTATGAGAAATTTTAAGAATTTGTGTTGGGCTGCATTCAAAGCTGTCCTGGGCTGCATGCGGCCTGTTGGTTGGATAAGCTTGCTCTATAGTCACTTTACAGACAGGGAAACTGAGTCCCAGAAAGCCTCAGGTGGTGGAGTCTTTGTATAAGAAGCGGTAAGACCACTGTTAGGTAAGAGCAAGTAATTCTAGGAAGGCTTTCTACATCAAAGCCTGCATTCTCCCAACAAACATTTACTGAGTGTCTACTGTGTGTCCAGTGCTGGCTGGGCTATGCAGTGGGGGATGTTCAGATGAGCAAGCAATAATTCTGTCCTGGAATCACTAACCAGATCTGAGGTGGAGGGGCTGGGGAGCAAAAAGGAGCAAATAATTACACAGAATATTCACAAAGACAATGAGCAAAAGAGCACCGGAGTAGGAGTCAGAAAGTCCATGTGGCTGCTATCAACTGTGTTTCTGGGCAAGTGACGGGGTTTCTGAATCCTGGCAACCCTGTCTGCAAAATGGATGTGATAACTTCAGCCTGGCCTAACCCACAAAGCAGATGTCTGGAGAACCACTCTGTAATTCTAACATGTAGTAAATATGTAAGTGAAGATATTTTGATAAATGAATACATATATTGATTTCAAACAAATGCATTTGTAGCAAGGCAAGGGACTGGCAGTTGGGGAAAGGATTATACATAACCCCTTAGCTGAAGGGTGCCTTGGGCAGATGTACAAAAGAGGAGATAACACAGTCTGAGTGGCCAGCGGGGGCCAGGCTGGGGACAGCACAGAAAGAGGAAGTGGAAGAGGTGAGAGGAGCATCATTTCCTTCCTTTTGTGCCGTCAATGGAGCATGTTAGGAAGATCTGAGGTTCTGGCATAACAGCAAATAAAAGTGAGTAAATGTGGGCTCTAACCAGGCTTCTAAATTGGAGGGCAAGTTTGTAGCCTAGGAATTCAAAGTTTTAAGGCCCTAGAGAAGGACTGGACTGACTCTCTCATGAGTTAAGCCAGAATGGGGTGAATTTTGCCCAAGGAAGACAGAGAAATAAAAGAAAAAGAAACAGTGAGACAGAGGATGAGGCAGGGCCAACCCAGGGCTCTCCCATCAAAAACCAGGCTGTCAAGAGCTGCCAGACTCAAGAAGGGGCAATCAGAGCATGAGCTTGGTGGTGCTGGAGGGAGGATGCCTGATGGAGAGCAGGGGTGGGGGTGGGGGATCTGGGGCTACCTGGCCAGGCTCAGCCCTTCCTGGAACTCTTTGCCTGTGGAATTAGGACTGACTCCTCCGACTGCAACCTGCCCATTCCAGGAAAAAGCCCAGCCCTTGTTGGGAAGATGCCTCAGTGAGTTTCAGGGAAACGGGAAACCTAGTTGCTCACACAAAGGCTCAGAGGTCTCCCAACCACCTGCCCTGCATACCAGGGAGTGTCTGACGTGCTATGGCTGGGGGGTGACACTGAGGGAGTGACTTAGCCGTGGGCCACATCTCATTAGGAAAAGCAGCTTAACAGGAAACAGATGGGTTGAAATATTTTAAAAGAGGATGAGACAATTTGAACAGCAAGATAAATAATGAGAGTAACAGGATAAAATAAATACCCATGAGTTCATACTAATATAAATACTTAAGAAGAAAGGCTAACTCTTTTAAAAAAAAAAAATTTTTTTTTTTTTTTTTTTTTTTGAGATGGGGTCTCCCTCTGTTGCCCATGCTGGAGTGCACGGCACAATCTTGTCTCACTGCAGCCTCCACTTCCCGGGCTCAAACAATCCTCTCAACTCAGCCTCCCAAGTAGCTAAGACTACAGATGCATGCCACCACACCTGGCTAATTTTTGTGTTTTTTGCAGAGATGAGGTTTCGCCATGTTGCCCAGGCTAGTCTCGAACTCTGAGACTCAAGCCATCTACCTGCCTTGGCCTCCCAAACTGCTGGGATTACAGGCAAGAGACACTGTGCCAGGCCCAGCTCTTTCTTATAATAGAATTCTAATTAATACATGTAGAAAGAATTCTAATTAATATATGATGGAAATAGAATATCACCATTTGGAAAAAACCACAGTAATAATTACTGTTGGAAAGTATAAATGGATGCAAAAATTAGTGGACAAAAGCATGATGAGAAATAGGATATTTGTGTAGTCTCAAAGTAGCAAGATACTTACTAATTACAAAAGGTAAATAGTAATTTCACAGTGGAAGAACTTGTTAGATACCACATTTTTCAAGTGATCAAAGTTAACATTGCCAGGAAAGAGACATCTTTAAATTATGTACCTCTGATACGTATACTGAGGACATAAGATCACTTCTGTGTTGTTCCTGCCCAAAATACACAACCTCAGTCTAATCCTGAAGAAACACCACACTGAAATTTAGGGACATTCTACAAATGAACTGGCCAGTACTCTTCAAAACTGTCAAGGTCATGAAAGACAAAGCAAGACTGAGGAACTGCCCCAGAATGAAGAGACAAAGGAGACATAAGAACCAAGCGCATTCTGGTTTAGATCCTGGGCCAGAGAAAGGACATTAGTGGGACAACTGTTGAAATTTGAATAAGGTGTGTAGATTACTCAATAGTATCATGTCAATGTTAATTTCCTTGTTTAGATTCTTAGTCAGTACTGTGATTATGTAGATGTGTTAAAAGTAAAACCTTAGAGGCCGGCTGCTGTGGCTCGTGGCTAGAATCCCAGCACGTTGGGAGGCTGAGGCAGGTGGATCACTTGAGCTCTGGAGTGGGAGACCAGCTTGACCAACATGGTGAAACCTTGCCTCTATTAAAAATACAAAGATTAGCCGGGCATGGTGGTGGGCACCTGTAATCCCAGCCACCGGGCCGAGGTAGGAGAGTTTATTGAACCTGGGAGGCACAGGTTGCAGTGAGCCGAGGCCGAGCTCACACCATTGCACTCCAGCCTGGGCAACAGAGTGAGACTCTGTCAAAAAAAAAAAGCAAAACCTTAGGCAAAGTAAATGGAGTTTAATTGAGCAAAGAACAATTTGAGAATCAAACTAGATTAGGTTCAGAGAAACTTGGGTGCTGCTGCATGTGGAAGAAGACTTATGGACAGAAAAGGAAAGTGATGGACAGAAAATGGAAGTGAGGGACAAACAGCTGGATTGGTTACAGCTTGGCGTTTGCCTTATTTGAACACCATTTGAATGGTTGGCCACATGCGATTGGCTGAAACTCTGTAATTGGCACAAGAATAGGTTATAGCCTGTTTATACATTCAGTTTGGTTACAGTTCATTATGTGTGGAGAAATCTTTACGCCAAATTTAAAATATGTAAGTTTTATATATTAAATGTATAAAATACATGTCTTATATATTAAAAGTATATAAAAATATATGTTTAGCCTTAGGCTAAATGCAATTTAACTGATGTTAATATTAGGGGAAGCTGGCAGACAGGTATCCAGGAATCTCGTGCTTTATTTTGCAAGTCTAAAAATTATTTTAAAATAAGGATGTACAAAAGGGGGGAGGTGAGGGAGAATAAAAAAGGAGCCCAGGTCCTAGAACTTAGCTGTTCTGTGGGAGGGACCGAGGACCCTGTGGCTCTTGTTGGGCAGCTCCTTGGGTCTCTCTATTGGAAACTAGTGTTTGGCCTAGAGAAACTTGGAGGCCTCACTTGAAAGGTCCCCTGCTTCCTTCTGCCTGAGTAAAAACCCATCATAGTCTTAATGTCCATTCTTGGTAGCCTGTGGACCCCAGAGAAAGGCAAATGTCTAAGTCCATATCCATCTTCTTGGGACATTCCGTTCTCTGACGCCTGTCTGAGGGACTATCTGTACCCCCAATAAACTTGCAAAAACCGAGGCCCAGAGAGGTGAAGCCACCATCTCTAGGTCACACAGCCAGTAAATGCAGAGCCAGGTCCAAGCCCAGCTGTGTGTGACTCCAATGCCATGCCTTTAACCACCTGACATTACTACTCTATTATTGCTCAGTCCAGGTGGAGACAACAGGCATTCACCAAGCACTTGCTGTGTGTCAAGGGGGCAGTGGGACTGGAGGTGAGGGTGGCTGAGGTACTGATCCTGGACCACAGGTGCTGTCCTGGGAAGGCAGACCCTCATACTGCTAAGCATATGTCAGGTAATGCATCATATATCCACAGTCATTCATTCATTCAGTCTCTGCTCTTGCCTGTCCCTGGGCTCTGGGTGGTGGGTCAGATATGGTCCTTCCCCTGAGAGCTCCTGACCCAGCAGGGGAACAGATAGTTAAATAGGCAGCTAATCATACAGAGATGCCATGAAGGGGAGTCGGGGAGAAGGGAAAGAAAGAGGGAAGATGATTTGGAAAGTCTGGGAGATGAAACTATTGGTGACACAGTGGGTGTAGCAGACACAGCCCTGCTCAGTGGGAGTTATGGCCAGAAAAAGAGATTGGGTGGAGTTTAGAATTGGGGCAGAATGGGACTGAGATCTTGCTGAGAAGGTATCCAGGATGAAGAAGCTGAAGGTGATGTTGGGAAGGCCCTTCAGGTAGACACAGGGTAAACAAAGGCCTGGACCTCTGGGATGGGCTGTTAGTGTACTTGACCCAGCTACTAGGGAATCATTCCAGAGAGGGGATACATGCTTTCCAAACACTATCTTTGGGGGATGCTCTTTTATGGGGTGGGAGTCATCTGAGCTTGACTCTTATCAATGAGAGAAATAGCTCATGGCTATGCAGCTGAGATGAGGGCTGGGGCAAGGGCAAAGGGATTTTTTTTATTCCAGTTGAAAGCAGGATATACATAGGCTGCTGTCCAGAGAGGGGATGAGCGCATGGAAAGGAATTACACTCTGTCTGCACTTCCCTGAGGAAGAGGCACCTGGCGCTGCCGCTCTCCTCCCAGGCTTGTGGTGGACATTCTCAAGCAAGTCATTCTGGCTCCGGTAGGTTATAGCCATACTCGGGGTGTGGGGTGGGGGTGAGACTTCCCAGGGGACACAGGGAGAGACTGAACCCAGTGGCTTGGGGAGTGGGCACAGGTGCTGGGAAGAGGGAGGTGCTAAGTCAGTGCAGAGCTTTCTCTCCAGGGCAGCTGTTGGAGCAATTGCTTCCAGCACCTGGAGAGTGATGGGTCTTCTGACCTCTTTCCCTTCCTTGACTCTGGCTCTGAGAATCTGCTTTGCAGATTCTGAAAACCCCTGAGAGTTGGTTCTCCAACCTGGCTGGGGGAGCTCAGGCATTCCTTTCCATCTCTGGGCCTCAGTGTTCCCGGCTGTAAGATAATGGGGCAGATGAGATGGTCTTTAAGGGCCTCTCTCCCAGGGCCAAAGTTTCACAGCTCTGTGGTCTCTTCTTTTGCACATGTCCACCCTCTCCCCATCCTGCTCCTTTCCCAAATTCTTGGCCCCCTTCCTTCTGCCCAAAACAGTTCCAGATTCAAATAGTCCCTGGATCTCCTCCCATGCATCCCAGCCTGAATCAAATGTCATTTAATCAGCGAGTTTATTCATTTTAGGGGCTGGAAGAGAACCAATAGTATATGCCAGGCCCTTAGTTTACCATAATAACCCTGCAAGGGAGGCAGATTATAGGTGAGAAAGCTAAGTATCAGAGAGGTTAAATAATGAGCTCGGAGTTGCACAGCCATTAAGAAGTGAGTTAAGCTATATTCTGTCTGTTCTACCCTGCCTATTCTGTCTATTCTACCATGCTGAGTGTCCTGCCTTTCCTGGGGATAGTGGGGTTTCATTTTCATGCTGAAATACACACGCAAGGAGTTCTCATGGGAACATTACAGGCAACAAGTACAGAGGCAAAAAACAAAACATCAAAAAACATTCTGGGAAAGACATGAAAGTCTCACCTTCTGCAGCAGCAGCTCCTTGAAGGGTCGGGCTCTGAAAGTGCTTACTTTTTGTTAGCTGAAATAAGTTTTGGGAGGAGGGTTACTCTTGTGATTTTATATATGTCACAAACATCTCTATCTCCTGACCAGGCCAGGAAACATTGAGTGATGTGGGGTCCCAGGGAGCGTGGGGAGCAGGCAGGCCTCACATATCTCAGGAGAAGCAGACAGCTATGTCTAGCTGGAAGCTGCAAGGGGACTCCTGCCCTGCTGAGGAATGGACAAGGCCACTCCCTTCCAGCCAGACTTTGTGTAATCTGGTGTACCAGACGTGGCTCTGGGCATGAAAACAGACAAACAGGATACACTAAGATGTTCCTGTGGGTTATTTTTGCAGTGGTAGCATCTCAGGGGACTTTTGTTTTTGTTTTTTGGCCTCTTTTCTATTTTTCCACTGTATTTCCACATTTTACATTGAATATATATTATTATGGCAATCAGGAAAAAATAACATGTTAAAAAAGTAAGGAGAGAGAGTGTGCCGTGATCTGGAATCAGAGGCCAGCTGATTCCTCTGGCCAGCTGTGCCTGGCTTACAGTGTGGCCCTGGATTTCCTGGGAAACTAGAGAGGCGATACCTGTTCACCCCTTCACGAGGGAGCCAGGAAGACACAGCAATGACTGGGATAAAAAAAGGTATCTGGAAACACAAAGCCCTGTGTAAGTGTCAGGGCTGGTTTCTATTATCTTCATTGTGTTTTATAAATCACAATCTGAATATGCTTCCCATGCAGACCATCCAGAAGGCAGCTGTTCATCCTGCAAGCCCGAGGAAGGGGTGCACACAGGCTGAACTCCCAGTGTGTGATTTGGGGCTCCAGCTCTGGAGCCAGCTGCAGGAACTTGGTTTCCAGTTCTGCCATATACTTGCTGTGTGTCCTTGGGCACTTTACTCCCCTTCTCTGAGTCTCAGTTCCTCATCTGTAAAATGGGGCCCATTTTATAAGGTTATTGTGAGAAGTCAGTGCATTATTACATATAAAGCTCAGGGAAGGGGATCTACAACCTAGTTGTTATTATTGTTATTTTTTTGAGACAGGGTCTCGCTATGTTGCCCATGCTGGTCTCAAACTCCTAGGCTCAAGGAATCTACCAATCTCAGCCTCCCAAGTAGCTGGGACTATAGGTGCATGCCACTGCACCTGGCTGTGCTTACTATTTTCTTTGAGTGGTATTGTAACCTAGCATTTAAGAGCATGGACACCCATTTCAAATCCTGGCTCTACTACTCAATTGCTCTGTGATCTTGGACCAGTTCTCTAACTTCCCTGTGTTTTAGCATCCTCAGCTCTAAAACAGGGCTAATAATAGTATTTACTTCTATCAGGTAAATGTGAGGATTAAATAAATTAATATATTTAAAGCCCTTACCCTAGATTGTATTTTAAAGGAGGATATGATTTCCACATTCAAAGGAAGCCAGCAAAAGTATTTTCCACTAGAAGTGATCTCAAACGGTGTCCTTGGCTTCATATTTCAAAGGCTGGTGTGGCCTCTGGAGATCACATTCAGTCTTGTTTATTTGATCAGTTTGCATGTTGAATCAGCTGCACTGTGAACAGTACACTCAGGATGGGTGTGCTTTCAGCCCCTGAGGGACCTACACATGACCCTGTCCATAGGCTTCTTGGCTGTAGGTAGGGCGGCCGTGAAATTGATGTCTAAGATGGAAGAGGGGAGATGGTGGGAGACACAAAAGAGGGTTCGCTGAGTCAAGCAGGGTTTGGTCAAGCTCTGTGGGGGCCTGATCAGGGGAATGCTGGTGAAGGTTTGACAAGAAGCTCTGGGCTGGGGGCACAGGGGAGGTAGGATGGCAGAGGAGAGGAAAGCCTTGATTTATAGCATTTGCCATGGTGTAAATATTCCCAGTTTCAGGTTACCAACTTAACATCACTGAACGCAGAGTTGGTTAATTCCATGATCATTTGTTTAATGCCTCCCAGATGCCATATGACTGGCTCTCAGCACACCACTGGCTTTGAACCTTCCTGCCACTAGTTGCCGAGGCCAGAAGTCCCACTGTCGGAACCTCAACCTTCGAATTTAAGTTTGATCCATTTTGAAAGGGAGTGTGGGGGGGAAGGGGTCGTCACTTCCACCTCACGTTGTGAGGGCCATCCAATCCCCGGCCCCCCATTTGCTAATCTGAGGCTGTGGACAATTGGGCTTCACCTATCCACACCTGTTTCTTTATCTGGAAAGTGGGGATTATAATCACTTTGCTTCCCAGGACTATGGTGAAGATAGGATGAGAAAATTACATGTTAGTGTTCAACTCATAGAAGGAGCCCAACTAACATGCTGCATCCTCATCACAATATCTTTCCTCTTGTTGCCTCAACTGCGACTTTCCTGAGAGACCTAAGGGAGGTGAGCCCTGGATATCTCCCAGTGAGGGTAAGATCCTGGGCAACCAGCAAAGACTGAATCATACCTTTCTTTTTTTTTTTTTTTTTTGAGATGGAGTTTCACTCTTGTTGCCCAGGCTGTAGTGCAATGGTGTGATCTCAGCTCACTGCAACCTCTGCCTCCTGGGTTCAAGTGATTCTCCTACCTCAGCCTCCCAAGTAGCTGGGATTACAGGTGTGCACTACCATGCCCGGCTATTTTTTGTATTTTTAGTAGAGATGGGGTTTCGCCACGTTGACCAGGCTGGTCTCAAACTCCTGACCTCAGGTGATCCACCCACCTTGGCCTCCCAAAGTGCTGGAATTACAAGCATGAGCCACCACACCCAGCCTTCAATCACACCTTTCTCAGTGACTCCTTTTTGTAACTGCTAGGTAGAGCAGAACAGAGGCTAAGGATGAGGTGGGACCAGGGACAAGGTACCATGTGCCTGGAGTCTGAAGACTTGGATTTCAGATGCAACTTGACTAGTGACCCTGGTAAAGTTGCTTTGCTCCTGGGTTAAATGGGACTGATGGTTCCTTCCCAATTTGCCTTATAAGGCTGCTGCAGTGCATATGAAGGTGTCTGGCCAGCTGTAACATGCATATGGGAGTGCTGACTGCTGCTGTCATTGTTGGCATTATTGATGAAAGTGATAGGAGGGAATGGTTGCTCCAGAGGTGAGGGAGACCTGGAAAGATTCCCAGAGTGAAAGATCAGGGGTAAAGGCCTGATTGCTGTTGCCACTGTTGTTGGCATTATTGATGAAAGTGATAGGAGGATGGTTGCTCCATAGGTGAGGATGACCTGGAAAGATTCCCAGAGTGAGAGATCAGGAGGGCAAAGGCCTGATGGCTGTGGTCATTCTTGTTGGCTTTACTGATGAAAGTGATAGGAGGATGGTTGCTCCAGAAGTGAGGATGACCAGAAAAGATTCCCAGAGTGAAAGATCAGGAGGCTAAAGACCTCGAGTGGGAAGGGAATAGAGTGTTCCATGTAGAGAGAGAACAAAGGTGGCCTGGACTAGCAGGTTCTGCTGACTCTGACCTCTGGCTTTGATTGAAACATTCATCAGACTTGGTTGTTTGCTGAAACAAAAGTCAGGGGACTTCGAGAAATCAAGTCAAGATCAAGGTCCATGTCAGCAGCTCAGAAGAGCTGGTGTTTAATCAATGTCAACTCCTGAGTAATAAGCCCTGATAAGACCCGAGTATACTCCTCACATCCTCCTTCTGCAGCAGCTCACAGGCTCCCAGCACCAGCCATGTGCTAGGAGTGTCCTTACTGCTGCCCAGAAAAGGGAGGAGTTGAAGGCCAGGAGGCCCCTGGTGCAGAGGAGAGGACAGGAAGACCAGCAGAAAAAGGCACTGGGTAAAGTTCCTAAGGTTGATCAGGAACAGAGTTGGGCCTTAGATAAAGCCACTCAGGCTGAGCTCCTGGGGTGGGGGCAGGTCATGTGTGGTTTCCACAGCATCTGGTCCAGATGCCATCGGATAGGAGCCCAAGGGTGGGGCAGAAGCTCACAGAGTGGGAGGACTCCAGGGCTCCCTCAGGAGAGGTTCTGTTTCAGCAGCACTGAATAGTTCCATCAGCCATGAGATCATGGTATCATAGATACTTTGGGTCAACTGAGGACCCGAGTCAACATTTCTTTCGAAGTCTGCCTGAAAAAAGGGGATAAAACTTTTATCAGAAAGGGCTAAGGAAAATGTTTGCAATACATATGAAAAAAGCTAACATCCTCACTATTATAAGACCTCATAAAATGAGCATCCCACCCATTAAAAGAATAAATAATTTACAGAAGAAATACAAGGGGGTATTGAACATATTAAAAAGTTCAAGCTCATGCAAGTAAAATATTAAAAAGTAAAATTCAGAAGTACGGGGTAGAGCTGATTTGCATTTCTCAGTTTGTGGCCCGTGACCATCAGCAGTCTACAGGCCTCTCTTCAGTGGCTCTTCACGATTGCCTGCTTGGACCACAAATTCCTTTTTATCTCCTTCCTCTCTCCTCCTCAAGCCCCCTTCCCCATTGGTGAATGCTCTTTGTTCAATATGAAGTCTCTCTCTCTCCCTGTCTTTCTCCTGGAACACACTACAGGTTTGAGCCTAATTCTTAGTTCATGACATACTTGTATCACTGGTTTATGTGAAGCTCTCATCAAAAAATTATTTTAAATAATGCAATAAAATCCTGGGATGTCACTGCCTTAGAGGACACTTAACCGTGGACAGTGACTTGTCCCATCTCCATGGTCCACCCCAATCCCATGCTGCTGGCTTCTGCCCAGGCACCTGCCGTCTTGAATTTGGTGCCTCTCATTCCTATGCCTTCCTGTCATCTATTTGTACTCCTTCAAAGTATATATGTTTTGTTTCATTTGTCTTAATTTTATTAAAAGAGTATCTTGTACATATTTTTATGGGACTTAGAGATAAGTGGGCTGATTCAAGAGGAGAGACTCACAGGGTGGTGGTGGTGAGGATGATGGGGAAAGAATCTGCAAGGTATCCCATATTTCAGTCTTAGGTGACTGAGTAGTTGGTGGAGTCATTCAGTTAGATAGGCCTAGGAAAGAAGAAAGGGGCTGGTGGGGAGATGATGAACTCAGTTCTGGGCAAAGCAATAATTTAGGCTCGCATTTATTGAATGTCTGCTGTGTTCCAGTCAGTTTTGTAGAACTTAAAGTGCTCTGCATGTATTATTACATTTAAGCATAACAAGAACCTCACAAGACAGGCACTGTTATTATTTTCATTTTAAAGATAAGGAAACTAAGAGGGAGAAAAGTTTAGTAGGTTCTGAGCCCATCAACATGATGGATCACACCTTTCTGCTGCGAACAGAAATATTGGATAAAATGTTTAAAATATTAAATATTTGTCATTAAAAATATTGATATGAAACTATTTACAAATAAAATATTTAAAAATTCTCAAAAAGCAAGGGAAATCCTCAGGTGACAGGAGTAAAGAAAACCCAAAGCCAGGGTGGATGCATTGGACATTTATGGATAAAACAAGCCCCACTGGCATCTGCCATTACTGAGGCTTGAGTAGGCGGTTTTCCCCTCGCAGTGTAAACAAAGCCACTGGGAAGTTCGAACTGGGCAGAGCCCACCGTAGCTTGGCAAAGCCACTGTAGCCAGACTGCCTCTCTAGATTCCTCCTCTCCGGGCAGGGCATCTCTGAAAGAAAGGCAGCAGCCCCAGTCAGGGGCTTATAGATAAAACTCGCATTTCCCTGGGCCAGAGCACCTGGGGGAAGGGGCAGCTATGGGCGCAGCTTTGGCAGACTTAAATGTTCCTGCCTGCCGGCTCTGAAGAGAGCAGTGGATCTCCCAGCACAGCACTTGAGCTCTGCTAAGGGACAGACTGCCTCCTCAAGTGGGTCCCTGACCCCTTTGCCTCCTGACTGGGAGACACCTCCCAGCAGGGGTTGACAGATACCTCATACAGGAGAGCTCTGGCTAGCATCTGGCGGTGCCCCTCTGGGACGAAGCTTCCAGAGGAAGAAACAGGCAGCAATATTTGCTGTTTTGCAGCCTCTGCTAGTGATACCCAGGCAAACAGGTCTGGAGTGGACCTCCAGCAAACTCCAGCAGACCTGCAGCAGAGGGGCCTGACTGTTAGAAGGAAAACTAACAAACAGAAAGGAATAGCATCAACATCAACAAAAGAGACATCCACACAGAAACCCCATCTGAAGGCCACCAACATCAAAGACCAAAGGTAGATAAATCCATGAAGATGAGGAAAAACCAGTGCAAAAAGGCTGAAAATTCCAAAAACCAGAACACCTCTTCTCCTCCAAATGATCACAACTCCTTGCAGGCAAGGGAACAAAACTGGATGGAGAATGAGTTTGATGAATTGACAGAACTAGGCTTCAGAAGGTGGGTAATAACAAACTCCTCTGAGCTAAAGGAGCATGTTCTAACCCAATGCAAGGAAGCTAAGAACCTTGAAAAAAGGTTAGAGGAATTGCTAACTAGCAAAACCAGTTTAGAGAAGAATATAAATGACCTGATGGAGCTGAAAAACACAGCATGAGAACTTTGTGAAGCATACACAAGGATCAATAGCTGAATCAATCAAGCAGAAGAAAGGATATCAGAGATTGAAGATCAACTTAATGAAATAAAGTGTGAAGACACAATTAGAGAAAAAAGAATATAAAGGAACGAACAAAGCCTCCAAGAAATATGAGACTATGTGAAAAGACCAAGCCTACGTTTGATTGGTGTACCTGAAAGTGACGGAGGGAATGGAACCAAGTTGGAAAACACTCTTCAGGATATTATCCAGGAGAACTTCCCCAACCTAGCAAGACAGGCCAACATTCAAATTCAGGAAATACAGAGAACACCACAAAGATACTCCTCGAGAAGAACAACCCCAAGATACATAATTTTCAGATTCACCAATGTTGAAATGAAGGAAAAAATGTTAAGGGCAGCCAGAGAGAAAGGTCAGGTTACCTACAGAGGGAAGCCCATCAGACTAACAGCTGATCTCTCTGCAGAAACTCTACAAGCCAGAAGAGAGTGGGGGTCCAATATTCAACATTCATTTTTTTTTTTTTTTGAGACAGAGTCTCACTCTGTTGCCCAGGCTGGAGTGCAGTGGCGCGGTCTTGGCTCACTGCAAGCTCCACCTCCTGGGTTCACGCCATTCTCCTGCCTCAGCCTCCTGAGTGGCTGGGACTAGAGGCGCCCGCCACCATGCCCAGCTAATTTTTTTTTGTATTTTTAGTAGAGATGGGGTTTCACCGTGTTAGCCAGGATGGTCTCGATCTCCTGACCTTGTGATCTGCTCACCTCGGCCTCCCAAAGTGCTGGGATCACAGACGTGAGCCGCCGCGCCTGGCCTTCAACATTCTTAAAGAGAAGAATTTTCAACCCAGAATTTCATATCCAGCCAAACTAAGCTTCATGAGTGAAGGAGAAATAAAATCCTTTACAGACAAGCAAATGCTGAGAGATTTTGTCACAACCAGGCCTGCCTTACAAGAGCTCCTAAAGGAAGCACTAAACATGGAAAGAACAAACTGGTACCAGCCACCACAAAAACATACCAAATTGTAAAGACCATTGACACTATGAAGAAACTGCATCAACTAATGGGAAAAATAACCAGCTAGCATCATAATGACAGAATCAAATTCACGCATAACAATATTAACCTTAAATGTAAACAGGTTAAATGCCCCAATTAAAAGACACTGACTGGCAAATTGGATAGAGAGTCAAGACCCATCGGTGTGCTGTATTCAGGAGACTCATCTCACGTCCAAAGACACACATAGGCTCAAAATAAAGGGATGGAGGAATATTTATCAAGCAAATGGAAAGCAAAAAAAAAAAAAAAAAAAAAAAAAGCAGGGGATGCAATCCTAGTCTCTGATAAAACAGACTTTAAGCCAACAAAGATCAAAAAGACAAAAAAGGGCATTACATAATGGTAAAGGGATCAATGCAACACGAAGAGCTAACTATCCTAAATATATATGCACCCAAAACAGGAGCACCCAGATTCATAAAGCAAGTTCTCAGAGACCTACAAAGAGACTTAGACTCCCACACAATAATGGGAGACTTTAACACCCCACTGTCAATAGTAGACAGATCAGCAAGACAGAAAATTAACAAGGATATTCAGGACTTGAACTCACCTCTGGACCAAGTGGACCTAGTAGACATCTACAGAACTCTCCACCCTAAATCAACAGAATATACATTCTTCTCAGCATCCTGATACCACAACATCACACTTATTCTAAAACTGACCACATAATTGGAAGTAAAACAGTCCTCAGCAAATGCAAAAGAATGGAAATCATAACAAACAGTCTCTCAGACCACAGTGCAATCAAGTTAGAGTTCAAGATTAAGAAACTTGCTCAAAACTATACAACTACATGGAAACTGAATAACCTGCTCCAGAATGACTACTGGGTAAATAATGAAGTGAAGGCAGAAATAAATAAGCTCTTTGAAACCAATGAGAACAAAGACACAATGTACTAGAATCTCTGGAACACAGCTAAAGCAGTGTTTACAGGGAAATTTATAGCACTAAATGACCACAGGAGAAAGCAGGAAAGATTTAAAATCGACAGCCTAACATCACAATTAAAAGAACTAGAGAAGCAAAAGCAAACAAATTCAAAAGCTAGCAGAAGACAAGAAATAACTAAGATCAGAGCAGAACTGAAGGAGAGAGAGAGATGAAAAACCCTTCAAAAAATCAATGAATCCAGGAGCTGGTTTTTTGAAAAGATCAACAAAATAGATAGACCACTAGCCAGACTGATAAACAAGAAAGGAGACACGAATCAAATAGACACAATAAAAAATGATAAAGAGGATATCACCATTGATCCCACAGAAATACAAACTACGATCAGAGAATACTATAAACACCTCTACACAAATAAGCTAGAAAATCTAGAAGAAATGGATAAATTCCTGGACACATACGCCCTCCCAAGACTAAACCAGGAAGAAGTCGAATCCCTGAATAGATCATTCACAAGTTCTGAAATTGAGGCAGTAATTAATGGCCTCCCAACCATAAAAAGCCCAGGACCAGGCAGATTCACAGCTGAATTCTATCACAGGTACAAAGAGGAGCTGGTACCATTCCTTGTGAAACTATTCTAAACAATAGAAAAAAGAGGGAATCCTCTTTAACTCATTTTATGAGGCCAGCATCATCCTGATACCAAAACCTGGCAAAGACACAACAAAAAAAGAAAATTTCAGGCCAATATCCCTGATGAACATCGATGCAAAAATCCTCAATAAAATGCTGGCAAACCAAATCAAGCAGCACATCAAAAAGCTTATCTACCACCATCAAGTCGGCCTCATCCCTGGGATGCAAGGTTGGTTCAACATACACAAATCAATAAATGTAATCCAGCACATAAACAGAACCAATGACAAAAACCACATTATTTTCTCAATAGATGCAGAAAAGGCCTTCGATAAAATTCAACACCCCTTCATGCTAAAAACTCAATAAACTAGGTACTGATGGAACATATCTCAAAATAATAAGAGCTATTGGTGACAAACCCACAGCCAATATCATACTGAATGGGCAGAATCTGGAAGCATTCCCTTTGAAAACCGGCACAAGACAAGGATGCCCTCTCTCACCACTCCTGTTCAACATAGTATTGGAAGTTCTGGCCAGGGCAATCAGGCAAAGAGAAAGAAATAAAGCGTATTCGAATAGGAAGAGAGGAAGTCAAATTGTCTCTGTTTGCAGATGACATGATTGTATATTTAGAAAACCCCATCGCCTCAGCCCAAAATCTCCTTAAGCTGATAAGCAACTTCAGCAAAGTCTCAGAATACAAAATCAATGTGCAAAAATCAAAAGCATTCCTATACAACAGTAACAGACAGAGAGCTAAATAATGAGTGAACTCCCATTCACAAATGCTACAAAGAGAATAAAATACCTAAGAATACAACTTACAAGGGATGTGAAGAACCTCTTCAAGGAGAACTACAAACCACTGCTCAAGGAAATAAGAGAAGACACAAACAAATAGAAAAACATTCCACGCTCATGGATAGGAAAAATGAATATCGTGAAAATGGCCATACTGCCCAAAGTGATTTATAGATTCAATGCTATCCCCATCAAGCTACCACTGACTTTATTCACAGACTTAGAAAAAACTACTTTAAATTTTATATGGAACCAAAAAGAGCCCATATAGCCAAGACAATCCTAAGCAAAAAGAAAAAAGCTGGAGGCATCACGCTACCTGACTTCAAACTATACTACAAGTCTACAGTAACGAAAACAGCATGGTACTGCTACCAAAACAGATATATAAACAAATGGAACAGAACAGAGGCCTCAGAAATAACATCACAGGTCTACAACCATCTGATCTTTGACAAACCTGACAAAAACAAGCAATGGGGAAAGGATTCTCTATCTAATAAATGGTGTTGGGAAAACTGGCTAGCCATATGCAAAGAACTGAAACTGGACCCATTCCTTACACCTTATACAAAAATAAACTCAAGGTGGATTAAAGACCTAAACATAAGACCTAAAATCGTAAAACCCTAGAAGAAAGCTAGGCAATACCATTCAGGACATAGGCATTGGCAAAGACTTCATGACTAAAACACCAAAAGCAATGGCAACAAAAGCCAAAATTGACAAATGGGATCTAATTAAACTAAAGAGCTTCTGCACAGCAAAATAAACTATCATCAGAGTGAACAGACAACCTATAGAATGGGAGAAATTTTTGCAATCTATCCATCTGACAAAGGGCTAATATCCAGAATCTACAAAGAACTTAAACAAATTTACAAGAAGAAAACAACCCCATCAAAAAGTGGGTGAAGGATATGAACAGATACTTCTCAAAAGAAGACATTTATGCAGTCAACAAACATATGAAAAAAAAGCTCATCATCACTGGGCATTAGAGAAATGCAAATAAAAACCACAATGAGATGAGATACCATCTAACCCCAGTTAGAATGATGATCATTAAAAAGTCAGGATAAAACAGATGCTTGAGAGGATGTGGAGAAATAGGAATGCTTTTACACTGTTGGTGGGAGTGTAAATTAGTTCAACCATTGTGGAAGACAGTGTGGTGATTCCTCAAGGATCTAGAACCAGAAATACCATTTGACCCAGAAATCCCATTACTGGGTATATACCCAAAGGATTATTAATCATTCTACTATAAAGACACATGCACACATATGCTTATTGCAGCACTGTTCACAATAGCAAAGACTTGGAGCCAACCCAAATGCCCATCAATGATAGACTGGATAAAGAAAATGTAGCACATACACAGCATGGAATACTATGCAGCCATAAAATGGATGAGTTCATGTCCTTTGCAGGGACATGGATGAAGCTGGAAGCCATCATTCTCAGCAAACTAACATAAGAACAGAAAACAAAACACTGCATGTTCTCACTCATAAGTGGGAGTTGAACAATGATAACACATGGACACAGGGAGGGGAACATCACACATCTGGGCCTGTTGGGGGATTGGGGGCTAGGGGAGGGATAACATTAGAAGAAATACCTAATGTAAATGACAGATTGATGGGTGCAGCAAACCACCATGGTATGTATATACCTATGTAACAAACCTGCACGTTTTGTACATGTATCCCAGAACTTAAAGTATAATAAACAAAATTTTTTAAAAAAGCCCCACTGAAGCTAAGCTGTCATTAAAGAAATTATAAACCATACATGAGGAAGGGTCAGGAGACACATTAAATAGATGAATTGATATCCCTAAAGAATAAAGAAGAATTTGAAAGACACTATAGGTCTTTTTAAATGAAGAAACAAAACCATAATGAAATAATTAAATACTCTGAGAACACCTGAAGGTTAGTCACTTATCCAAGAGTAAGTGTCCCAGAGTAAGTGGGATTCAGTTATAAGACAAAGGTGAGGGGATATCTTGGTGACATAACTATTAAGTGGTGCAGATGGCTCCCTAAGCTTTTGCTCTTACTTGCTGGACTGCAGGTACTGATGTAGATTTGAAGAGTCTATTGGACATCCCAGGGCAGCAGCAAAAGTGGGTTTAGAGAAAGGTAGAGAATGCTAGGTCTCACCATATTTTCCCCCCGCAGCACTACAGGACGTCGGGACTGGGCATTTCCTTCCAACATGGCCGCCACTGCCTCTCCGCAGCCACTCGCCACTGAGGATGCCGATTCTGAGAATAGCAGCTTCTATTACTATGACTACCTGGATGAAGTGGCCTTCATGCTCTGCAGGAAGGATGCAGTGGTGTCCTTTGGCAAAGTCTTCCTCCCAGTCTTCTATAGCCTGATTTTTGTGTTGGGCCTCAGCGGGAACCTCCTTCTTCTCATGGTCTTGCTCCGTTACGTGCCTCGCAGGCGGATGGTTGAGATCTATCTGCTGAATCTGGCCATCTCCAACCTTCTGTTTCTGGTGACACTGCCCTTCTGGGGCATCTCCGTGGCCTGGCATTGGGTCTTCGGGAGTTTCTTGTGCAAGATGGTGAGCACTCTTTATACTATTAACTTTTACAGTGGCATCTTTTTCATTAGCTGCATGAGCCTGGACAAGTACCTGGAGATCGTTCATGCTCAGCCCTACCACAGGCTGAGGACCCGGGCCAAGAGCCTGCTCCTTGCTACCATAGTATGGGCTGTGTCCCTGGCCGTCTCCATCCCTGATATGGTCTTTGTACAGACACATGAAAATCCCAAGGGTGTGTGGAACTGCCACGCAGATTTCGGCGGGCATGGGACCATTTGGAAGCTCTTCCTCCGCTTCCAGCAGAACCTCCTAGGGTTTCTCCTTCCACTCCTTGCCATGATCTTCTTCTACTCCCGTATTGGTTGTGTCTTGGTGAGGCTGAGGCCCGCAGGCCAGGGCCGGGCTTTAAAAATAGCTGCAGCCTTGGTGGTGGCCTTCTTCGTGCTATGGTTCCCATACAATCTCACCTTGTTTCTGCATACGCTGTTGGACCTGCAAGTATTCGGGAACTGTGAGGTCAGCCAGCATCTAGACTACGCACTCCAGGTAACAGAGAGCATCGCCTTCCTTCACTGCTGCTTTTCCCCCATCCTGTATGCCTTCTCCAGTCACCGCTTCCGCCAGTACCTGAAGGCTTTCCTGGCTGCCGTGCTTGGATGGCACCTGGCACCTGGCACTGCCCAGGCCTCATTATCCAGCTGTTCTGAGAGCAGCATACTTACTGCCCAAGAGGAAATGACTGGCATGAATGACCTTGGAGAGAGGCAGTCTGAGAACTACCCTAACAAGGAGGATGTGGGGAATAAATCAGCCTGAGTGACCAAATTTTGGTCTGGTGGGAACAGATGGGAACCAGCTCAATTGGGTGTCCACTCAAAGTGCTCTCTCCAGGGGCCTCAGTGACTGTGTTGCTAAACCCAGTGGTCAGTTCTCAGTTCTCAGCCATCAGCAGCATTTGCTCGCCCCGCCTTCTTCCTCCACTTTCTTCACTTGCTTCCAGGATACCACGCTTTCTTTTCTGAATTGCTACAATCTTTCTTCCTTCCTTCCTTGCTTCCTTCCTTCCTTCCTTCCCTCTCTCCCTCCCTCCCTCCCTCGCTTCTTCCCTTCCTCCTTTCCTCCCTTCCTACTTTCCTTCCTTCCTTCTGACAGGGTCTTGCTCTATTGCTCTGTCACCCAGGCTGGAATGCAGTGGCGAGATCTCCGCTCACTGTAGCCTCCTCCCCCTGGGTTGAAGCAATTCTCATGCCTCAGCCTCCCAAGTAGCCAGGACTATAGGCACCTGCCACCATGCCTGGCTAATTTTTGTATTTTTTTTCTTTCTTTCTTTCTTTTCTTTTTTTTTTTTTTTTGAGACGGAGTCTCACTCTTGTTGCCCAGGCTGGACAACAATGGCGCGATCTCGGCTCACTGCAACCTCCACCTCCCGGATTCAAGCGATTCTCCTGCCTCAGCCTCCTGAGTAGCTGGAACTACATGCGCGTGCCACCACGCACAGCTAATTTTTATAATTTTAGTAGAGATGGGGTTTCACTGCGTTGGCCAGGATGATCTCGATCTCTTGACCTTGGGATCCACCCGCCTTGGCCTCCCAAAGTGCTGGGATTACAGGTGTGAGCCACCATGCCTGGCCCTAATTTTTGTGTTTTTATTAGAAACAGAGTTTCACCATGTTGGCCAGGCTGGAGAATTGCTGTAATAGTTTTCCAACTGGCCCCTGTCCTTCCTCTCTCTTGCTCTCCTCCCATCTCATCTGCACCTAGCAGCCAGAGTGATCCTGATACTCTCGGCCTTTACTTCCGCCTCCCTCAGAGCAGCAGCCTGTCAAAACACCAGATTACAACAAATTTAGTTTAAAGGTCTCAATTAGCGTTATTGGCAATTCTAGAATCAGGCAACAGACTCATTGAATCAGGAACAGATTCACTCCATAAAATACAGAGAGTGCTGCAATGAGCTGGGTAGAAGAGGTTAGTTTTATAGACAGGAAGGGGCTGTCAAAGGCAGAAAGAAATGAAGAACAAAAAAAAAGATTGATTTTTTTTTTTTTGAGACAGGATCTCACTCTGTCATCCAGGCTGAAGTCCAATCCCACAATCATGGCTCACTGCAGCCACCACCTCCTGAGCTCAAGTGATCCTCCCATCTAAGCCCCCAAGTAGCTAGGACTACAGGAGCACACCACCACACCTGGCTAATTTTTGTATTTTTTGTGGAGACAGGGTCTCAGTATGTTACCCAGGTTGGACTGGAAACCCTTGGCTCAAGCAATTTGCCTGCCTCAGCCTCCCAAAGTGCTGGGATTACAGGCGTGAGCCACTGCACAGGGCCAGATTCATCATTTCAAAGTTACTTTCTATATGCGGCCGGAACAGGGTGGTTGACATCAGTTTTCTTCAGGTTACTTTTTAATAATGATTAAAACGGGGAACTTCATTATCATGAGCATGGTTACTGTCTGCATTATTACGCCAACTGAAACTGTCATGTTTGGGAATTTGGCTGTTAACTCTGTCTCCAGGAGTCTCAAAGGTCAGATAACAACTTAGTTTTGGTTTGAGGACATGGAACTTTAATACGACAGATTCCATTTTGGTTTGGTCTGGTCAGCTGGGACCTAGTGCAGGAGGTTAGTCCAAAACAATGGCCTTCCATAGTTTTTACTTAACAAGCCCAACTCCTTACGGTAATCCTTTAAGGCCTATGTGATCTGCCCTCACCCTGGCTACACTCTTTGCCCTTATGTCCACCAGCCTCCAGTGCTCCAGACACAACTGATCTCAAATACTCCTGACACATCCCCCTGGGGATTCCTCTTCCTGGATTGCTCTCCTCTCAGCTGTCTGCTTGGCTCACTCTCTCACCTTCTGAGGTCTTAGCTCAGATACCACCTTTCACTCACCTGTCCAACCTATTTAACACAAACTGGCCCATCTCTGACGCTCCTGATCTTCCTGATGCTCTATTTTTAAATTTTTTCAATAGTGCTTATTTCTTTCAGACATTGTATATGTTTCTCCTATTTGTGATGTTCAGTGGCTACTGTCCCCACCCACATTGTCCCAGGTGAATTCCACAAGGTAGGGATCTTGGTTAGGCTCACTGCTGTACCCAACCCCCTAACACAGGGCCTGGTGTGTAGGTTTTCAGAAAGTATCTGTAAAATGCATGGGTGGAGGAGGGAGCATTTTCCTTCTGGCACTGCTGGGGAAAAAGAACCTAAGGCCCTCCACTCACCAGGGTTCCACATTCTCTGTAGTCCAGCTGGGAAATGCTATTAAAAGGACCATTCTCGTAGCCTTGATGGTGGACCCAGCATCTGGCAATCAGGAGGGCCTTGAAGTACTCTGCCTAGGGAATGTCCCAGGACCATATACAGTCTGCAGAAGGAGGCAGTGAACACACTTGGCCTAGGCCCCATCTCAGGAGCCTTCACATCTCCCTGGGACCTGCACAATCAAGTCCAAAATCTTTGTCTGATGTCAAGGCTAGGGCTTTTGCAAATAGGATCCCATACATCTTCCAGCCCTCATACTCCTCCACTCCCTTTTCATTTCCTGAACATTCCAACTTCTATGCCTTTGCTCTTGTGGGCTCCCTCATGTAATTAGGATAATTTCCAGCCAGGTATTCCCTCACCCTTGTTTTACAACTGAATCCCACTTTCTCTGGGACTCCACTGCTTGGTCACTCTGCCCTGTGCTTTGAGAGGAGGTTGGGTGGAGCATGGGACATGGGCCATTTACTGCCTTCACATTTCCCTGGTCACGGTGATTTTTTTAGGGGTGGGCACATGACCTAGGTAGAGCCAATGAAGTGCAATATCACTAGAACATGTGAGAAGAGAGGCATGAAACCGAAGCTGAGAGGGTTTGAGATCTGGAGCTACTCCTTCCTCCACCCAAACTTCAGAAGGTGAAGGAGATAGTGCATGTGAGTGAGCAGATCCCGAGGGCACTGTTTGAGCCTCAGAATCAAAGCACTTCTGAAGCTAGTCCCAATCTTGGATTCGACAGTTACAAGAACCAATAAATTCCTTTCCTTGTGGAGTCATGTTGTTTTGTTACTTGCAACCTAAAGATTCCTGACTGATATACTGTGCCCAGTGCTTTTCTCTTCATATCTCTAATGCTTGGCATTCTCCCTGCCCCCTGACACATCCACTGAGAAGCCTTTCCCCAGGGAGCTGCCTGCCCACATGGCATCTCTCTCTCCCGAGCTTCTAAAGCACCCACTGCTCTTCCCACCTCATAGAACTACCTGGTGCAACCTGCCCACGTCCCAGCATGTCTGCCCTGCACAATTGAACGTGGAACCTGGCACACAGGAAAGGAAACTTTTTGGTGGATGGAATGGAGGGTAGGAGAACAGACGGCTGGGTGAATGTAAGCTCCATGAGAGCAGGGACTTTGCCATGTGTAAACTCTGCATCCCCTGTGCTTCAACACATGCTCAGAGCATAGTAGACTTTTTTTGGAATGAATGGATAAGTTTTTTTGTTTCGTTTTGTTTTGTTTTTTGGAGCGAATGGCTGATAGAGGATTGAGCAGGCAAGCAGTATTCTGCCCGCTATTTCTTCTCTTCCCCTGAGCTTTTGATGGCATAGTTATAGCACATGTGTCACATGCTATCTGGCAGTCTCTTGATGTAGCACCAGTTGCCCTGTGCCTTCCCCACATCCAATCTCTCTCAGCTCTGCCTTTAGTTCTCTCTCCTCAAGGCCCCCAATTCCCCACCATGAGGAAGGACTCTGAGCTTCCTAGTTCCCTGGGAAATGAAGCTCTAGATCTGAAGGTGGATGTTTGTTTGAGGACGCGGAGGATGGAATTCTACTTTAGAGCTCCGGAAATCTTGTCCTACAAGGAACTTCTGTTCGTATGCCAGCCTGGCTGGTGAGATACAGCCTGAGCTGCACCAACAGGGTCTAGGTGCTCAGAGGCCCTGACTTTGTGCCCATGATGCACAGATAGGATGTCAAGCAAGGGACACCCAGCAGGGCTTGTCACACCAGCATTGGTGGATTTGTGTGTGTGTGTGTGTGTCTATCTGTCTGGGAAGTACGTGTGCTATGTGGGCTGTGTGTAGTATATATGGTTGTGTATGTGGTTATGATGCAGCTGTATCACTGTGTCCAAGTGGGTCTGGTTATGTGCCTGCAACTTTCCTATTCTTTCTTTTTTTGAGACGGAGTCTTGCTGGAGTGCAGTGACATGATCCCAGCTCACTGCAACCTCTGCCTCCCAGGTTCAAGCAATTCCTGTGCCTCAGCCTCCAGAGTAGCTGGGATTACAGGCATGAGCTAACTTTTGTATTTTTGTATTTTTAATAGAGACAGGGTTTCGCCATGTTGGCCAGGCTGGTCTCAAACTTCTGAGCTAAAGTGATCTGCCCACCTCGGCCTCCCAAAGTGCTGGGATTACAGGCATGAGCCACTTCGCCCAGTCCTATTTGTCTTTCATGCCTTTCTCTGTGTATGTGTGAGTGTGTACTTGCCGCAAAAGGCAGGAATATAACAAGTAGTGCCCTGAAGCCTATGTCCAAAGGAGAGGGCAAGAGCTAGCTGCAGGTACCTGGTTCTCTGTCACTGTCTTAGGTGCAATATAGTTTGAGAGCAGCTCAGCAGCTCTCACAGCCCAGGCCAGGATAAAGCCCTCTCCACCCCAGCCTTACTTCCGGGTTTGGGCCTTGGTCCCTCCTGTTGCTCTCTGTCTTCCCAGAGGCCTGACAAAGTCTGGCTCCCTGACTGCACTGCTCAAACCTTTCCCAGGGGTCTCAGGAAAGCAATCAGAATTCCTCTGACCCTCAGGCTCTGAGGCAAGGTGGACTCTTCCCATGGGCCAACCTAGGGAGAAGTGTAGAAGTTGCTTTGCCTGTGGGCAGGGCTGCTGCCTGTGCTGAACGCCACGAAATGTGATGTTTTGACTCCAGTTAATTCTCTATGAGAAAAGCATCTCTTTTCTTTCCCAGGTGCCTGAAATTCCACCATTGGAAAGCCACCCCGATCTTGCTTTATTATAAACTATCTTCAGAGAGAACGCATTTAGTGGGCTTTCCTCTGAGGTCCTGATGAGGAAAAGGATGAGAGGAAGAAAATATTTGGCATAGAAATGAGGAATTGGGGACAGAATGACCAGGTTGGGTGGGTGGTGACTAGAGGCATCCTTGGCGGTCGCAGTCTTCCTCCTGCCTCAAGGCCTCTGCCAGGGTTGGCTGCAGCAGTCCTCATGCAGGGGGCAGAGAGCTATATGGCCCATGGGCCCCTCCCATGCAAGCAGGCGGGCATGGGGCATTGGGATCCCTGCCCACACTCCAATCCTGGGGGGCTCTTGCTTCCTGGGAGGCCTGTTGTTATGCTGGATATCCCTGACTGTGGGATGGTACACTTGCATTCACCTCACACCTCACCCGCTGAGGCTTCTCTAGGTCCCAAGCATCTCCTCTGGAGCTCTCAGACAGGCCACAGGGTCCATTAAGTTCCTATCTGCACATGGTCACTCTCAGTTGAGACCTTCTGGTCCTGACTCAGGGAACTCCAGCCCTCAGCCTCACCCCAGCCAATCCATAGGCCACTCTCCTGGCCCATATTCCTTTGGGTGTGAGGCACAAAAGGAGACACAGCACCAAGGTCTAGGGAGGGCCAAGGAGGTGTGTTAAGGCTCTGTTCCTGCTTCCCCACAGCCCCAGCCCCATTGTACTGGGCACAGGGCCTGGCTGGGCAGAGATGTCATTGGTACATTTCCCATGGATAGTCTTCCACCTTCCAGCCCATTTCTCCTCCTTCTATGCCCCCTACTCAACTCTTCTCCTTGTGCTCCTGGTCCTTGTAGAATAGGATGGGATATCTCAGCTTCTCCTAACCAGGCAGAGCTCTATCAAGCCCTAGGCAGACATCAGCATTTGCGGGCAGCTGACCTCAGAGAAATGCAGGCCCTGGACCAGGGTCACATAGCTAGTTGGAGACAGACTGTCACCCCAGCTCAGGCCCTTGCCTACTCTCCTGGCAGAGCAGAACAGGCAGCCAGCCTCAGGAGAAATGTGAGGCTGCCAGAGATGTAAGATAAAAGTAGCAGAGAGAAGTTCCACTGGCTGGTCGCTGGGTCGGGGGGTCCATGCAGCCTGGGCCCACCTCCTCCAAGACACTCTATCCAGCTCCCACAGTCATTCTTCCTCCTGTCCCAGCTCCAGCTGGAGCCCTGCCATCAGCCAGCTGCAGCTATGGCAGCCACCCCCTCACCCTCTTGTAGCACTGATAAGCACGCTGGGAAGGGGGATTGTCTTCATTTCATAGATTGGAGGGCTGAGGCCAGGAAATGATTTGAGGACTGAAAGTAAATTAGCCGAGACTGGAAGTCAGGTTTCTAACATTTAATCTCCACTTAGGGAATTGGAGGTCAGAAATGAATAAAATACCATGCCCCAGTAGGCTCCAGTCTAGGGAAGTGGGCAGCAGGCAGAAACCAAGACACAGAAAGCAACGACACATAACAGATATGCTATGATACAAATGGTGCTGCAGGAGCTGCACAGTTCGGAGGCCATTTCTGGCCAGAGGATGGGATGCGTGAAATCCAGGAAGGCTTCCAGGAAGGAGTAGCTGGCACTGGGATGGGCAGGAACAGCAATGTCTCTACTGATGGTTTCATTGGAGAAAGCTGGCAAAGTTGAGAAGTTTGGAGACTAACCGTGACAAAATTTAAACATCAGGTATGTGAAGGCAAGGGGGACCAACTGTGACAAAATGTAAACGTCAAGTGTGTGAAGTCAAAGGGGAACCAGGAAAGTAAAAGAGTGACAATCAGCAGTGCTTTTGGCAAAAAGGCCTCTGGCAGCAGTGTAGAAGAGAAACGCAGAGATCACAGGTATAAGAATGACAGTAGGAGAGGGGAGGAGGGTACATATTTCAGAGGCATCACAGGGGGGTGTACTGATAGGACGGGGGCCTGCTTGTATGAAGGTGAAAGAGGAGGAGGGAGAGTGTCTCTGGGAGATGGGGTGAATGGTAGTGTTCTGAGCAGAGAGAGCAGGGAAATCAGGAGGAGGAGTGGTTCAGGGAAGAGGCAGGGGTTCAGATGCCAAGTTCTGCATTGGCCAAGCTGAGTCAGAGGTGCTGGGAGACTCCCATGTGGGTCTGGGGATAGAAGAAAGCTCTGAGTTCAGCAATGATCATGGAAACCAAGGGAGGGTTGACAGCACCCTGAGGTGGGGGAGACATGGGCACTGAGGAGGGATCTTGAATGATTCCTACATTAAAGACATCCTGACTGGGCACAGTGGCTCATGCCTGTAATCCCAGAACTTTGGGAGGCCGAGGAGGCCGGCCAAAATGGTGAAACGCCGTCTCTACTAAAAATACAGAAACTAGCCGGGTGTGGTGGTGCGCACCTATAATCCCAGCTACTCAGAAGCCTGAGGCAGGAGAATTACTTGAACCCGGGAGGCAGAGGTTGTAGTGAGCCAAGATCACACCACTGCACTGCAGCCTGGGCAACAGAGTGAGACTCTGTCTCAAAAAAAAAAAAAGGTATCATTTCTCTAGACCTGTGCTATCCAATAGGGCAGCCACCTGCCACACACGGCAATTAAGCACTTGGAATGTGGCTAGTCTGAACTGGGAAGAACTGCAAAAGTACAGTACATACCAGACTTTGAAGACAGGATGAAAAAGGGAAGGTAAAAACTATTACGTTAAAATTTTTAATAGTGATCACGTTGAAATGCCAATATTTTGGATATATTGGATTAAGTAAAGTATATTATAAAAATGAATTGTTTCATTTTACTTTTTAAAAATGTGTTTACCAGGAAACTAAATTAGCTGGGCAAGGTGGTAGGTGCCTGTAATCCCAGCTACTGGGGAGGCTGAGGCAGGAGAATTGCTTAAACCCAGGAGGCAGAGGTTGCAGTGAGCAGAGATCGCACCGCTGCACTGCAGCCTCGGCGACAGAGCAAGACTCTGTCTCAAAACAAACAAACAAAACCAAAAAACCCCACTACTCATGTAGCTTGCTTCATATTTATGTTGGATGACACTGTTCTAGAACCTGAATTCCATAGGATGTGGGATAAGTGTTGCTGAAAAAACTAAAGCAAGCTGGGAGAGTGGAGGCTGATGTTTGCAAGATGCCATGTTACTCGTGTCTGGGGGGAACCAGTCTCTGTACTCAGGACTTCTCAAGGCAGGCATCATCTCCCAAACCAAGTTGCCCACAGATACTCCCCCTTCCTCTGGACTTCCTGTGAGAGGAGGGTTCGGCAGAACCCACTCTGAGAGATGGTATTTTAAAGAGAATGATAAGCCTGTCAGATGACTAGGCGGGGAGAGAGCGAGGACAGGCAGAACAGAGGTAGGGGGTGCCACAGGACCAGAGGGAGGGGTGGCCAGTGGGGTCTTGGGGCTGCAGAGGGGTGAGAACAGGTGAGAGATGCAATAGAACTCCTCTGGCCAGGTTTGCAGCTGGCTTGGCCAAGCTCACTCTGTAGGATGCAGGCGGTAGCGGAAGCGCACATCGTGGCTGGGCTGCATGGTGCCAAAACCCCAGCGCTGCGGGTCAACATGGGGTAGTGGTGTGTCAGGGTCCACCAACTCTAAGTCAAAGTGTGTGACCATAAGCAGGATAAAGAGCTTCACCTCACTGAGTGCAAAGAACCTCCCAGGGCAGATGGAAACGCCCGAACCCCAGGGCATGGTGTAGTGGTGGATCTTCTTGCCTGTCTTGAAGAAGTCCACTTTCCGGCTGCCATTAGGGTTGAGGAAGCGATCGTACTTGAAGACGGTGGGCTCAGGGTGGATGTCAGGGTCCATGTGCACTGAGAGGTAGGGAAAGAGGGCCAGGATGTCTCCATGGCGGAACAGATACTCCTGCCCACTGGACATCTTCAGGGTATAGTCTTCATGAACCAACCTGAGGAGGGTGGGTGCAGCCCTCAGCCGCAGCGTCTCCTCCACCACGCTGTCTAGAACTGGGGTGTGTTGCAGGGCACCGAGTTTGAAGGCAAAGGACTGCTTGGTCTCCAGCCTGGCCTCACCCAGGACCTGGGTAGCTTCCTCCCTCACAGCCCGAATAGCTTCTGGGTGCTTCAGGAGGTACAAGAGGGCCCAGAAAGAGGTAGGCCCCGTGTTCCCCTGGGAGGCCCAGAGCATCATGAAGTTGAACTTGTCCTGCATAGCTGAGGGTACCCCCTGCTCCCTCAGAAACTGAAGCATGTTGCCCAGCCAGTTGCTGATGCCCTCCTTCTCCTGGCTGTGGCTCACGGAGAGCATCTTGTGAAAGAGACGCTGGAGTCGGCCCACTTCTAGCCACTCCCGGGGCCACAGCAGGGAGTAGACAAACCTTGGGAAAAGAAGGTCAAACTTGCGGAACTCCATGAATAACTCTCCTGCCTGTAGCAGGTCCTGCTCCTTGTCCTTCGTGTAGCCGAACAAGCTCAGGTAGCCAGCTGTGAACAAGATGTAATAGCAGAAGCGAAAGAGGCTGTCCTCATGCCAGCAACTGGCATCCAGACTCCAGCCTTTGGACGTCAGCATTACAAAGGACAGGCTGTCCAGCATGGTCTCATTAAGATCCTTCAAGCCATCCCCCCTCAGATGCTTGGTGCTGGCTGAGTGTATCATCTCATGGTCCCCTTGCACTGAACGGTATCCAAATACCTTCAGCACCAGTTTTTTTGCATATTGCCCAAAGTCTAGTTTTCTCTGTGTGTCCTTGAGGATGGAGCCAAAGGAGAGGGGGTCCATGACGAAGGTGAAGTACTGGCCCCCTAGCTGCACTGTGAACACATCCCCATGCTTGGTCCTCATGCGCTTCAGAAATTCAAACATATTCTTCCGGAAAGCCATGGCATGGCCAAGCCAGGGCACGGTACCCTTGTCCAGAGGGGGCTCCCATGGCCTGCGTTGTCGGAGCATCCCTGGCAGGCACAGGTATCCAGCAATGACCACCAGCAGAGCTCCCAGCACTGGACCCCAGAGAACCATGGCTATGCTCCTGCGGATTAAGCTCTCGACACGCACACTGTTCCCTGGGTGCCAGAGAGCTTTGGGAGGCCTTGGAAAGTCCAGGATGTAAAGGTCTGAGCACCTGGACCTTGCCCTGTGGCCGCAAGTTATGGCAAATAACACTAGTGAGACAGTACTTGGAAGCAGCAAAATGTTCCCCTGGACTTAACACTTGGCTGACTGGTCACGTAGGGGAGGAGGAGGTAACCAGGAGAAAGCTCAGAGAGAAGCTTCCAGCTATGGTCACAGCTGCTCACCAGCTTCATGCTTTGCTCTGACCTTTTCAGACAGCTCTTGCACCTTCTCTCTAAGCCTGCCTTGAGCCCACTCCCACCCCCATAGCTGACAGACTATTTATACCCCCATTTACTCATGCTTTTATTTATTTGCCAGTTCAGTTGGTAGAAATGAATCAAGCACTTACAAAATCTCACTTCCACTCTTTCCTCATCTTTAGAAGACTCAACAAATGCCTCCATTCCTACTTGGCCCCCTTGGTCAAGTAAGTTAACCTCACTGTGGCTCCACTCCCTCATCTGTGAAGTAGGGATAATTACAGTGCCTTGTAGGTGCTGTTGTGAGGCAAAAAGAGATAACACCTGAAAAGCACTTAGAATAGTGCCTGGCTCATGCTAGTGCTCCATATATGTTAGTTAGTATCCTAAAGCCTTTTCTCTTACCTTTGCCTGCTCCCCTGGACCTCACAGCAGCCCGTGCTTATCTCCTCATTCTTTCCCTAGTCTGTCTTCCTCTCTGGTCTCAAAGATGCTTGCCAAGGGGGCATGACCTTGTTGAAGTCATGTCTGCTCCTACCTCCATGTGCACAGAGTACACAGTCAAAGGCAAGTGAAGAATGACTGTATGCCCTTCCACAACAGCTCTGACCCCTAACCCAAAAAAAGAGGCATTGATGCTGGGGCTTTAGATGCTGAGAAGGCTGAGATGGTGGAGGGGGTGTTGACTCCATCTTGGGGTATGAGTGTGAATGAACTCATCTGAGGAGGCCACAGAGCCTCCCAGATGATGACTCTTCAAGCAGAGGCTGAGCCCTCAGTCTCTGAGCCTCTCACCCGGAGCCCTCTCACCTGCCCAACTGCTTGCCTATACACTTCTCTGACAAGAAGGCAGAATCCTGGAATTGTAAAATGTCAGAGACAATAGAGACCTCACTCAATCACTTCATACTTCATTTCACAATGAGGATCTAGGTGCAGAACGCAGTGGGGACCCTCTTTGACAGCTGCCCTGGCTTGGGGCCTTGAGATAAGCTAATCATTGACTAAGGGCCTTCTGAGACATGTCAGCCCAGGTCCCTGCCAGCAGCTCAAGAGGGAGAAAACTGTACCATTGACGCCAAGGCATTAGTCAAGCAGCCTGGCCCATTGTTGCTATAGGTGAGGTTCAAACTCAATTCAATCAGTTCTGATAACCTCCAAATTACTTTTTAACTTCCTAACGACCTGAGAACAGGGACTTCGGCTCTTCAGACAAAAGAGGGTATGGAACTTCCATATCCCCTCTGGAGTGAGCTTCCTTTGCCTATGAGCTTCCCCTTGGCAGGGAGTTGGAACTGTCCACACTCTGCTTCCCAGAATCCCTCTTTAATTGTTCAGGACCACCACAGTACTTGGCATCATCAACTCTCCTCAACCTTAGAATTCGGTCTGAAACTGGGCCAAATCCAATGAACTGAACCGTGTCCCCTAGTTTTTAATGGATGAACCATTATTTCACATTCATTCTTACCTCATTCATTAACCCACACTCATCTATTCATTCCCTCCTTCCTTGGAGAAGCCCCATCTATCCATTCACTAGATATTTATTGGGCACTTACTGGCAGAAATGTTGCTACGATCTGGGATTATAATCATGAATGAGATAGACACAGTCCCTGCTCTCTTGCAGTTTATGGTCTAATGGAGGGAGAAAGATATTAAATCACTGCCCAAAGTAATTATACACATATTTCTCATTTAATGTGCTTTGCTTTATTGCACTTCACAGATACTATGTTTTTTACAAATTGAAGGTTTGTGGCAACCCTGCATTGAGGAAAACTATTGGCACCATTTTTCCAACAGTGTGTGCTAACTTTGTGTCTCTGTGTCACATTTTGTAATTCTCACAATATTTCAAATTTTTTCATTATTATCATTACAGCTGTTATGGCGATCTGTGATATGTTAGTACTGTAATTGTTTTGGGGCACCATGAACTGGGCCCATATATGATGCAAACTTAATTGGTAAATGTTGTGTGTATTCTGACTGTTCCACTGACCAGCTGTTCTCCCCTCTTTCTATCTCTCCTTGGGCTTTCCTGTTTCCCAAGACACAGCTATTTTGAAATTAGGCCAATTAATAACCCTACAATGGCATCTAAGTGTTCAAGTGTAAGGAAGAGCTGCGCTTTAAATCACTTTAAATTTCACTTTAAATCACAAGCCAGAAATGATTAAGCTTAGTGAGGAAGGCCAAGATAGGCTGCAATCTAGGTTTGTTGCACTACACAGTTATCCAAGTTGTAAATGCAAAAGAAAAAATTTCTTGAAGGAAATTAGAAGTGCTACTCTAGTGAATACATGAATAATAAGAAAAACAGCTTTATTGCTGATATGAAGAAAGTTTTAGTGGCCTGCATAGATCAAACCAGCTACAACATTCCCTTAGCCAAAGCCTAATCCAGAGCAATGTTTTAACTCTCTTCAATTCTATGAAGGCTGAAAGTGATGAGGAAGCAGTTGGAGAAAAGTTTGAAGGTAGCATAGGTTGGTTCATTAGGTTTAAGGAAAGAAGCCATCTCTATAACATAGAAGTGCAACGTGAAGCAGCAAGTGTTGATGAAGAAGTTGCAGCAAGTTATCTAAAAGATGTAGCTAAGATAATTGATGAAGATGGCTACACTAAGCAACAGATTTTTAATGTAGATGAAACGGCCTTATATTGGAAGAAGAGACCATCTAAGGACTTTCCTAGAGCAAAGTCAATGCCCTGCTTCAAAGCCTCTAAGGGTAGGATGACTCTCTTTTTAGGAGCTAAGGTAGCTGGTGACTTTCAGTTGAAGCCAAAGCTCACGACCATTCTGAAAATCCTAGGGCCCTTCAGAATTATGCTAAATCTACTCTGCCTGTACTCTATAAGTAGCAAGGCTAGGTGTGGTGGCTCGCGCCTGCAATCCCAGCAATTTTGAAGGCTAAGGCAAGTGGATTGCTTGAGCCCAGAGCTTGGAGCCCAGCCTGGGTAACATGGTGAAACCCTGTCTCTACAAAAATTAGCCAGGTATGGTGGTGCATGCCTGTGGTCCCAGCTACTTGGGAGGCTGAGGTGGGAGGATCACCTGAGCCTGGGAGGTTGAGGCTGCAGTGAGCCAAGATCATGTCACTGTACTTCAGCCTGGACGACAGAGTGAGACCCTGTCTCAAAACAAACAAAACAAAGCCTGGATGGCAGCTCATCTGTTTGCAGCATGGTTTACTTAGGCCCACTGCTGAGACTTACTGCTCACAAAAAAGATTCTTTTCAATGTATTACTACTCATTAACAATGCACCTGAGATCTCTGAGGAAGATGTTCGAAGAGATGAATGTTGTTTTCATGCCTGCTAACACAACATCCATTCTGCAACCCATGGATCAAGGAGTAATTTCAACTTTTCAGTCTTAGTATTCAGAAATACATTTCGTAAGGCTATAGCTGCTGTAGATGGCGATTCCTCTAATGGATCTGGGCAAAGTAAATTGAAAACCTTATGGAAAGAACTCACCATTTTAGAGCCACTAAGAACAATTGTGATTCATGGGAGGAGGTTAACATATCAACATGAACAAGAGTTTGAAAGAAGTTGATTCCAACCCTCATGAATGACTTTGAGGGGTTCAAGGCTTCAGTGGAGGAAGTCGCTGCAGATGGGTGGAAATAGAGAATTAGAATTAGAAGTAGTGCCAGAGGATGTGACTGAATTGCTGCAATCGCCTGATTGAACTTGAATGGATGAGGAGTAACTTCTTACGGATGAGCTAAGAAAGTGGTTTCTTGAGATGGAAACTAATCCTGGCGAGGATGCTGGGAACACTGTTGAAATGACAATAAAGAATTTAGAATATTACATAAAGTTAGTAAAGCAGCAGTAGAGTTTGAGAGCATTGACTCCAATTTTGAAAAAAAGTTCTATTGTGGGTAAAATGCTATCAAACAGCATTCCATGCTACAGAGAAATCTTTCCTAAAAGGAAGAGTCAACTGGTGCGGCAACCTTGATTGTTGTCTTATTTTAAGAAATTGTCACAGCCACCCCAGCCCTCAGCAACCACCACCCTGATCAGTCCAGGGTGAAGACAGGAATCACTGAAGGCTCAGATGATCATTAGCATTTTTTAGCAATAAAGTTTTTTTTAAAAATTAAGGTATATATATGTATTTTAGATATAATGCTTTTGCACACTTAATGGTGTATAGTCTAAACATAATTTTTATATTCCCCGGAAACAAAATTCGTGCGACTCATTTTACTATGGAGGTTTGAAACCCAACCCGCAATATCTTCGCGGTATGGCTGTAATTGTGACAAATGCTGCAAAGAAGAGCAGAGCATGAAGGGAGGTGGCAGTCAGGAAGGCCACACTGATTGGGCCACACTGATTCAGCGGAGGCCTGGAGGACCACAAGACCCAGTCAATGTGTGTTGTGTGTGGTGGAGGTGCTAGCGGCCGAAGAGGGGTGCTGGTCAGGGGATGCAGCAGGGTGGTCCCAAGGTACCGAGAGCATATCCACCCTGGGGCCAATGAGCCCAGGGCACTCGGAGAAGGGGGAAGAATCTCCACAGGGTGCAGAACCGGCAGGCTCTGTGCGGGTTAGGACTTTGACACATCGGTGGCACTGAACCCCTCTCACGCCAGCCGGCCCAGCCACGCTTGTGTCCGGGGCCAGCCCACGGGGGCCACGCAGGGCTGCCGGATGGACAGGCAGGGAATACGGGCTCTTCCTCGGGAGGAGACTGGCTTGCCCCTGGGAAGTCAGCCCACGGGACTGCCCTCCTCTCCCTCCCGAGGGGCTGGGGACCAGCAACTCAAGCCAACACCGGGAGCGGGCGGCACGTCCCCTCCTCGCCCCTTCGGTCCGGGAACTGTCAGGGGCCGGGGCGGGGTTACGATGGTGGGCTAGGGGGCCAGGTAGGACCAAAGACACACGGAGGCGGCCTCCGGGACAGCCAGAGGGCCCGCGGGCGCTCGGGAAAGGGGCGGGTGCACTTCCGGCCCCCGAAGCCTCAGCGAGGGAGTCTCCGGGAGGCGCGGCGGGGAGTAGGCAGTGTGTTGCTGACCTCTGGCGGTCGCTCTGCGGCACTTCGCACCTTCTTTGTGCTCAGGAGCGGTGAGTGTCAGTTCGGCGGCTGAGCCCCCAGTAAGGGCGTGGTTCCGGGCCAACGGGAGGACGTGCTGATGGCGCTGCTTTCTTCCTTCCCCACCGCAGCTGTTTCCGACTCGCGCGCTGAACCCACCACTACCCCTCGGCCCACGCCCCTGGCAGTTTTCACGGCATAAGCCCGGCAAGAGCATCATTTTGGTTGTCCTGGGGGGTTTTGGGGGTTAGCTCCTTTATTGCTAACCTCATTTGCACATTCCATGGTGGGCAGGACAGTGGATTGAGTTTTTTACACTGGGCCCTAGTAGTTCCATGTTCCTGTCTGATGTCATGACTTCTCATTCTATATATGGCCCAGAATTTTGAGCAACTGGGCACTGACCTGAGGATTCTATTTATCTGCTGTGGTTCCTTTACTGGGGTTCTCCGCTGTGGGTTCTCTAGTCCGGATGCACTAGCTCTTCCCTGAGTCTTGTTTGCCCCTTTTTCTAATTCTGGATGATATTGACTGCTCCCCCAGTATGTGCCACCTCTTGCTCACTGCCTCGCCCCCAGCAGTAAGTAGTACCATTGAAATGGAAATACAGGGGAGAAATTATTTCACCCTGCCTTTAGAGCAGGTAATAATCGTTTCACTTAGGGCTTATGTATGGCTCCTTTTTGTTTCTTTCTAGCTTTCCAGGTTCCTTCTGTTTTTCCTGGAGGGGAAGGAACCCCCTCCATGGCAGCCTGGGTTCTTGACAGCCTGACTCAAGGGTCACTATGCTTACTGCTAGCCTGAATCACATATACCAGGTTGTCGTAGAACCAGTGTAGGACATAAAAGGCAAACCTGGGTTCTTGTCCCAACTTTTCCACCAATTTATGGCATGACCCAGAACATTTTGTTTTACCCTTCTGGACCTTTATTCTGATGTGTCAAAATAAGAGGTACTGAATTTGACGTACTCGCCAGCAGTGAGATGCTATTATAAAGGTATTGGGTTGTACATTCACTAATTTGCCAAGAGATAACGAGGGCATATAGTGTGAGAGGGTGGAGGGATAGGGTGGGAATTGGAATGATTGGCATTGAGCTTCTAGCCAGGGGATGGCTCTATGCTGATCATTTCCATCGCCACCAACACCATCACCATTCTTATTTTGAGAACTTACCTTGAGCTAATATTACACGAAATTCACGTATTTTGCCATCTAACCCTTATATCAACCCGGTTCAGAGATTCCGTAGAAGAACTCACAGGACTCAGAATACAGTTGTAATCATGACTAAGATTGATTACAACTGGATTGCTGGTCCCTAGCCCCTTGGGAGGGTGGGGAGGGCAGCCACGTGGGCTGAATTCCCACGGGCAAGCCAGCCTCTGCCTGAGGAAGAGCCAGAATTCTCTGCCTGTCCATCTGATGGGATACATAACCAGATCATAAGGGAAAAAGACATAGGTGGAGTCTGGAGGAATCTATGTGCAGGATTCCGAGTTCTTTCTCCCTGCCAGGAGAGATCACACAAAGCTTACTCCTCCTAGCAATGGAAACGCAGCAACATATGTGCCATGTTTCTAACTAGGGAAGCTCAAAAATTAGTCAGTGCCCAAGGTTTTTATCGGGGGACTGGTCATGTAGGCACCTTCTGCCTAGCACATACCAAAATTCCAGACTCCTAGAAGGAAAGCAGATATTCATTATAAATCATGTTTGTACAAATAGTCAAGGCATAACGAACTACTCTTATTGGTTAAGTGTTGACTGGACGCACTTTGAAAGTGAAGTTCCCAGACACTAGCCAGGGGCCTACCTTGCAAGCAGGCCTTTTTTTGGGTCTCTGACTTGCTATGTTAGTGATTTTATGCACCCAACCATATGAAGCAAAAATGCCCTCATTTTACAGAGGAGAAAATTGAGATTTCAAGGGCTGGTAACTTGTCTAGAGTTGCACAACTAGCAAGTGGTACAACCAAGAGTCTAATCACTCTGTTTACTTCAGAACTTCAGCTCTTCATCCGCTGCCATATTGCCAGTCCCAGGGCCTTCCTCAAGTCCTTTGTCTTTGTTCTTTCTGCCTGAAATGTTCTTTCCTTAGCTATTTGCATGACTGGTGATATGGTTTGGCTGTGTCCTCACCCAAATCTCATCTTGAATTGTAGCTCCCATAATTCCCACCTGTTGTAGGAGGGACCCAGTGGGAGATAATTGAATCATGGGGGCGGTTTCCCCATACTGTTCTCGTGGTAGTGAGTAATTCTCATGAGATCTGATGATTTTGTACTGGGAAACCCCTTTTGCTTGGTTCTCATTCTCTCATCTGCCACCATGTAAGACATGCCTTTCGCCTTCTGTCATGATTGTGAGGCCTCCCCAGCCACGTGGAACTGTGAGTCCATTAAACCTCTTTTTCTTTATAAATTACCCAGTCTCGGGTATGTCTTTATCAGCACTGTGAAAATGGACTAATACAACTGGTTTATTTTATTTATTCATTTTTTAAGAGATAAGATCTCACTATGTTGTCCAGGCTGGCCTCCAACTCTTGGCCTCAGGCAATCTGCCTGCCTCAGCCTCCCAAGTAGGTGGGACTACAGGGATGTGCTGTATGCCTCGCTTGGTTTCTTTCAATTATTCACTGCCTCAACTCAGATTACACCTTATAGAAAGGCCCTCCCTGACTACTCTATGTAAAGTAGTCTCTTTTTAAAGTACTTTGTATCATTAACCTATTTTAGTTTCATCAAAACATTTATAATTATGTGAAATGATCTAGTGTCTTTCTTTATTCTCTATATCAATTTTCATCCAGTCGCAGTGGCTCACACCTGAAATCTCAGCACTTTGGGAAGCTGAGGCGGGCTGATCACCTGAAGTCAGGAGGAGTTTGAGACCAGCTTGGCCAACATGGTGAAACCTGTCTCTACTGAAAATACAAAAATTAGCCGGGTGTGGTGGCGCATCCTGTAATCCCAGCTACATGGGAGGCTGAGGCAGGAGAATCACTTGAACCTGGGAGGCAGAAGTTGCAGTTAGCTGAGATCGCACCACTGCACTCCATTCTAGCCTGGGTGGCAGAGGAAAACTCTGTCTCAAAATAAAATAAAATAAAATAAAATAAAATAAAATAAAATAAAATAAAATAAAATAAAAAGAAAAAGTCAATCTTCCTCAGTGGTGTGCTGGTAAATTGGCACTGTAAGAAAAAAAAGTCTTGATTGGTAGAGTTGGCCAGTTTCATATTGTAAATACATTGCCCCTGGCCAATTTCAGGCACCCATATAAGGTCACTGAAGGAGGAGTTGGAAAGAGATGTGCATCGTCAGCATGGAGTCCTGATAAGTAAGCAACAATGAGGAAGGGACCTTAGGTAGGGGAGAACCCCAGGTGGGGAAGAACAATGAACAGTTGTTCTGAGAGATGGCTAATCACAAATAACCTGTGGGCACAATGACTTGTCCTGTCCGCAAGTGGCCCCAAGAGCAGAACCTTATAAAACTTCCCTCCAGCCCCTGCCTCATTGTAGACAGCCCATTTCCTGCTGTGCTGCCTGTTGCAACTTTGCAACATATTTTTATACTTTCTGTAATAAATCTGTCTTTCTTTACCTACAGCTGTCTTGGTAAATTCCTTTACCACCTGCACCACCAGCCCCAGATAGTTGCTACCTGTGATAATCAGCTTTCCTGAGTCAGTGTGTGCTGGCACCACAATAAACTCTTTAAAATCAAGGACTATGTCTTGTCCATTGCTGTATCCTCAAGACCTAGCACATTGCCTGGCACATAGTAAATACTCTATAAATGTTTGTTGAATGGACGAATAATTCTCCAATTCCATCTCTGATTACTGTTGCAGGCATTCAGTCTTATTTTAGAGATGAGAACAATGGGGCTCAGAGTGTGAGGAACTCTCCCTTGGGCACACATTTATTAAGTGGTAGAGCCAAACATTTAATACAGCCAGTTTGTGCCAGCTTTACTGCTAAGTGGGTCAGAGAAACCTAAAATGGGAGAAATTGGAGCTAGAGAAACAAGTTGTCCATATACAGTTCCATAGTTCATAGCAACAAATAATTTATTGCAGGCTTAAGCATATGCAAGGTAGTATCTTAGTCTCAGGGAGACAAAGATTGATTGGATTTTTAAATCATCCTTCAAGGATCTCACTGATTAAATGGGATAAGCACGTAATATCAAATGTACAATACTAAAGCAGTATGAGCCAAATGCCAATGGATTCTGAGAGCAGTGTCACATTTTGTTGGGGGAAAGGGAATAGGGTCAGAAAGGGGTTTATAAAAATAAGCCATTTGAGTTGGGCTAATAAGAATATATAGGGTCAGGTTGTGAATGGAAAGGTAAGGTATTTCAGGCAAACGCTGATGAGGATTTTTTGCTCCTTAGTTCAGCTAAAATCTGGTTTCTGGTCTCACGACTGGGAAAAATTAGGCACATGGACACATTGAAAGGTGAGGAGAGTGGAATTTATTGATAAGAAGCTCAGAGAAAAAAAAGAGGGTCTTGCCAACAGGCTCCCACCTCACAGATTGAATACCAGGCCACCACACACCAGCTGAAGAGGCCAGGCTTCTCCCCACCGCATAAGGTGTGAATTCCCGGTGGCTACACCCCAGTCTCCCAGTGCACAGGTGGGCCCTTAGTCTGAGCCACTCCACATTGATTTATTTCCCTTACTGCACATGTGTTAAGGGACAGAATTCTTCGCTGTGGGCATGTTAGGCAAGCCCCCTGTGCACAATGACCTGAGCAGCATTTGGCTGTCTCATTTCTATCAACTCTGTGGAGAAAGGCATCTAAAGAGGTGGTGAGATGTGCTTGAAGAAGAAAGTCCAGTTCATCTGATATGTCAATGCAGGTACAACTCAGGCAGGCCTGAAGACTATAACTCTAATGAACATGCTATCCAGGAAACTAACCTTCAATCCACATGCACACCAAACCCTCAAGAAAATTAGAGTTGTTAGTAGTTACAGTAGTCCTGCCTTGTCTGCAGGGGATACATCCCAAGATCCCCAGTGGATGCCTAAAACCATGAATAGTACTGAACTCTATATATACTATATTTTTTTCTGTACATATACATATATATCTATGATAAAGTTTAACTTATAAATTAGGCACAGTAAGAGATCCACAACAATAATTCATAATAAAAGAGAACAATTATAACAATAAGTTGTAATACAAGCTATGTGAATGTGGTCTCGTTCTAAAACTATTTTATTGTACTGTACTCACCCTTCTTATTGTGATCTGTCAATGTGATAACTGTCATGGCTACCAAGTGACTAATGGTCAGGTAGTATATACAGTGTGGATATGCTAGACAAAGGGATAATTCATGTCCTGGGTGGTGTGAAAGGAAAATAACAACTTGGGACCCCAATTCACTATGCTGAAAGGAAAAAGTCAAGCTAAAAGCTGAGTCATGCAAGAAGTTGCCTTTCCTTTTGTTCCTAAGCAGATAGTTACAGATAAAAGGTAAAAAATCTCCACAGGTAGCTACTCTATGTTCACCTTATCTTATGTAACCTGCAGATTTACTTAGCATGAGATGAATACATAATTAAATATTCCCCTACCTGCTCCTTTTCTCTTACATGTGGATTCAGTAATGACCATAACCTCTGTCTTTCCCCTGCAGCCTGCTTTTCCCTTTTAAATATTGAAGACTTCAACATCATCTTTGGAAAAAGACACATACCTGTCTCCTGGGTTATGTCCTTAACCTTGGCAAAATAAACTTCAAAATTGATTAAGTCCTTTCTCAGATACTTTTGGTGTACAGTGGGATGGAGCAGAGTGGTGTGAAATTTTATAATACTACTCAGAACAGCGTGCAACTTAAAACATGAATTATTTTTGGAATTTTCCATTTAATATTTTCAGGCCATGGCTGATTGTGGGTAACTGAAACCACAAAAAGTGAAATTGCAGGTACGAGGGGACCAATGCATTTGCAAGTGTAAATGATGTGATCTTAATGCCATAGTTTCTAGAGTAGCTTGGAGAGTCTAAGTCCCCCCACCCCCTGCAACCCAAGGCAAGGAGAACTTTGTAAAATACTTGGTTGAACTTCCACTGCATTCCACTGCAATCAAGCAGTATCTTTAGCAATCATGCACCTTCATGGGGAATTTGAGGGCCAGGAAAGCATGACTTTCCATGAAGAGATTGGATTAGTATCCTTTGTCCATGTGTGATGTTACCTTCCTGTCGATCGCTATCATCCTTGTGACAGTTGTGCAGTAGGATCTGGCAAACAGTTGGAAAGATGGCTTGGTGCCTATTCTGGGGTGTCTTGAATTCACCTGAGGCATGGATCTCATTTGACAGGCGGTGGAGAACTACTGAGGACTTCTGAGCAGAGAGGTTGGTGGAAGAGGAAGCACCAAAAATCCATCTCATCACCTAGAGAGCATTGTACTGGCAGAACTGTCTAAAGTGACTATTTTGGAACTCTGGGATCAATTTGAATACTTGCAGCTTCCAAAGGAAAGGTTGGTTGGTAAATTGTGGCTAATATTGGTTGATTTCAGCTTGTATTGGATACCCACCCATAAGTCCCATGGCAGGCAGCCATGACATGTTTCTGACATGGCTTGCTGAAGCCAGAGTGGGAAATTAGGACTTTGTCCTCCAGATATTGGGGCTCTGTGTTATAATTGCTGATAGCTGCTTCTTATCAATGAGGTGTAGCTACAGAGGCTGGCTGCCATTGGTTCACCTCCATTGGCTGAAGCAGTCTCTAGGGCATTAAAACATTAAAAGGAGCTGCACCTTTGGGTTTTTTGTTTGTTTGTTTTGTTTTGTTTTTTTTTGATGGAGTCTCGCTCTGTTGCTCAGGCTGGAGTGCAGTGGTGTGACCTCGTCTCATTGCAACCTCCGCCTCCCGGGTTCAGGCGATTCTCCTGCCTCAGCCTCCTGAGTAGCTGGGACTACAGGCATGTACCACCATGCCAGGCTAATTTTTTGTATTTTTACTACAGATGGGGTTTCACCGTGTTAGCCAGGATGGTCTCGATCTCCTGACCTCGTGATCCACCTGCCTCGGCCTCCCAAAGTGCTGGGATTACAGGCATGAGCCACCTCTCCGCCTGTTTTGTTTTTTTTTACATTCAAAAACAACTGTGTGTATGGGGGAATTTAGAAGCCATGTGTGCATACCCAGGGAAAGACATAGGTTCAGAAAAGACCTTAAACTTTCACCTCAGGATGATCCCTAGCACAGACACTCTAAAATATTTCTTAAAAGTCAAACCCTGGGATAAGTGGGATAATATTATTTCCAGAATTATCACAATGTAAAATTCAAATGTCCAGTTTCTACAAAAAAAATCACAAGGCATACAAAGAAACAATAAAGTATGGCTCATTCAAAGGAATAAAAGAAATCAATAAGAAATGTTCTTGAGGAAGCCCAGATAGTGGACTTCATAGACAAAGACTTTAGAATGACTGTCTTAACCCATTTCTCGTTTAGAAAAAAATTGCAGCTCGCCGCCAGTACTCATTTAATTTTACATAAACACACTCTTTGAGGCTGAAGCAAATCAGACTGATCTTCAATGTGAAAATAAAGTATAAAAACTGTTCTTGGAGTTATTTCCAAACAGAACTTTTTTCTAATCCTAATGTAACAGAAATGTATATGATGACAGTATTTAATAAGTGGGCAGAATTTGGGGGTAAGGTTAGGACTGTAATCCATGAGTTATTGTGGTGTATTCACTGCACTGCAAGGGCCACTGGGGAATATTTTCACGGCAAATGGGAAATGGGTTAAAGATACTCAAAGAGCTAAAGGTAATCATGGACAAAGAGGAAAACAATGTACGAATTAGAATCAGAATATCAATAGAGATAGAAATGATAAGGAGAAACCTAAAGGAAACTCTGGAGCTGAAAAGTATCATAACAAAAAGGGAAAATACACTGGGATGGGGGTGGGGGTGGTTAAAAGCAGATTTGAGCAAGTAAAATAAAGAATCTGCAAACTTAAAGATAGGATGATTGAAATTATTGAACTGGAGGAACAGAAAGAAAAAAGGATGAAGAAAAGTGAACAGAGAGGCTGGCAGATAAATTCATCAGCTTGTTCCTTTGCCTGTGGACACTGCCGAAGAAGCATCATTAAAGTCTCTTTTCTCCCTGCCATCATGTCTAAGTCAGAGTCTCCTAAAGGGCCCGAACAGCTGAGGAAGCTCTTCATTGGAGGGTAGAGCTTTGAAACAACTGATGAGAGCCTGAGGAGCCATTTTGAGCAATAGGGAATGCTCACAAACTGCATGGTAATGAGAGATCCAAACACCAAGCGCTCCAGGGGCTTTGGGTTTGTGACATGTGCCACTGTGGAGGAGGTGGATGCAGCCATGAATGCAAGGCCATGCAAGGTGGTTGGAAGAACTGTGGAACCAAAGAGAGCTGTCTCAAGAGAAGATTCTCAAAGACCAGGTGCCCACTTGACTGTGAAAAAAATATTTGTGTCCTTAAAGAAGACACTGAAGAACTTCACCTAAGAGATTATTTTGAACAGTATGGGAAAATTGAAGTGATTGAAATCATGACTGACCAAGGCAGTGGCAAGAAAAGGGGCTTTGCCTTTGTAACCTTTGACAACCATGACTCCATGGATAAGACTGTCATTCAGAAATACCATACTGTGAATGGCCACAACTGTGAAGCTAGGAAAGCCCTGTCAAAGCAAGAGATGGCTCGTGCTTCATCCAGCCAAAGAGGTCGAAGTGGTTCTGGAAACTTTGGTGGTGGTCGTGGAGGTGGTTTTGGTGGGAATGACAACTTTGGTCGTGGAGGAAACTTCAGTGGTCATGGTGGATTTGGTGGCAGCCATGGTGGTGGTGGATATGGTGGCAGGGGGATGGCTATAATGGATTTGGTAATGATGGAGGTGGTGGAAGCTACAATGATTTTGTCAATTACAACAATCAGTCTTCACATTTTGGACCCATGAAGGGAGGAAACTTTGGAGGCAGAAGCTCTGGCCCCTATGGTGGTGGAGGCCAATACTTTGCCAAACCACAAAACCAAGGTGGCTATGGCGGTTCCAGTAGCAGCAGTAGATATGTCAGTGGCAGAAGATTTTAATTAGGAAACAAAGCTTAGTAAGACAGAGGAGCCAGAGAAGTGATGGAAGCTACAGGTTACAACAGATTTGTGAACTCAGCCAAGCATGGTGATGGCAGGGCTTAGCTGCTACAAAGAAGACATGTTTTAGACAAATGCTCATGTGTATGGGCAAAAAGCTTGAGGAGTGTATTTGTGAATAATTGCATAACAGGTTATTTTAGTTTCTGTTCTGTGGAAAGTGTAAAGCATTCCAACAAAGGGTTTTAATGTAGTTTTATTTTTTGCACCCATGATATTGATTGCTAAATGCAATAGCCTAATGGTGATGCTGAATAAATGTCTTAAATTAAAAAAAAAAAAAAGGAAAAGTGAACAGAGCCTAAGGGACCCAGGGGACACTATCAAGCAGACAAACATATGCATAATGTGAATACCAGAAGGAAAGAGAGAAAGAAAGAGGCAGAAAGACTAGTTGAAGAAATGTTCCCAGACCAAACTGAGGGTCGGGCTGCTATTTCTCGCTGCCCAATAACAAGATGCAAATGAACTGGGGAGAAAGAGAGTTTTTTTATTTCTGTAACCGGTTACAGGGAGAAGGCCTGGAAATTATTGCCAGACCAACTCAAAATTACAAAGTTTTCCAAAGCTTATATACCTTCTAAGCTATATGTCTACGTGTAAGTGTGCATTCATCTAAAGACATAAGTGATTAGCTTCTTTTAATCTATAACTAAGGTCTGAGTCTTGAAGACCTTCCTCTGGAGCCTCAGTAAATTTACTTAATCTAAATGGGTCCAGGTGCTGGAGGTAATTACCCTTATCTGGTCTCCTGCTAAATCGCAGAGGTTTGGGGAGTTCCTTCAGATCCCCGGTAAAACTTTTTTAATTCTAAATGGGTCCTATTAAGAATTCCTTTGTTATTTTGTAATGCTTTAAGGCCCAGGAAAGGCCTAGGCAAAACCCTTGGTGGGCATTTCTTACATTCCAGCCTTTGTATAAAGGGCATTGGCTGTTTCAGCTTTGAATATTTAACTTAACCACTTAGTACTAAAACAGTTGTTATGGAGGCCTGCATTAGTGAGACCTGGCCTGCCACAGAAATAATGCTTGAAAACTTCCTAAACTCAATGAAAAATACAAATCTACAAATTCAAGATGCTCAACAAACTCCAAGTAAGATAAACTCTGAAAAACTATCATTTTTTTAAAAACCAAAAGAAAATAACAAGTGATAGTGAGGATGTGGAGAAATTGAAACCCTTGTGTATTGCTGGTGGGAATGTAAAATGCAGCCTCTGGAAAATGGTATGATTCCTCAAAAAACATAGAATTACCACATGATCTGCTTCTGGGTATATATCCAAAAGAAATGATGGCAGGAACTCAAGATATTTGCACACTTGTGTTCATAGCAGCATTAGTCACAAAAGCCAAAAGGTGGGAGCAACGAAGTAACCAGTGACAGATGAATGGATAAAATGTGGTATATATGCATCAGTGGAATATTACTTGGTCTTAAAAATGAAGGAAATTTTGACACTTCCTACAACACAGATGAAACTTGAAGATATTATGCGACATGAAATAAGCCAGTAACAAAAAAGACAAACATTGTATGATTCCTCTTAAATGAGTTTCCTAGAGTGATAAATTTATAGTGACAGAAAGCATGGTGTTTGCCAGAAGCTGAAGTGTGGGGGAAATGGGGATTAAGTGTTTAATGGGTATAGTTTCACTATACAACAAACAGGTTATAAGAGACAAAGAAGTATATTATATTGTAAGTGCCCAATGGGTTCACCCTGCCCACTGCCTAGACAGAGCTGATTTATCAAAAGAGGGGAATTGCAATAGAGAAAGTAATTAATGCAGAGCCAGATGTGCAGGAGACCAGAGTTTTGTTATTACTCAAATAAGTCTCCCTGAGCATTCAGGGATCAGAGTTTTTAAGGACAACTTGGTGGGCAGGGGGAAACCAGTGAGCTGGGAGTGCTGATTGGTCAGAGATGAAATCACAGGGAGTTGAAACTGTCTTCTTGCGCTGAGTCAGTTCCTGGGTGGGGGCTACAACACCAGCTGAGCCAGTTTATTGATCTGGGTGGTGCCAGCTGATGCATCAAGTGCAGGGTCTGCAAAATATCTGAAGCACTGGTCTTAGGTTTTACAATAATGATTTTATCCCTAGGAGCAATTTGGAGAGGGTCAGAATCTTGTAGTCTCCAGCTACATGACTCCTAAACCATAATTTCTTTTTTGAGACTTGTCACCCAGGCTAGAGTGCGGTGGTGCAATCTCGGCTCACTGCAACCTCTGCCTCCCGGGTTCAAGCAATTCTCCTGCTTCAGCCTCCCAAGTAGCTGAGATTACAGGCGCCTGCCACCACATCCAGCTAATTTTTGTATTTTTAGTAGAGACGGAGTTTTACCGTTTTGGCCAGGCTGGTCTTGAACTCCTGACCTCAAGTGATCTGCCTGTCTCGGCCTCCCAAAGTGCTGAGATAACAGGCGTGAGCCACTGTGTCTGGCCCTAAACCATAACTTCTAATCTTGTGGCTAATTTGACAGTCTTATGAAGGCAGTCTAGTCCCCAGACAAGAAGGAGGTTTGTTTTGGGAAAGGGCTGTATCATCTTTGTTTTAAACTATAAACTAAGTTTCTTCCAAAGTTAGTTCAGCCTATGCCCAGGAACGAACAAGGACAGCTTGGAGGTTGGAAGCAAGATGGAGTTGGTTAGGTCAGATCTCTTTCACTGTATCAGTTATAATTTTGCCATGGCAGTTTCAATATATTAATAAAATATTCCATACAGCAGGCAAGTAAAACAGCTATAAACATTACACACCTAATAATAGACCCTCAAAATACATAAAGCAAAAATTGACAAAATTGAGGGGATAAATATATTTTTATAGTAATAGTTGGAGACTTATTTACCCCAGTTCCAATAATGGATAGATCATTCAGACAGAGGATAAGAAAATAGAGAATTTGAACAATGCAATAAGCCAACTAGACTTAACAGATAAATATAAAACACTCCACCCCAAAACAGCAGAATACATATTCTTCTCAAATGCTTATGGAACATTCTTCCAGAAAGACCAAATGTTAGGCCACAAAACAAGTCTTAATAGATTTATAAAGATAGATATTATACATATCTTCTCCATCCCAAACAGGATAAAGATAGAGCTCAATAGTAGAAGAAAAAAAAAAGTCATCCAAATTTGAATGGAAGAGGGAAAATTATATTCTCAGATAACATGATCCTGTATACAGAAAATCTGAGTCCAAAAGATAACTAGTAGAGCTAATAAACTAATTTAGCAAAGTTGCAGCATATAAAATCAAAACAAAAATCAGTTGTGTTCCTATATAGCAGGTATGAACAATCCAAAAAGGAAATTAAGAAAGCAATTTTATTTCCAATAGCATCTAAAAGAATTAAATACTTAGGAATAAATCTAACCAAGCTGGTGAAGGGCTTGTATCCTGAAACTACAAACTATTACTGAAAGAAATTAAAGACTTAAATAAATGAAAAACTATCCTATGTTAATGAATAGGAAGGAAGACTTAACATTGTTAAGATGTTAATACAGTCCAAAGTGATCTACAGATTCAATGCAATCCCAATCAAAATTCCAATAGACTTTTTCACAGACATAGAAAAGCTGATTCTCAAATTCATATTTAATTGCAGGGGGCTCCTTTGTCTTAGTATTTTCCTGCTGCTATAAAAAAATACCTTAGACTGGGTAATTTATAAACAATAGAAATCAATTGCTTGTAGTTCTGGAAGTACAAGATCAAAGTACCAGCAGATTTGGTATCTGGTGAGGGCCCATCCTTCATAGATGGTGCCTTGTTGCTGTGTCCTCATATGGCAGAAGGGGTTGGAGAGCTCCCTTCAACCTTTTATAAGGGCACTAGTCCCATTCATGAGGCTCTTATGACTTAACCACTTCCCAAAAGGTCCTGCCTCTTAATACCATAACAATAAATATTTAGTTTCATCTGCTGGGCATGTCCTCATGCCTGTAATCCCAGCACTTTGGGAGGCTGAGGCGGGTGAATCACTTGAGGTCACGAGTTTGAGACCAGCCTGGCCAACATGGTGAAAATACCAAATATAGCTGGGCCTGGTGGTGCGTGCCCGTAATCTCAGCTACTAGGGAGACTGAGGCAGGAGAATCACTTGAACCTGGGAGGCGGAGATTGCAGTGAGCCAAGATTGCACCACTACACTCCAGCCTGGCCAAAGAGTGAGACTTCGTCTCAAAAAAAAAAAAAAAAGATTAAGTTTCAACATGAATTTTGGAAGGACACAGCATTCTGCCCCTGGCCCTACAACATTCATATCCATCTCACAGGCAAAATACATTCATTCCATTCCAATAGCTCCATAAGTCTTTTTGTTTTTTCATTTTTAAAAAAATTTTTTGTGGAGATAGGGTCCCACTATGTTGCCCAGGCTGGTCTCGAACTCCTGGCCTCAAGTGATCTTCCTGCCTTGGCTTCCTAAAGTGCTGGTATTACAGGAATGAGCCGTTGTGCCCAGCCACTCCCATAAGTCTTAACATGTCCCAGCATCAACTCAAAAGTCTAAAGTCCAGACTGTCATCTAAATCAGATATGAGTGAGACTCAAAGGTGCGATTCATCCTGAGGCAAAGTCTCCTCCAGTTATAAACCTGTGAAATTAAACAAGTTATGTGCTTCTAAAATACTGTCAACCAAAGAATAATGAAGTTCATACATTTGATAAGGAGACCTTTATTTCTCATAAAGGATTGCAGCTTACAGGGTGGCCATTCTGACAGGCTGGGAGGCATAGCCTCCAGCCAGAAGCCAGAAACACACTTTGAGGGAGGTGAAAAGGAAATAGGAATTTATGCTGAGCAAGACAGCCAAATATACATATTCAGTAATCTATAGGAAGAGTCATGAGTAGTTTTGAGGAGACACTTGCACATGCACAATTGAACTTTGTTCTCCATGGGACCCATATTCAAAAAATGGCATCATTAGCATGATCTGAAGATGAAGTTTTTGGCCCTCTGATGTCAAAAGGTGAAGCAGAGGATGTGCTTCACCCTTACTGTGCATTCTCTGTAGAATGGCCAGAACCACTCAATGGTTGGTGGTTTTTAATCAGTCAAAAAAGGAGTGATAGCATTAGGCAGTTGGTTGATATCAGAGGTGGAGTATTTTGAAAGGTCTGGTTTCTGTTTACTTTTAGGGAAGAAAGCCTAATTGTGGTTAGCAAGGGAGTGGGTATAATGAGGTTGGTCTAATCCAACCTCATTAACCCCCCTCATCTAAACCCCAAGTGGGGTTTTCCAGGGAACCACTAGACAGGTCAAATAATGACAATTTTCCAGGAATGAGGCTTTGAAGGAACTCCAACCCCATCTTCCCCCTCTGGTGGCTGCCAGGCTGCTGATTTTCACTATGATTGTGGGCTATTGGTTTTCAAGGATACTGCAAAACTGGAGAGGGGGGATGGGAATAGGGCAAGTTAAAACACCACAAAGCTTGTTGCTTCTACCAAGATTCAGCTGTTTTCTTGAATAAATCATCTCTAGGTTGCTACAAGCCTTAGGTTAACTTCTAGAATCCTGGAAAAGTTGATTCTGACAATTTTTTTTGCTAGTTTTCTAATCACTTTTTTTAGAAGAGAAAATTTTTAGAGGTCCCTATTCTGCCATTTTCACCATTATGGTGACCATAACGTCACCATAACAGCCCTTGTTCAAAATTCCCTGGTTCTCTGGAGTTTTCTCCTTTATATCAAGAAGGTAGACAAGTACTGTCCCCTAGGGACTGGGGGTTGTTGTTTCTGTGAAAGAACAAAGGCTTTCCACAAGCAGCCCCAATGCTTCCTCCCTTCCTACCTGTTGCAGAAGAATTGCCCTGCTTGTTTAAACATTACTTTTGCATGTTGCCTACAGAGGATGAAATTTTCCTACCTTTCTCTGTCCCCCTTCATGCCATCCTCAACACTCACTTAGATCTCAAAGGCTGCATGCAGGGAAAAAGGAGCCCAGTCTCTTTAAGGCTATTGGCTGGGAACAGGGTCCTCATTTACCTAAAAGGACATGGGGAATGGGAACATGAGAGGATAGGAAACCATTTCATTGCAAGAATGCTCCAGACAAAGGTCACTACAAGGTCTTGTAGACAGAGATACAGGCCAGCCCAAGGCCACAGGTTCAGGAGACCAAATTATCCATAGAACAGAGATGAAGGCTGATCCCCAAAATGGGATGGGATCAGGGTTAGGGGTACACAGTAAGTACCAGTTCATTCCAGAGTCCCAAGGATGAATGGGGCAGGGTGTACTCTGCTCATTCTGGTTTGCCATATGGCAGGATTAAGGGAATGAGGGGGGATGTCCTCTTGTTCCCTTCTCTCCTTTGTTCTCTCTTCACAGGTGGGTAATCGTGCCTCCATAAAACAAGATGGAACCAAAGTTAGGGGTACCTGGTAAGCACTGGTTCATTCCGGAACACGTAGGTTGAATGGGGGAATGCCCTATTCACTCTGGTCTGCCATAAGTGCAGGAACCCCAAGGATGAATGGGGATACCCTGTTCACTCTGGTCTGTGTATGTGAAGGAACCCCTAGGAACCCCTAGAATGAATGGAGGATGGCCTCTTCACTCTGATGCCATAAATGCAGGCAAAAGATAGAAGGGAAACAAGGGGGTATCTTTTTTTCCCTTCTCTCCTCTGTTCTCTCTTCGCAGATGGGCAATCACATCTCCATACCACAGGACACACCCCTTGGATGCATCCTCAAGAACTGGGAAAAGTTTGACCCACAAGCTCTAAAAAGGAAAAGGCTAATTTTTTTTGTCACACAGCCTGGTTCTGATATGGACTTGGGGACCAGCAATCTTGGCCAGAAAATGGAAGTATTAATTTTAATACTATCCATCAACTAGATTCGTTTTGCTGCCAGCAGGGAAAATGGACAGAAATCCCTTATGCACAGGCTTTCATGGCCGTAAGAGACAACCCTGACCTTTGTTGGGCTTGTAAAATGGACCCAGTGATGATAGCAGCCATCACCAGGCAACCTCCTCCAGTAGATTTGGGAGACCCTTTATCAGATTTGCACAGGGCTCAAGCCCCAGAGGAACCAAAGGTGGAATTTAGTTCAAACATTGCCTCTTTTATTCCCATTATATCCAAGTCTCCCAGTCCCATAGCCTTCCCCTCCCTACCCAGGGCCACCCTCTGGATACCACCCCCTTAAGTTATCCCCACTTCAGGAGGTTAGCAGCCCTATTGGGTCAACTAGAGTCCAGACTCCATTCACTATGTAAGACCTGAGCCAGATTAAAATGGAGCTATGGAAGTTTATGGAAAACCCTGACTAATGCATTGAAGGGTTCCATTAACTAGGCTTAACATTTGAACTTACTTGGGAGGACTTCACAGTCACACTAGGCCAAACTCTAAGGGAGAACATGACTCCATTATGGAGGCAGCCCAGCAATTTGCAAGTGCAATGCACATGACTGACCCTGGTGGCTACCTTGTGAGGGCCACTGCCCTTCCCCAGGTTGGCCCCCAACTGGGAATACAATACCCAGGGGGGTATATGGGCAGTGAACCACATCCCCATAATGGGGATGAAGGATAGCAGAGGAAAGCCTGTAAACTACAATAAATTGGCCTTAATAGATCAAGACTCTCTTGAAAATCCCACTACTTTCTTAGAGAGGCTACATTAGGCCCAAGTGAAACATACTAACCTTGACCCAGACACCCCAGAAGGATGCCTTCTTTTGTATCCCCATAGACCCATCTTCCCAATTGCTATTTGCCTTTGAATGGGAAAATGAAAAAGGAAGGAGCCAACAGCTCACCTGGACTGTGCTTCTGCAAGGTTTTAGAGATAGTCCCCATTTGGTTGGGCAAGCCTTGGCTAAAGATTTTCAAGACCTGACTCTTGAGGGGGCAGATGTGTCCTACAGTATGTGAATGACCTGCTAATCTCCTCCCCCACAAGACAACTGGGAATCCAACATCTAGTCCAGACACTACATTTTCTTGCAGACAGAGGGTACAAAGCATCCAAGGCCAAGGCACAGCTTCTCAGACAAGAGGTCCAATACGTGGGGATAATCCTGATCCCTCGAGAACATAAGTTCTCCCCAGAACGGATACAGGCCATCCTTAAAATACCTATCCCAGCCACCCAAAATCAGCATCAGGCCTTTCTAGGGATCACAGGATATTGCAGACTTTAGACTGGGTTATGGTGGGATTGTTAAGTCCTTATATTAGACTCTAAAAGAAGGGACTGATAGGGACTCACTTCTCTGGGAAAAAGATCAGGAGCAAGCCTTTAGGCAGCTAAAGACTGCTCTCTCATAAGCCCCAGCCCTTGGGCTACCCATACTAAGCAAACTGTTTTAGCTTTTCATCACCAAAAGCCAAGGTGTAGCCTTAGGAGTCCTAACTCAAACTGTTGGGTCAATCAAATGTCCTGTAGGTTACTTTTTAAAGAACCTAGACCCAGTAGCACACAGGTGGCCACACTGCCTCAAGGTAGTGGCTGCACAAGCCCTCCTACTGGAGGAGGTCCTCAAAATCACCATGATACAATCAATCCAGCTCCTGATGTCCAACAAATAAGCCCCTTACTGGACATAAAAGTGCCACAATGGCTCACTGACAACAGATTGCTAAAGTATCAAGTGTTGTTAGAAATCCCACAGGTAACAGTTGAGTGGTGCTCCACCCTCATCCCAGCCTCCTTACTGCCATTACCAGGAGAGGATGACTCAACACATTCATGTTGTGAGATACTTAACCAAATTTATGCCAGATGGGAAGACTTAAAGGATCAGCCCTTGGACAATCTGGTCAAAATATGGTTTTCAGATGGGAGCAGTTTTGTTCAGAATGAAACTATATATGCAGGGTACACAGAGGCTAAAGCTCTATCCTTGGGGACCTCAGGACAACTAGCAAAACTCATCTTTTAACCACAGGCCTAACACTAGGGGAAGGGAAAAGAATAACCATTTATACAGATTCCAAATATGCCTTTTTGGTGCTTCATGCCCAAGCCACTATCTGGAAGGAAAGGGAGTACCCAGCAACTTGGGATACTCCTACTAAGTAGGGGCCCCAAATCTTAGAGCTACTAGAGGCCATTCACTTGACCCAGGAGGTGGCAGTAGAGAGGGTTCTGGAAATGGCAGGCACTCATTGGGTAATGGTCAAGCTATCATAAAACTGTCCCTCTGAAATGAGAAGTGGCCATGACTGGGACCAAGACAGAGAGGAGTTCTGCAACAGATAGAAAACATCTGGAGCCAGCAAATCACAATTCCCTGATCAGGTTTTTGTTTGTTTTTGTTTTGTTTTGTTTTGTTTGGGGTGGAGTCTCACTCTGTCACCCAGGCTGGAGTACAGTGGCACGACCTCGGCTCACTGCAACCTCTGCCTCCCGGATTCAAGTGATTCTCCTGCCTCAGCCTCCCCAGTAGCTGAGATTACAGGCACCTGCCACCACACCTGGCTAATTTTTTAAAATTTTTAGTAGAGACAAGGTTTTGCCATGTTGGCCAGGCTGGTCTTGAACTCCTGACCTCAAATGATCCACCTGCCTTGGCCTCCCAAAGTGCTGGGCGTGAGCCACCGTGCCCAGCCCCTGATCTGGTCTTAAGCATGGGGCAAAAGTAGGGGGGGAAATGGTGGTGTTTGACTGGTATATGACCTTCCTCTGGAGGTGATCAACCAGTAAGGGAAAATCGCTCCAAGTGAGCATGCACACAACCTCAGTAAACACACTGTGCATGTGGCTTCTCCCAAGTACTAGCAGGCCACTGCACATGTCACAACTGAGCAACAGCCCACCCCAATGGAGGGATCAAGGGAGGAGAAGAAAAACCCCGGAACCAAAAGCCAGTTTATAAAAATCCTGAGCCAAAGGCTGAGGGGGGCACTTGATCTCTCAAGTTCCCTACTTGGCCCTCTTCCAAGTGTGATTTGCTTCTTTTAATAAACCTTTGCCTCTGCTTTAAAATTTGCCTCGGTCTTTCAGTTGAAATCTTTCCTCTGAGAAGACAAGGGTTGGGATCAGTGCGGATTCGCCACTGTTTGCAGACTCACTGTCAGTAACACTTTCACAAGGTTCAGGAGTGGGAGAAGGCCCTGACTGCAAGAGACATAAGCACATAATTAATTATTCTCTATTTTTTCCCCTCCTATGCTTAACCCTGGGAAACTGAACTACTGCAGTTTGACAGTAGGAAATAAGAGCCAGGGGGCGGGAGACTGACACCGTGTGTGTGTGTGTGTGTGTGTGTGTGTGTGTTGCCACCCAGCTGTGCTAATTGGATTTGGGCAATTATAGATAATGATTATAGTGATCATAAATCATAAATATGAGAAGGCAACTCCTAAGGTGGTCTTGGCATGGCTCACATTTCAGAGGGTAGGAGACATTCTAGGATGCTACAAATTATGTAAGAAAGGAACTACTGAACTAACTAGAGATGAGTCTGAGTGTATGGTGTGGGTAAGACACAGGAGAGTTGGGAAATAGGTGGAGTGATTGTTGCAGAGACTAGTCACATTGATCACGTAGCTGTGGAATGAGAGGAACGACAACCCTGATTGGTAAGAAGAGAACATCTTAGACTCTGGGTTGTCAGGGCAGAGGTGAACCGCCCAACAGGTTCTCCTTGCCTGCTGCCTAGACACAGCTGATTTATCAAGACATGGTAGTTGTAATAAAGAAAGGGTTTAATTCATAAAGAGCCAGCATATGGAAAACTGGGGTTTTTATTATTACTCAAATTACCCTGAAAACTTGGGGGTTGGGGTTTTAAGGATAATTTGGTGGGTAGGCGGTTGGAAAGTGGAGAGTCCTGATTGGCCGGGTCACAGATAAAATCATAGGGAGTTGAAGCTGTCCTCTTGTGTTGAGTCAGTTCCTGGGTGGGGGCCACAATACCAGATGGGCCAGTTTACCAGTCTGGGTGGTGCCAGCTGATCCACTGCGTGCAGGTTCTGCAAAACATCTCAAGCACTGATCTTAGGTTTTATAAGAGTGATATTATCCCCAGGAACAATTTGGGGAGGTTTAGAATCTTCCAGCCTCCAGCTGCATGACTCTTAAACCATAATTTCTAATCTTGTGGCTAATTTTTTAGTCCTGCAAGGGCAGTCTAGTCTCCAGGCAGGAAGGGGGTTTGTTTGGGAAAGGGCTGATACCATCTTTGTTTCAAAGTTAAATTATAAACTAAGTTCCTCCCAAAGTTAGTTTGGCCTGTGCCCAGGAATGAACAATGACAGCTTGGAGGTTAAAAGCAAGATGGAGTCGGTTAATTCAGATCTCTTTCACCGTCATAATTTTCTCAGTTATAATTTTTGCAAAGGTGGTTTCAGAAGGAAGGTCAATTAACTTCTCTTCGCTACTATCTGCAGGATATCTGGCCAATTTAACCTAGACTTCTGCTACCACTATCAACTTGACCACTGGCCAACAAACAATCTTAATTTTAAAACTATCAGAATCTTCCCAAAGCCACTGGCTCCAGAAGGGGAACAGCCTCACTAAGATATAACATAACAAGGTTAACTTTCTGAAAGTTGATATTATTCCCTTTAGCCTCATTCTGTTATCACTTTTGTACATTTTTCACAGACCACTTATTGTTCTAAATTCTCTAGCATGACTGATAGTGGATAATTGTATTGTTTTGGATTTCCTGCTGGTCAGTTCAGGTGCGATATGTGCCATTACCAACACCTCTTGCCTCGCCTGCATTCAGCCGTATTAACTAGCTTGGTTCTGGATTGGGAACATATCTACCATCCAGTGGGCCTGATTAAACTATAGGGACTCGTAATCATGGTTACTCTGATTTGATGTTGCCTAGGAGAAATGGAGTGGATCTGGTCCAAGCCTTTATCAGTACAATTAACTAGAGTATCTGATGAACCTAAGTGGCAGCTTATGCGCCTGAGAATTCTAAACCATATGTGTGATAAGTTGGGAGGTAGAGTTGTAGGTGAATGACTCTGCTGTGGTACCCTGGCTATCTTGCACATATCTACATAGGCCACACAGGAAAAGGCATGAACAGCAGCTAATCTAAGTCTTAGCAGATTGTCTTGTGATCCTCCAGAACACAAGGGGATGAGAGGAGCTTTACAAGGTCATCCCTCACTCCCTTCCCTATCTCCTATGGGAGGCTGTCATGAGACAGTTTGTCATTGCCTCCAAGGTTCTGATGAAGCATGAGACTTTCGTCCCCCAGAAGGAAGTAATGTTGTAGTCTGCAGTTATATCCTGAGGAGGGTGGGTCCTCCCAGGTCCACAATTCCACCTCCCAACCTACCACACATATGGTTAAGAATTCTCAAGAGCATAAGCCACCACATTGGTTCATCACTCAACCCAATGTGAGTTGTCGGATACCCCATTTCTGAGGAGCCAATATTAGACTGCAAAAAGTAGTGTTATAGTCTACTTTGTTGCAGTCTAAAATTGGCTCCTCAGAAATGGGGTATCCGACAACTCATTGCAGGCATCCAGCTCCCTTTTGTTTCATGGCATTCTTTTTAGCAGGTAGGATGAAGACCTGGAGAGCTGGCCTGTTTGTCTACAAATAATACATTGTATGAGTCTAAAAATGGCTTATCATATCTTTTTTTTTTTTTTTTTTTTTGAGACAGAGTCTCACTCTGTTGCCTAGGCTGGCATGCAGTGGCGTTTTGGCTCACTGCAACCTCTGCCTCCCAGGATCAAGCGATTCTCCCGCCTCAGCCTCCCGAGTAGTTGGGATTACAGGCGCATGCCACCACACCCAGCTAATTTTTGTATTTTTAGTAGAGAAGGGGTTTTGCCATGTTGACTGGTCTGGAATTCCTGACCTCAGGTGATCTGCCTGCCTCAGCCTCCCAAAGTGCTGGGATTACAGGTGTCAGCCACTGCACCCTGCCTATTTTATCTTTATTAGCCAAATCAGTCAGGCCATGGCTTTGCCTGCTGTGTGTGTTTGACAGAAAGGTCAATGGAATGAGTAAAAATATAGGTAAATATAATAGACTACCTATTCTTCTCCTTTTCAGATTTCTAAAAGTTTTGAACAAAAACACTATTCAGAGCCATAAGAGACCTTCCTTCTGGTGGACGATGACTTAGTAATCGTGCATCTCCAGGGCTCCTTTTTCTGAGCTAAAACCCTCATAATTGTTTTGTCACCCAGTCCAGTTTTCTCCATCTTGTCACCAAGAAAATCTTAAGAGACTTCATTGTATGCTCAACCTACCTAGTGATCTTCCCCATGGTAAGAGTTACTGCTTCCATCTCAGTACTCACAGACTATCAGGTAGTGTCCATTTATGAACCTCTCTATCATCTTCTTGCATACAAACAAGACTGGGAGCCCATCTGAGGTCTCTTTTGCTCTGTGACTTTTCACAGGTATGGTATCTGTAAGTGCTTAGTACCTGGGGAGCTATTCAGGCATCAGAGCATCTGAGCCTGTGGACTTGAATTCCATGTTTATCTTCCTACCTTATTCACCCCGAGACATTGAATATACAAATGGGCAATGGCCATACTACATAGAAAAACAGGACTGTGTCACACAATCTGTAGCAACCAGTCCAGGAAGCCAACCCATTTTCTATGGTAACCACTCTAGGAAGTCAAACCACTAAATCACTATCTGTGGCAACCAGTCCACTAATCAAAACAATAACCCTGGTAGCAATTGACCCCAAACAGCTGGGATTTGATCTCTTCCTTCCTTCCTCCCTCCCTCCCTCCCCTCCTTCCTTCCTTCCCTCCTTCCTTCCTTCCTCCCTCCCTTTTCCTTCCTTCCTTCTTCCCTTCTCCTTCCTTCCTCTCTCCCTCCCTTCCCTCCTTCCTTCCCTCCTTCCTTCCTCCCTTCCTTTTCCTTCCTTCCTTCTTCCCTTCTCCTTCCTTCCTTTCTTTTTCTTTCTCTCTCTTTTTCTTTCTTTCTCTCTCTCTCTTTCCCTCCTTCCCTTCCTTCCTTCGTCTCTTCTTTCTTTCCCTCTCTCCCTCCCACTCTTTCTTTCTTTCCCTCCCTCCTTTCCTTCCTTCCTCTTTCCTTCTCTTCTCTTTTCTCTTCTTCTCTTTCTTCTTTCCAGGTTCTTGCTGGAGTGCAATGGTGCAATCACAGCTCACTGCAGCCTTGACTTCTCAGGCTCAAGTGATCCTCCCATCTCAGACTTCTGAGTAGCCAGGAGCTGGCTATTTTTCTTTATTTCTTTCTTTCTTTCTTTTTTTATTTTTGTAGAGATGGGGTAGCAATTTGATTAAAAACTATCAGATTCCCTACTTTTTCCCATACTACTTCCAACTTAGGACCAAACAGAGAAAGCCAAAAATTTCCCCCTACCAATTACATAAGATTCCCTGCTTCTAGTTAGCCCGCCTGTAGTTTCCCCATGCCAGCAACTTCCAATAAGGGAATACCTGAAGCCATTCCTTTTTTCCACTGTGAAGCTTTCCCCACTCTTCTGCCTGACTTTCAGTCTGCTGAATGCAAGTGATGAGGGCTGACTCTCTTGTCATATATAGCAAGCTCTGAATAATAGTCTTTGTTCTCATTTGAATAATCTTTATTTTCACACTTCTTAAAAAATTTAATTTCCTGGCATGTTGCATAATGTTAGGTAAGCCATTTTCTCTCTTTGGGCCTTACTTTCTTCAACTGAAAAACTGGTTCAACATTTATTCATTCTTTTATTCCGTAAGCCAAAAATAAAATTCAAAGCCCTCTGACCATATGAATGGATCTCTCCTCTTGGCTAAGGGCATTCCAAAGTTAACGTGAAAAACTGGTTCAGGCCATAATGGGAAGGAGGAGTTGGACATGGCTCATTATGCTCCCCTACCTTTTGAAATTCAGGACCAGCTGACCAGCATTAACATCAACACAGACCTTAAGACTGATAGAACAGCCTCTTTAAGTCTCACAGACTATCCGGTAGTGTGATAATGATGAGAAACATTTGCAGTCTATTCTCTGAAGCCTGCTACAGGCTCCATCTGCATGATAAAACTTTGGTCTCCACAAGCCCTTATCTTAACTGAGACATCCCTTTCTATTGATTCTAAGTCTTTATACAATAACTTAACTCTTTCAACCAATTGCCACTCAGAAAATCTTTGAATCCACCTATGTCCTGAAAGCCTCCTCTTCCAGTTGTCCCACCTTTCCATACCGAACCAACGTACATCTTACATGTATTAATTGATGTCTTATGTCTTCCTAAAATGTGTAAAACCAAGTTGTAGCCCGACCACGTTGGGCACATGTTCTCAGGATCTCCTGGGGCTGTGGCACGGGCCATGGTCACTCATATTTGGCTCAGGATAAATCCCTTCAAATATTTTACAGTTTGACTTTTCGTGGACAATTCTACAAATATTCCTTGGCAGTTAAAGAAATAACTCCCCAGGAGGTGCTAGACATCGGGCGCATGTTAGAGGCACAAAGATGAGAATGTTAAAAGACATAAAATACAGGTCTGCTCTGGGAATGCAAAAACTGGTAAAAGGAGAGATAAAAGAGCAGGTGCAGTCTAGTGAAGTACCCGCTACCTCCTATCAGCAAATATCTGTCCACCTAGGGTGCAGCGAGCTGGAGAGGAAGGGGTGGCCTAGAGCGCAGGGGAAGGATTCCTCCCCAGCCGCCTGCACCCCTACCCCGGTAGCGGTCCCTGGGATCGTCCGTGTCTCCAGGAGAACCGGACCGCTCTCCCCTCCCTCCCCGAGCGAGAAAGGAGGACCACAGAGATGCGGCGCCCTCCGCCGTCCTAGAGCAACCGGAGCGGCCCGAGCCCCGGCCTCCCGGATGCTGGGGCCTGGCGGGTGTGGAGCACGGGGAGTCGGGCGTGGGGCGGGCAGGGAGTGGAGTCGGGGTCTTACTCCGGTGGCTGCAGGGCGCAGGGTAGCCGTGTCAGGCCTGCCCAGGTGCAGAGCGCTCTTCCGCGACCCCAACAGCCTCTGGTCCGGTCTGGCGCGCCCTCGCTTTCCCAGAGGGCGACCTGGGCTATGGCGGCCGTGGCGCTGGCGAGCGGGACACGCCTCGGCCTTGTCCTCGAGCTGCTCCCGGGACAGCCCGCGCTGCCCCGGGCGCGCCGGGTGAGTGCGGGGCCGGAGCCTGGAAGCAGTCTTGGCCCTGCCCTGGGTTCTAGGCCCGGAGACGGGGTGGTGCGGCGGCTGGGAAATGGGGGTACAACCCAGAGTGAGGGGCCTCGAGGGACAGGCAGCACAGCGGAGTCGACACCCCTGGACCTGAGCCTCAAGGAGAGCAGACGTGCAGCGGCACGGGGTTGAGCCGACTGCTGGGGCAGAGCGCACAGAGTGCTGTCGGGGGCGATGAATGGCCAGAATTTCAGAGCTGCCTTTACAGAGCTGGTTATGTTTGAGCTGGGTATTAGGTTGAAAAGGAATTTGCAATGCAGGAGCAGGAAGGAAGAACTGGATATTCAGGCAAGAGTAGCCGCAGGTGCAAGGACACAGAACAGGGTGAGGAAAGAGTTTGGTTTCCCAATGCAATGGTGAGAGGATCGGAGATGAGAGTGGTGGTGGCTGATGATCCTGGCCAGGAAAGCTGGGTCTGTGAGTAGTGAATGGAATTGTCTGTAGTGCAGAGGAATGTGGACTCTATTAGGCAGACAAAGTTGAGCCAGCCAAAGCCTTGGAGCCCTGGAGTGCTGGATAAATAGCTGTGGAGACTTTCTAGTGCGCAAGGACTGAAGTGCAGTGGACCAGAATGGGCTCCTCCACAGTGTGGAGACTGAGACCCTGAAGGAGGCAGTGGCTGAGAATTACGGGAAGTCCCAACGGCTGGAGGTCAGCAGTATTTGTTTCTTAAGAGGATGAGAGAAAGAAGGTGCAGGAGCTGAGACTCCTAGAGATATAGAAAATGGGGACATGGAGATTGGGACGTGGGTAAGCAAGTGAGGTGGGATCTTTGTGAGAGTGTTGCGGGTGGTGGGGGTGCAGGGAGTAAAGTCACAACGAGGATCTGCCCTGTTGAGTACAGTGTTCAGAGCAACCTGAATGTTCTGAGGAGCCCTAGCTGCCTCTGTGGCTGGTGGCAGTGACTGGGGAGGACAAAGGAGGAAGAGTCCTATACAGGGGCAGCAGGGATGGCAGGAATGGGGACGGAAGGCAGTGTGGCATAACAGGCAAGAGCCAGAGTCAAACAGGCCTGGGTTCTGTCTCAGTTCTGGAACTTTGGGGGAAGTTAATCCCTCCGAGTCTCAGTTTCCTCTTCTAAAAAACGGATCTGATAGTAGGCTATGAGACATAACAAAGAATATATGTCAAGTGCTTGGCACAGGCTTAATAAATGATAGTTGTTATCAAGGGTGGGTGACCTCTGAAGGAGGACACATTGTGGAGAGAGGATGGGACCTAGAGCACAGATGTGGTTTGGGGTATAAGGATGAAACAAGAAAACTTTTGCAGACTCATGAAAAAGAGGAGAAAATGTTTGCTGAAATAAAGATGAAGAGACATGAGAAAATTGATGGCTGATGCCTTGTCTCTTTGTACATAGGAGGCAAAAATCTTCTGCTGATAGAGTTCCTGTAGACATTCAGAATCCAGAATCCCCACAGGCACCCCCACAGTACCTTTTGATGCCCTGTCTCCCCTTCCTCTTGGCCTGGTCCTGGGGTTGTCCTAGGGCATTTAAACACATGTTGTTTCAGGAGTCAGTGACCTTCGAGGATGTGGCCGTCTACTTCTCTGAGAACGAATGGATCGGCCTGGGCCCTGCTCAGAGAGCCCTGTACAGGGATGTGATGCTGGAGAATTATGGGGCTGTGGCTTCCCTGGGTAAGGGTCTCTCCCTTTGGGCCCTGCCTCCACCCTTGAGAGTTTGCTGGCTCCTTTTTTCTCAAAGGCTCAGGAGTTGTTGATAACCCTCAGCTCAATGGCAGCTTCAGGCTCTTGGATTTTTAATGACCTAACCTCAGCAGCCGTTGGAAAGTAGGAAGTCCTGGTATCAGTTTGGGCCTTATACAGGACTTCCTTGCTCCAGAGTGAGAGGTGCCAAACCCCTACCCTTGTGTTGTGGGTATAGTGAGAAGAGAGCAAATTCATGGTGCTCCACTGAGCCTTCAGTTCCCTCCCCTCTCGGTTTGCAAGATCCAGCCTAATTCCAAGCATCCTCATGAGGATGTCTGAACTTGAGAGCTCTAAGAGGGAGAGGACAGGTAAGAATTGAGGACTCAATTCCTCAATGAGTGAAATCATCCATTTGCTGACTCAAACAGTTACTGAGTCGTCTGTCAACTTCCTGACCTTTGTAAGTCTCCTGGCCCCTCTCTTGTCCTTTCCCCTGGAATTCCTTTTCTTGTTCTTCCTAGTTATTTCCGTTTTTTTCCCCTCCTACCCCTGAAGACACTGGCCTGGGAGGAGCCTTGGGATTACTGTGTGCCATGCCACTCACCTGCCTGTCCCATTTCTTTCCTTTTAAGCAGCATTTCCATTTCCCAAACCGGCTCTGATTTCCCAGCTGGAGCGAGGGGAAACACCCTGGTGCTCGGTTCCTCGGGGAGCTCTGGATGGAGAGGCCCCAAGGGGCATCTCCTCAGGTGAGTGAGGGCACACGTGCCGGTCATCTGACCAGTTTTCTTGTCATGATCTTTAAAATGTCATAGATAGGTGTTTTTTTAATCTAGTGTTGTAGACACTAGTGGGATTGCATTTCTTCTCTGTGTTCCCATAGTTTTATGTCTTCTTTTTTTAAAAAAATTTTTTTTAGTATTTATTGATTATTCTTGGGTGTTTCTCAGAGAGGGGGATTTGGCAGGGTCATAGGACAATAGTGGAGGGAAGGTCAGCAGATAAACATGTGAACAAAGGTCTCTGGTTTTCCTAGGCAGAGGGCCCTGCCGCCTTCCGTAGTGTTTGTGTCCCTGGGTACTTGAGATTAGGGAGTGGTGATGACTCTTAACGAGCATGCTTCCTTCAAGCATCTGTTTAACAAAGCACATCTTGCACCGCCCTTAATCCATTTAACCGTTAGTGGACACAGCACATGTTTCAGAGAGCACGGGGTTGGGGGTAAGGTTATAGATTAACAGCATCCCAAGGCAGAAGAATTTTTCTTAGTACAGAACAAAATGGAGTCTCCTATGTCTACTTCTTTCTACACAGACACAGTAACAATCTGATCTCTCTTTCTTTTCCCCACATTTCCCCCTTTTCTATTCGACAAAACCGCCATCGTCATCATGGCCCGTTCTCAATGAGCTGTTGGGTACACCTCCCAGACGGGGTGGCGGCCTAGCAGAGGGGCTCCTCACTTCCCAGATGGGGCGGCCGGGCAGAGGTGCCCCCCCACCTCCCAGACGGGGCAGCGGCTGGGCGGGGGCTGCCCCCCACCTCCCGGAGGGGGCGGCTGGCCGGGCGGAGGAGCTCCTCACATCTCAGACGGGGCGGCCAGTCAGAGACGCTCCTCACCTCCCAGATGGCGTGGCGGCGGGGCAGAGACACTCCTCAGTTCCCAGACGGGGTCGCGGCCAGGCAGAGGCGCTCTTCACATCTCAGATGGGCCGGCGGGGCAGAGGCGCTCCCCACATCCCAGAGGATGGGCGGCCGGGCAGAGACGCTCCTCACTTCCTAGACGGGGTGGCGGCCGGGCAGACGCTGCAATCTCGGCACTTTGGGAGGCCAAGGAAGGTGGCTGGGAGGTGGAGGTTGTAGCGAGCCGAGATCACGCCACTGCACTCCAGCCTGGGCAACATTGAGCACTGAGTGATCGAGACTCTGTCTGCAATCCTGGCACCTCGGGAGGCCAAGGCTGGCAGATCACTCGCAGTCAGGAGCTGGAGACCAGCCCGGCCAACACGGCCAAACCCCGTCTCCACCAAAAAATACGAAAACCAGTCAGGCGTGGCGGCGCCCGCCTGCAATCCCAGGCACTCGGCAGGCTGAGGCAGGAAAATCAGGCAGGGAGGTTGCAGTGAGTCAAGATGGCGGCAGTACAGTCCAGCCTTGGCTGGGCTTTAGAGGGAGACCGTGCAAAGAGGGAGAGGGGGAGGGGGAAGGGGAGAGGGAGAGCTTTTATATCTTCTTGAGTTCTTGTTTTATTCATCCTGGCTCCTCTGTGTGCCATCTTCATTAACCTGTTTTGCCTCTTCCCCATCGCTGATATTATGGCTACCATGTATCTTTGCCCCATGAGTTTCCTGTTTACTCTGATCTTGGGTGCCCTTTCTACTTCCTGGCCTGTTTACAGTCTTCCAGCTTGGGATATAATGGCCATCTTTATCATTAGAAACCAAGAACTCTCAACCCTCAGCCAGATAGTTCCTATTCCTCAGGGGAAAACCCTGGGATTACTTTAGGCCCAACAGGACTTTCTTACTCTTAGTTTCCTAGTGATAACTGTGTTTCCTGGTTGCCTCCTTGGCCCCATTTCATCTTCCCATAGGGCTCTTATGTGGGCGCAGTGTGACTTGAGCTGTGCTCCAAATTTCCTCATTCTCACAGTTCCTTGTTCTGTCTTTTCATATTAGAATACTCTTGATTGCAGGTATTAAAACCCAATTCAAACTGGCTTAAACAAAAATAATTTGTTGTTTCATGTAACTGGGAAGTCTGAGGTAGAGTGGGCTGCAGGTATAGTTTGATCAGAACTACATTCTCTGCTCTGTCTCCGTATGTGTTGGCTTTGTCTACAGTCTGGCTCCCCTTTTGGTTGTAAGGTGATTGGTGGTAGTAACAGGACTCTGCTGCTTCATACCTAGGTGAAGAAACCTGGCAGGCCTTCCTTAGGCTTTAAACATTGTGAATCAAAGTGCCAAGTATACTCTAATGGACTACCTTAAGTCATATGCCAGCTCTAAATCAATCCTGTGGCAAGGTAACTACTGTGCACTGATTGACTTGGTCTGAATTGCCAATCTCTGAATCAGTCTCTCATGTAGTGAGTGGGATGGGATTAACCTGCTTAGCTTAGCCAAGTCAGAGCCTACCCTAGGAAGTGGAGTTGGGATACCCAACTCCCCACTCCAGCCCCCTACAAAGGGCATAGCTACTTTACAGTGGGGAGTAGTGGAAGGGGTATGGGGAGACCACCACAGCGTCTTCTGCATTCTTAGTGCTTCCTCTCCTCACCACCTAAGGGAATTTCTCATCTTTGCTTTTCTTTGCTTTAGGTAGAAAACCAACAGCTAAGTTACTCCTTGAGCAAAATTCTAACTCTCTGACGTGCAGCTGACTTCCTTGGCACATACATGTCCCTACTCAAAGTCCACTTTTGTCTTACAGAAGTTAGTACTCAGAGGATACATAGTCCCTGGATTTGGCAACAGAAAAGGTTGTCATTTGAAGGTGTAGAATTGATCTGTTTCTTAGGAGGTTTTGGATGAAGGTTACAAAGAGACAGTTCTAGCGAAAGCAGAAGTAAGGTGTATTACAGTAGATCTCTGTGAACAGAGGTGTCTGTTATTGAGTAAGAAGTGACTTTTGGAAATGGCTGAGTGAGGGTGTGAGTCCATTTCTTATGGATGCCATAGAGAGACCCCATCCATTGAATCTTTGTGGAATGGAAAGCAATAAATGGATAGGAAGGAAACTAGGAGATTACGGTTTCCCAGAATAGCCTGGCTAGACAGGAAGTCCTCATGAATAACTATTTGCAATTCCATCCTATCCTGATTCTATTCTATGTGAATTTGATTTCACCTCCTAGGGATAGGTGAAGAAGAGGCCTTCATCTTTTCTATTTCTTCTTGACGTTTTAAAGTGAGTGATATGTTTCATATCTTTGGGAACTGATGGAATTACAACTTCTCTGTTCCAGTATTTTCTATCCTTTATATAAATATATAAAAATATAAAAATATATAAATATATAAATTAAAAATATATGTATATATAAAATATATAATCATATAAATAAAATATATATAAATATATAAATAAAAATATAATATATATCTTATATATTATATATAAATATAATTATATATAAAATATATGATATATATAGTCCATCTCTCTATTATATATGATATATATCATATATAATTATATATTATATATGATATATTAAATATATATAATATATATTTATATATTATATATTATATATATTAATATATATATAATATTTTTGTATATTATATATTATATGTTATAATATATATTTTTATATATTTAATATATATTTATATATTATATATTTGTATATTTAATATATAAATACATATATTTATATATTTAATATAAATATATATATAAATACATATTTTATATATAAATATATTTATATAAAATACAAATATTTTTCTATAAAATATATATTTATATATTTTATATATATATAAATATATATATATATTTTTTATATATATAAATATATATATATTTTATATATATAAATATATATATATATTTTTTATATATATAAATATATATATATATATTTTTTGAGACACAGTCTCACTCTGTCGCCCAGGCTGGAGAGCAGTGACACAGTCTCGGCTCACTGCAACCTCTGCCTCCCGGGTTCAAGCGATTCTCCTGCCTCAGCCTCCTGAGGAGCTGTGACCACAGGTGTGTGCCACCATGCTTGGCTAATTTTTTTTGTATTTTTAATGGAGATGGGGTTTCACCATGTTGGCCAGGCTAGTCTTGAACTCCTGACCTCAGGTGATCCACCCACCTCGGCCTCCCAAAGTGCTGGGAATACAGGTGTGAGCCACCACGCCCAGCCTATCCTTATTATTCTGTACCATCAAATTTCTGCTTATCTATGTTACCAATCTTTTCACCCACCTTTATTCTCTCCCTACCACTTCCATGTCTGCTCTTTTCCTGATGGGCCTCACTCTTCTGACTGAGTCAGCCTTATTTGTATCTTGACCCTGGCAGGATATCCATTTCTAAAGCCTGCTGGGATTTCCCATCCTGAGCAGGTGGAAGAGCCATTAAACCTGAAACTGCAAGGAGAGGGTCCAAGCCTGATTTGTCCGGGTAAGTGAGAGGGAAATGAGCATTCTTCTCTCAGTCACATCTTTTCCTATCTTTCTTTTATAAGATGTAAAAGTCCATTTTGCCATTCATGTTCTAAACAAATATGGGGACCAGATCCTTAAATCAACCAATTAAGAGAAAACTTAAACCCTAAGCTTCCAACTTTCATTAGGACAAGCTCAATTAATTAAATTAATTAAATTAGGATGGGTCTTTTGCGTTAGACTTAAACTGAACAGATGGCCTGCCCCATCTAGCTGCTATGATCACCCAATATTTTTAATGTAGATGCTGTATTTTACTCATTGTGTTAGTTGTTAGAGATAAAAAAAATCAAGTCATATATGGCCCTTATCCTGGAAGGACTCACAGTCTCATGGGACATGATACATAAATGTATAATTACAGAAAAATGATGAAACTGTAACAGAATGTGAATAAGACACTATGAGAACAAAGAGGAGGGAGTCTTTTCCGAGTTCTGCCTGGAGTAGTTTGAGAAAGCACTTCCCATGGTTTCATGGTGAACTTGGTGCTTGGATTGAAAGAGAAGACTATACTTCCTTTTAGTGTTGAAAAGTATGAGGAAGCTCATTCTTGCTACTGTCTGCTGCATGTGACAAGCCCAGGTTCTCAGGTATACCACTAAGGATTCCTTATTTCTGAACAGGTCCTCTGCCCTAAGTCCTGGCCTGTTCTTCTCATGGTATAAACTGTACTCAGCTACCTAGGAGGAATTCTGACTTTGTTTTCCTTAGATTCAATTCACCTGTTTTCTGAGAGCCTACCCTGGTCCTTGGTTTGGTGCCAGGAATCATAGCCCGCAGGGATTCTATCTAGTTGCTGTCTTTACTTTTGGTTTCTTTCTGTGTATTAGCCTTGTTTTTGCCATTTTCAGCTGGGACAGGGCCACTGAGACATGGGTGGCACTTGGAGAGAAGTGGACGTATTAATACCACTTGGTGACCTTAGTCGCTGTGTCATGGATAATGATGACATTTGAAGCTCCAATTTCTTTTTTCAGAGGGTGTGTTGAAGAGGAAGAAAGAAGATTTTATTCTGAAGGAGGAAATTATTGAGGAAGCACAGGACCTCATGGTCCTATCAAGTGGACCCCAGTGGTGTGGATCCCAGGAATTATGGTTTGGGAAAACCTGTGAAGAGAAAAGCAGGTTAGGGAGATGGCCTGGTTACCTCAATGGGGGACGTATGGAAAGTTCTACAAATGATATTATAGAAGTGATTGTCAAGGATGAGATGATCTCAGTAGAAGAGAGTTCAGGGAATACTGATGTCAATAACCTCCTTGGTATACATCACAAAATTCTAAATGAGCAAATATTCTATATATGTGAGGAATGCGGCAAGTGTTTTGATCAAAATGAGGACTTTGATCAACACCAGAAAACTCATAATGGAGAGAAGGTCTATGGATGTAAGGAATGTGGGAAGGCTTTCAGTTTTCGATCACATTGCATTGCACATCAGAGAATTCACAGTGGGGTGAAACCCTATGAATGTCAAGAATGTGCTAAGGCCTTTGTTTGGAAGTCAAACCTGATTCGTCACCAGAGAATACATACTGGAGAGAAACCCTTTGAATGTAAGGAATGTGGGAAGGGCTTTAGTCAGAACACAAGCCTTACGCAACATCAACGGATCCACACTGGTGAGAAACCATACACATGTAAGGAATGTGGGAAAAGCTTTACTCGAAACCCAGCCCTTCTTCGACATCAGAGAATGCACACTGGGGAGAAGCCTTACGAATGTAAGGACTGTGGGAAGGGCTTCATGTGGAACTCAGATCTTTCTCAGCACCAGAGGGTCCACACTGGGGACAAGCCTCATGAATGTACTGACTGTGGGAAAAGCTTCTTTTGCAAGGCACATCTTATTCGACATCAAAGAATCCATACTGGGGAAAGACCCTATAAATGTAATGACTGTGGGAAGGCCTTCAGTCAGAATTCTGTCTTAATTAAGCACCAGAGGCGCCATGCTAGAGACAAACCCTATAACTGTCAGATCTCTCACCTTCTTGAACATTAGAGAGTGCATAATGGTGATACTTGTTTATAATTCTTATGCTGCAGGAACCCTAGAGACAAAATGAGATGACCATTCACAATTTGCTGTAACCCTTAACTTAAATAGCCAGTATTATCTTGCCCTTTTGAACATTTACCATGTACTCTAGCAAGACTGGTCCCTCTGTTCTATGATGTTTTAACAAGGCATCATTTAGTTGGGCAGCTACTCTGTATCAGGTGCTAACCACTTTACATACATTAATTTGCATAACAATCCTATTAAGGTAGGTGCTCTTCTCCCCATTTTACAAATGAGAAATCTGAGTTGAAAGAGGTTATAAAACTCATTCAGGGTTGCTCAGTTAGTAAGTTATAGAGTTGAAATTGGAGCCAGGCCTATCTGACTGCAGAGTTTACTGTTCTTTACTTAATTGTACATATTTATGTCTCTGCCCATTTTTATTTGCTTATTTTCCTGTGCTTTTAGTTTCCCTTCATCACTCAGATCTAGCTCCTTCAACTAAGAAGATCTCTCTTCCTCTTCTACTTGTAATCAGTACCACCCAAGTTAGTATTTAATTATGTGCCATCTTATATTTTTCTAATAGTCTCATGTCTTTTAATCTTAACCCCAGCTAAATGACTCTGAGGACCAACAGTACATTTCTTTTATGTTTTTCAAATCCTGAAACATTAATCTTTGACTAGATATAACATGCTCATGATAAAAAAGAATTGAAATAGTTGAAAAGGGTGTTCAGTGAAAAGTAAATTTCCTTGTCATTCCTATCTCTTGAGTTCTCCCCAGAGGCAATCACTGCTACTGGTTGTGTATCTCTGTAGATACTCTTTGTATACAAGTGTTTATTAGTATTGCTTTTCATAATTCTGTCTCACTGAAAACCTTATTTGATGGAAGCAACATTGCAGTTAAATTGTGAACTCTAAGACCTTTTCTTCAGAAGTTGCTTTCCTTTTGAGGCCACCAAAGTAATTTAGGGAAACAGCAGAGGGTAATCCAGGTCTTTTTTTTTTTTTTTTTTTTTTTAGACAGAGTCTCACTCTGTTGCTCTGGCTGGAGTGCAGTGGTGCTATCTCAGCTCACTGCAAGCTCCACCTCCTGGGTTCATGCCATTCTTCTGCCTCAGCCTCCCAAGTAGCTGGGACTACAGGTGCCCGCCACCATGCCTGGCTAATATTTTTTATTTTTAGTAGAGACGGGGTTTCACCATGTTAGCCAGGCTGGTCTCGATCTCCTGACCTTGTGATCCACCTGTCTCGGCCTCCCAAAGTGCTGGGATTACAGGCCTCAGCTACCACGCCTGGCCAATCCAGGTCTTAAGAGACCTCATTGCCTTTGTTTTATGAGATATCATTCTGGGATTGGGAATATGTAAACTCAACTGGAGATTTTTTTTCATAAAAATTTATATAGTTCCAGCCCTCTCATTGCTTCCTATCCTAAATCCTCTTCCAGTCTGTCCATCCCTCACTACCATGATAGTCTACATTCTGATAAGCTGTGAGGCCACTGCCAAGGGAGGGAGAAATGGTCACTTTCTGGTGGTGGTTAATGCTTTGTTAGATAGCTTCATCCAGTCAATAGTTGAAAAGTTTTCACATAATCCAGTATTGGCATCAGAGCCAGAAATGCCCTCCCTAGGTCCAGGACCAAAGATAAAACAAACACGAGGAACATGTAGCGTCTACACAGGAAAGTAAAGAATTATAGAATTAACTAATTCTACTTGAAATCAGGAGTTTTATAAAACAACATTTTTAGACGTGGTCATCTTTTATTGGTTTCCATCATCTCTTCCCCTTCTCTCTGGGAACAGTTACCCGGGTATTCTTTGGGAAGCTATCCTTTCTCAGCTATGTGGTTTGGCACCACCACCATCTTCATGAGTGGACCCTGTTTGGCTTGTGTCAATCAGTTTATCCCATCCCCTTGGCCACAGAGCCATTGTGATATGAGGAGATACTGGCTCTTCTGGAAAAGAGAGGCTTTTCTTCATCGAGAGCTACCAGAGGAGATATTATCTGTCCTCTGTGTGGCACATAGGAAAATGTGAGACCTAGAATTATAGCAACTTTTTTTTTCTGTTAAAAGGGGAGATTCTCAAGCTTCCAGGTGCTACCATATGGAGCCTAAGGATAAAGCCAATACCAAAGAAAACAGTGACTAAACAGAGAGAAACTAGGTCCTTGGTGACATCTTTTGAGCCACTAGACCAAGCTTTACCTGAAGCAGAGCTACCTCAGAACTTTTCAGCTATGTGAGCCAATAAACATCTGTCAAACGAGTTAGAGTTGAGTTTTCTGTTATTTGCAACTTAGCCACACTAATACTGTTTTGTGTTTGAAATCACTGTTTTCTCATACAGCTCCTCAGTGTCACCTTTTCCTCTTGCTCAGTAGTCTCATAAGCTTCTCAGTTTTATCTCATCTCAGTTGCTTGGAAGTTGAGCATCTAAATAGGTGGCTTTTGCTGGGTGCAGTGGCTTACGCCTGTAATCCCATCACTTTGGGAGGCCAAGGTGGGCAGATCACCTGAGATTGGGAGTTCAAGACCAGCCTGACCAACATAGAGAGACCCCGTCTCTACTAAAAATACAAAATTAGCCAGGTGTGGTGGCACATGCCAGTAATCTCAGCTACTCAGGAGGCTGAGGCAGGAGAATTGCTTGAATCTGGGAGGTGGAGGTTGCAGTGAGCCGAGATTGTGCCATTGCACTCCAGCCTGGGCAACAAGAGTGAAACTCCATCTCAAAAAAATGAAAATAATAAATAGGTGGCTCTCATGACCTAAGGTTAATTTCATGCATACTACTAAGTGATGCTTTAAGTCATACCATTAGTGCAGGAATTTTTGCTCCTTAGTTCAGCTAAAATCTGGGTTCTTGTCTCATGACCAGGAAAAATTAGTCACAGGGACACATTGAAAAGTGAGGAGGGCAGAATTTATTAAGTGAAAAGGAAAACTCTCAACAAAAAGAGGGGTCCTGCATGCAGGTTTTCCATCTCACTAAACTGAATACCAGGCCACCACACATGAGCTGAAGAGCCTAGTCTTCTCCCCCTGCATGAATTCCTGGTGGCTACACCCCGTTCTCCCAGTGTGCAGGCAGGCCCTTAGTCTGAGCCACTCCACATTATTTCCCTTACTGTGTATGTGTTAAGGAACGGAATTTTTCATCATGGGCATGTTTAGGCAATCCCCCTGTGCACAATGACCTGGGCAGCATTTGGCTGTCTCCTGATTCTATCATTCCCCCCTCTAAAGAAGTACATCTAACTTAGAATAAGGATAAGGATAAGGGTAGTGATCGATCTTAACTGGTTCCTGCTGATGGGGGCACTGTTTTGGGAAAATAGCAGTGAGATCTCCCTCAGAGGCCTATCTAAGGGTCCCTGGTAAAAGGTGGCCATCATTTGAGGTTCCAATTGCATGAACATTCAGAGTTCAATGGCCTGAAGGTGAGAAGAGACAAACCAGGTTATTAGAAGACAATCAAAATGAAACAAAGCGGGGATGGTAAGGACAGCTAAAAAAAATCCTAAGGCTGCTGACACACCCAGATAACTGGTAGCTATAGTTATGCCTGCTAAGATTGGGGTGTTTGGGGCTTGGCTTTCGTTAGCTCCCTTGGTCTTATTTTCCCAAAAAAGAAACCTCCAGGTTATGGGCACCTTATTTAGTCTAATCATCTGGCAGGATTTGCAGGGTAATTGCCCAGAACTAGAATATTGATCCAGATTTTTACATTACTCATCCCTTTTGCTGCTTCTGAGCTGCAGCCAGAGATTGCTGGTTGGTTCACAGGAATAAGCAGTGTTAGTTTAAAATGTGGGCAAAAACTTAAAAACAACGAATGAGTCTAAAATCTAATGACAAATATATAAGTCTTGAAACATAATTTCTCTCCAGTTCTCATTTTTGTTAAAAATAAATCATGATAGGACTGAGTTGTTTGCAAAATAAACTTTAGTCTTGTATTTGGTCTGATTATTTGCATAAAGTGCAGCAAGAATAATTACGTTTACATAGGCTTTTTAAATTGGTTTTGATGGAATTCTGTTCTGCAAGGAATCTTAGGACTTTTAAAGCTGAGCCCAGCCATGAGTTTGTACCCTCAAATACCTATGAGTTGGGTGAATTCCTCTCTTCTTGGGGTCCCAAGAATATGGGGTTCCTGGGCCTTTTAGAATATGACATTCCTTACTTACTGCAGGTTAGGAAACCTGTATGGGGACTGTGTAGACAAGGTATGAAGTCAGTTTTCCCAAGGGGCTTTTATCGGCTCTGTTAAGTCAAGCTTGATTCCTAAAAGGGAAGCTACCCTTCCAATCAAAGCCTTGGTAAAACAACCAGTTTCTCCAATTGTGTCCTGTTGCAAAAGAAAGTGATTCTTATTGCACTGATGCAAAAAAAATATACTGCTATAAATTAAGAATACTTGCAACTAGTTTCCAAATTCTGAAGAAGCAAGTAGGAGAGAAACAAATATGCTCCAAATTTTGATCACAGGAGTATACCTTACTCAATTATTAAAGGCTGTAAATGGCTCAAAATAAATTTCCTTAATTCTGAAAACAAAACAAGGAACAGCAATATTTCAAGCAAAAACTTTTAAAAAAGATTACTTCAGTTTTCTTTTAGTTCAGTACATTCTGTTAACTCTTGTTCTGTTTAATATTCATGAACATTTCAGCTCTTCATGAGTCCTGCATGTTTTCCTTTATTCCAATGTCACGATCTCTAAGGTTATCAGAAACTTGCATTTGAGAGCACCTGTCAAAGCCTTATGGCTGATTATAAATCATCCTTTATCAAAGGATCCTTTATCAAAGAGGATCAAAATAAGACAATTGTGTATGAATGACAAAATGTCCAGGGTAGATACAGTTAAAAACATTGACAAAGAAAATTTGGTTATCTCTGTGGTTTACAATAACATAATAACCTTAATTATGATATTATGATATTGATACAATATCATAATAACCTTAATTATGATATTGATAGCATATACTCAGACATTAGAACTGTAGACATCCCACACAATTTTGGAACATATTAATATTCACTAAAATATAATATGAAGATTAAACATCATTTTGGCAATTCCGTGTACATGTCAAATAATCCTGTTTACCTCTCTTCTGGATGCTCCAGGGGCCCTCTGTAGCATCCAACAGCAAGGGGTAAGAAAGACAACCTTGAAGCTGAAATTTGATTTTGGGAAGCCTGTTACATATATTAGATGTTTAAAACACTTGATGTTATGAAATAGAATTCCAGGCCCTGCATGGTGGCTCACGCCTGTATTCCCAGGACTTTGGGAGGTCGAGGTGTGTGGATCACCTGAGGTCAGGAGTTTGAAAGCAGCCTGGCCAACATGGTGAAACTCCATCTCTACTGAAAATACAAAAACTAGCTGGACGTGATGAAGGCACCTGTAATCCCAGCTACTCGGGGGACCGAGGCACGAGAATTGCTTGAACCTAGGAGGTGGAGGTTGCAGTGAGCCAAGATGGTGGCACTACACTCCAGCCTGGGTGACAGAGCAAGACTCCATCTTCAAGAAAAAAAAATAGAATTCCAGGTTACTGTAAGTAATTATTTTTGCCAAAATGATAACTCAAAAATTTGAAAAAGCAAAAACTTTTCCTTAGCCTTTACTATCACATGAAAATCTGTTCAAGAGAGAGAAAGCCAAATTTTACCCTTGCATTTGTTTACTATTAATGTCAGCCCCAATTTAAAAAATGAAATCTTACAGGCCATTCTATCAAATCTTAACCAGTTTGACCATGAGGTAAGATTCTTATAAACCTTTTATAACCTTTTACACAATTTGCTGAAGAGCAGATCAGTGCCTTAAGAAAACCTTGTTGTGCTTTTATTTCAATGCTCAATTGTACAGAAAAACCATAAATACCCTCTTGAATTTAATGTTCACACACAGAATTTCTTTTGCAAGATTAACTTTTAGAAACCTTCCATAACTTGTTTAAACCTTTAGCTTTATCTTATCTAATTTAAAACAATCCTTTAACCCTAGGCAAAAATTTACATTTCCATACCTTATAATCTTTTACTAAAAACACATTTTACTGTTCTTACACACCTTGCATGTAAATCTATTTTCAGGAGTCTCAATTACATGTTATAATGATAACTCTTAGCAATTCTTTTTTTTTCATATTTTTTTATTTTATTTTATTTTATTATTATTATACTTTAAGTTTTAGGGTACATGTGCACAATGTGCAGGTTAGTTACATATGTATACATGTGCCATGCTGGTGTGCTGCACCCATTAACTCGTCATTTAGCATTAGTTATATCTCCTAAAGCTATCCCTCCCCCCTCCCCCCACCCCACAACAGTCCGCAGAGTGTGATGTTCCCCTTCCTGTGTCCTTGTGTTCTCATTGTTCAATTCCCACCTATGAGTGAGAATATGCGGTGTTTGGTTTTTTGTTCTTGTGATAGTTTACTGAGAATGATGATTTCCAATTTCATCCATGTCCCTACAAAGGACATGAACTCATCATTTTTTATGGCTGCATAGTATTCCGTGGTGTATATGTGCCACATTTTCTTAATCCAGTCTATCATTGTTGGACATTTGGGTTGGTTCCAAGTCTTTGCTATTGTGAATAGTGCCGCAATAAACATACGTGTGCATGTGTCTTTATAGCAGCATGATTTATAGTCCTTTGGGTATATACTCAGTAATGGGATGGCTGGGTCAAATGGTATTTCTAGTTCTAGATCCCTGAGGAATCGCCACACCGACTTCCACAATGGTTGAACTAGTTTACAGTCCCACCAACAGTGTAAAAATGTTCCTATTTCTCCACATCCTCTCCAGCACCTGTTGTTTCCTGACTTTTTAATGATTGCCATTCTAACTGGTGTGAGATGGTATCTCATTGTGGTTTTGATTTGCATTTCTCTGATAGCCAGTGATTGTGAGCATTTTTTCATGTGTCTTTTGGCTGCATAAATGTCTTCTTTTGAGAAGTGTCTGTTCATGTCCTTCGCCCACTTTTTGATGGGGTTGTTTTTTTCTTGTAAATTTGTTTGAGTTCATTGTAGATTCTGGATATTAGCCCTTCGTCAGATGAGTAGGTTGCGAACTCTTAGCAATTCTTAACTTTAATGTAAAACCTGGTAAGTTGTTTTACTTATGTTCTAGGGGCAGGTCAGGCTTGACTCTTTTCAGTATAGTGAGAGGAGTGGTTAATTCCATATGTCCCCAGGCCTTACCAAGCTGTAAAGCAGGCAAGTGGAACAGTTCTCAAAAGCCAAAGAAGTACTTCATAACCTTAAAACATTTAGCAAACCTAGTATCTAAACTGCATAATTTAGACTACATGTTTACATTTTGAAGACATTTATATTTTACCAATAATCTTTAAGACTGTTTTTATTTCTCAAAGATTAAAGTCACGTGAACTAGGAGGCATTACAGCTCTTACTTTTCCTTCAAAATATATTTGATCTAAGCACTTATTTTTCTTTATGCCAGTTAATTAGAGCTCTTTTTAATAGACATCAAACACAACACATATATAACTACATATACAGAAGAAGATCAGTAGCTATAAGATTTTTTGTTTACCAATCTCCTAATTGGATTATTGGCCTCTGGGTGGACCCTTTAAGAGCATGGCCAGGAAATCATGCTGTTTCCAGGGCCCAATAAACAGGTATGGCTAGAAGACAAAAACAGATTTTGAGAGGGATCTATCTGCTTTTAATTCCTTGGGTTCATGAGGAAAACAGAGGTTTCTCCCAAAATGGAATCTGTGTCGCCTTTCCATTTTTCCCAAGGAGTTCAGGCTTTTAGAGATTATCTTAGGGCCTCTCATGCATGCATTAAGGGTGGCAAGGCAAAATGGAGAAAAATAATTCAGTTGACAGAAAAAAAAATCTTTTTCCAGCAAAACAAGATCCAAGAAGAGAAAAACATAAAGGCCTTTTAAATATACCTAGATCTCAGATATCCACTTTTGTTTTTTTAAGATGGAGTTTCCCTCTTATTGCCCAGGCTGGAGTGCAGTGGCACGATTTTGGCTCACTGCAATCTCCGCCTCCTGGGTTCAAGTAATTCTCCTGCCTCAGTCTCTGGAGCAGCTGGGATTACAGGCCCAGCTAATTTTTGTATTCTTAGTAGAGATGGGGTTTCACCATGTTGGCCAGGATGGTCTCGAACTCCTGACCTCAGGTGATCTGCCCACCTTGGCCTCCCAAAGTGTTGGGATTACAGTCATGAGCCATCGTGCCCGGCCTTGGATATCCACTTTTAATTAAGCTGAGCGCTCTTTAATAAAGTCCTTTTAAATTCCTTATTACCTGACTTTAGCCATACCAAGCAGCCAATATTTCTGGCTTTTGATCTTTATCGAAAGTAACTTCACAGGTCAAACCAACAAGTCTCAGTTAAGGCATGCAAAGCACACCAGGTTGGTTACAGCTTAAGATTAACCTCATAAATCCTTTTTCATTAAACAAAACTTTACAGAGAATATAAACAGTGATCCTTAGCATTCCTTTTACTGGTTTGCACAGGGAGAGGGAGGCCAAAGGCCTGACTGGTAAAAAAAACTTTTACCCTTTTGCTGGCATGCCAGGCTTCTGGGTCCCCATCCCCCAAGTTCAATTCCAAGCCAACTAGATTGAAGATGAATGGCTTCTCATTTAGAAAGAGGGAAGCAGGTGTCCCTGTTTCCTTTCTCTTCCTAGCAAATGCCTGGGGTGTGTGAGGAAGAGAAGAAACAAGGGCCTTCTTTACTTCTTCCATCCGTATATCCCTAAGTTCCACTGACCACGAAAGGGTGCTGCCCATGGGTGTCAGTGTGGCTTTCACCCATGTTAACGGGTCTAGGTGGTGGGATTGTCCACTCTTGCCTATGCACACCCTGTCCCCCTGCTGTCAGTAGCCTTCAAGTTTATAAGCTTGGAATTGAGTTTGGGACAGAAATATGTCTCAGGGGTTACACGGACTCCTTAGCATAAGCCAAATACTAAGGTGAAGCTGTGGAATTGAGCCCTCCTCCAACAAGGGAGAGAAAAGGGTGTCTTGTGAATTTGGGTCCCGGCCTAGTAAAATGTCTTCTAAAAGGAAAAAAAATCCTCTTGCATAAAAGTTAACTCCTGACAGGGTAGAGGAAAGATTAAAAAACAGCTTAAGTACAGGGCTGTGTTAACTGCCAACAGGGTGGAGAAAGGAAAAAAACAAAAACAAAAAACAGCTTAAGCGCAGGGTGGGAAAGATACCTGGGGGAATATCCTCTTATTCTTATGACAGTGGGTTTCTCCAACAGGGGGAGAAATATTTTATTGCTGTTGGACTGAGCTGCACACCTCGGCTGGGGGAGGGGAAGACACTGTGGGTGCGTGGCAGGGAATGCTGGCCAGCCAGCTGCATGGGGCCCTTGGTCCATGTGCCCCAGCCCCAACTGGGAGGAGAGTGGGGTCGGGGAGCTGCCCCTCACCTGTCCATCCTGTGCGCATACCTGTGGTCATTAAGGTGGGGGTGGAACACCCCCAATATTGTAAAAGAAAAGATAGGTAACATTACAGTCCCCCCACAAAGTAAGGAAAATACCATAGAAAAGACTGGGTTGGAGGAGGCTGACATTCCCAACCTCTGCGAGTGGCGGTCGGGGGCAGGAAGACTGCAGTTTCCTCTACCTTCAGAAGATGTCTCCATTTCCAGAGGATCGTGTTCATCCTGCAACCATTCCAGTGTGACAATGAGTAGGAACAGCGTCACTGGAGCTGCAGAAGTGGAGAGGAGGGCCATTTCACTATTATACCCTGCTTTTCCACTTGACCCTAGTTTGGGGCCTAGGGCTTGTGGTTTGCTGGTCCCAACCTTCCACTCTTCTGATGCTTCTCTTGGAAACTTTAATTCTGTGAGAGACAGGAAAAACCAAAGTGTTTTTCCCAGTCTCATACCACTTAACACAACACTTCACCTCTGATCACCAAAATATGTAGGGGTTTCACTCCACCAACAACCAGTTTTCCAGCAAACACCAACTAGATGTCCTATGATTTGATTCAATTCAACACTACCTAGAGTAGGGTTAGTTCCCACATATTAACTCCCTCACGACTGCCTCCCACTTCAAGTGCCAATCACAAGTAGTAGGTTGTCACTTATTCTTCTGAAAAACTGGCTATAAATTGGGGTTCACATGACCCCCTTCTTGGATTTCACAGTTTGGGGCTCCATTTTTTTTTCTTGGCTTATAAATCCTCTATCCATTGACTCCCCCAGTCTCCTCTCCTGTGATCATGTGATCTTGTGATTATGGGTCTGGATCCATGGAACTTACAGTATTCTCAGGTTTCTACCTAGATTCATCTGTGCTTCACCTCAGCATTCTGATGGGTGCCTGTTATCTCCCTTTTGTGAGCGTAGAGTCATGCTACCAATGTACAATGTTAAATGTTAAAATAGAGCCTGGGGTAGAGGTTCTATTCAGGAGTTGTGATCAGTCCAGTCTTGCTGATGTACTGCCTTTAGCTCATGAGAATCATACTTTTCTCAATGAAAGGAATTAACCCAAAGGTTGACAGTTATGTCTTTTATAGGCAGGCCTCAGGTGAACTTGGGTTCCTTCAAACTTCTGTTCACTTGAGTTTTGAGGTAAGTCAATGGAGGCATTTCATTGAATCTGTGTCCAAAGGCGAAGATGTATCCATTTGTATTCACCAGCAGGATGACGTTTGAGAGGTCCCAGGTAGGATGAGATAGATGCACAGAAGTGCACCTGGCCTGAGAGGACAGGATGAAGCCTGGAAACAGAGTGGTGGCAGCAAGAGATGCCCTTAGGACATGGAAATACATGAAGAGCAAACTAAACCATTTATATGGGAATCTAATCCCTTATTGAACTAATATTTGAATATATTGGCAAAACATCAAAATGTGAGAGGTTCTAACCAGCATTTATAGATTATATAATTGATAAATTGGCATCCATTGATCACAGGGTCAAACTAAAGGCCAAAGTTGTTTATATCTCCTGCAGTAAGCCTTTCACAGGCATGTGAAATCATATTATAAACCTCTAACCATAGACCCCAATATCTGTGTCTCACTTCCTGCACAATAGAGGACATTGCCACCTAACAGCTTCCTGCCACTACATAGTAAAGGCCTTTGCTATGATTTTGCTTCACTTCTTTGCCTCCTGGCTTGGTACTTTCCCATATGGCTCTGCATGGTGTGGCATGCCCCTCCTCTTGGGAGCTGTATGTAATAAATTCTTTCAAAGGCAGTTGTTTCTTTGTCTGTCAATTACTATAACCAATTAAAACAAATCCCAGGTATATTTTTAACACAGGGAGAACCCCACAATGTATAAATTATTATGCCAAGTAATAGAAAGTGCTATGAAGGACAACAAAACAGGTAAAGGGGATAGAGAGGGATAGAGCGATCAAAGACAAACTCCGGTGAGGGAACATTTGAACCAGAGACTAGAGTAAGATAGGGAGCAAGATGTGTTGATGAGTGAGAGCATAGCATTCTAGGTAGAGGGAATAGCAAATAGGAAGGCCCTGAGGCAGGAGGGAGCATGCTTGCAGTGTGTAAGCAGAGAGAGAGAGAGAGAGAGAGAGAGAGATTGAGACGGCAATGCTTAGGAGTGGGATGGGTTCAGAGTATGGGAGGTGGACTGAATTGTGTCCTCCAAAAATTCATATGTTGAAGCCCAAACCCCTGGTACCACAGAATGTGACTGTATTTGGACACAGGGCTTTTAAAGGGTAATAAAATCAAAATGAGGCCATGAGAGGGTGCCCTAATCCAATCTGACTGTTGTCCTCATAAGAAGAGGAGATTAGGGTGCGGTAGCTCATGCCTATAATCCCAGCACTTTGGGAGGCTGAAGCAGGAGGATCAACTGAGCTCAGGAGTTGGAGACCATCCTGGCCAACATGGTGAAACCCCGTCTCTACTAAAAATACAAAAATTAGCCAGGTGGTGGTGGGCACATGTAATCCCAGCTACTCAGGAGGCTGAGGCAGGAGAATTGCTTGAACCCAGGAGGCAAAGGTTGCAGTGAGCCGAGATCACACCACTGCACTCCAGCCTGGGTGACAGAGAGAGACTCTGTCTCAAAAAAAAAAAAAAAAAAAAAAAAGCAGCGATTAGGACACACAGAAAGACACCAGGAGTGCACATGCACAGAGGCATGGCCATGTGAAGAGACATCAAGAGAGCAGCCATCTGCAAGCCAAGGAGAAAGGGCTCAGAGGAAACCAACCCTGCCAGCACCTTGATCTTGGACTTCCAGTCTCCAGAACTGTGAGAAAATAAATTTCTGTTGTTTAAGCCACCCAGCCTGTGGTAATTTGTTATGGCAGCCCCAGGAAACTATTATAGGAAGAAATGACATCAAAGACAGAGGCAGGGGTCAGGTCATACAGGACCCACTAGGCTATGGTAATTGCTTTGGATTCTGCTGTAAGTATGAAGGAAAGTCAATGGCAGATTTTGAACAGGGGTGTGTGGCCCAAGATAGCTCACTATTGCTGAGTCCTGACTCACATGCTCATTGGTTTTCACATTTTGTGGCCATGTCTAGATGCAAAGGCATCTGGGAAATGCCTTTATTCTGAACATTCACCTGACCAGTTAAATACAAGGATTTTATTCTTGTTGTTTTATCTCTGTCAACAAGGGAAAAACATTTTGAGGGACAACTAAAAGTCTCTTAGAGGCACCAAATGTCTGTAATGCCTGGAACTGTGAGAATAATTTCTGTAAGTGGGATGGGTAGGTTGAGTTTTTAATAGGTTTATTTAGGAGAAGGAAGTTATTTAGTTGTAGGTCTTAGTAAAGATTCATGGAGAAAGTACATCTGAACATTTGGCAGTGGGGATATGGATAGAAAGAAAGGAAGGGCAGGCAGGCATTGCAGACAGAACAGGCACAGGCAGGAACATATTTATGGCACAGATGAAATTTAAGTGTGGCTGCAGTGAAATGTGTGGGCAGGGAGGTAAGGGAGGTCAGGTTGGAGATGAGTTGGGACATACTGTGGAGTCCTGAATCCTTACGTGAGGGATTGGAGAAACTGAATTAGGCACTGAGTGTGTTTGAGCAAGGAATTGGTAATGTTTGGTTTTCACTTTGGCAGTATATATAGACAAAAGGAGTATGGAGAGAGGTGATCCCATTTATTTTTGGAAATGTTTAATGAGCCTTCAAACGTGTTAGCCTCAGATTTTGCCATAGCCTTCAGGCTTCCCTGCACTGGGGTGAGTAGATACAGTGATAGTTGGTGAGTGTATGTGAGTTTACTAGATACTTATTAGTCTGTCCCAGCAGCCAGATAACCAGGAAATGCTAAGACCACACTGCATGCTACATAGTGAAATAAGGAGTCTGGCTCCATTTTTGATGTTGATTGCTGACAGATTTCAAGCCCCATCACTCCTCTTTCTCCATCTGCTTCATATCTGGGCAAGCTGATAAAAAATACCTCAGGTGCTGCTTTCCTTACGTGTCCCATATGGAGAAACCCTCACTTCAGCCCCACCTTCCAAACACCATAGAACCCGAAACCAGAGCCTTTCCCCTGCTCTCTCAAGCCATTCAGACCAGCTTGGGAGCCTGCCATTACTCATTATGGGAGTAGTAAATCTTTTTCTACCTGCTTGGTGTGAGCATGATGTCTTAAATCTAGACATCCAAACCAAATTTTGGGTGAGAGACCAGACTGTGTCTGTGGGGTGACCACAATACATAGTCTACAGACTACTATATATGTGGTCACCCTACACTATATTTCTGTATTTTACAAGTGCCTATTGTGACACAGTATTTCACAAGTGCCTATTAAGTGCCAGATGCTGAGGACAGAACAGTGAATTGACTGTGTTTGAGTTCATATTGTTGTCAGGAGGAAAAGGCAATAAGCAAAAGGAATAAATCACATATACTTGAAGGAAAAGAGTTGTGAGTGCTGGGGATGGGTTTGCTATTTCTTTTTTTTTTTTTTTTTTTGAGACGGAGTCTCACTCTGTTGCCCAGGCTGGAGTACAGTGGCGCGATCTCAGCTCACTGCAACCTCCACCTCCTAGGTTCAAGAAATTCTCCTACGTCAGCCTCCTGAGTAGCTGGGATTACAGGTGCCCACCACCACACCTGGCTAATTTTTGTATTTTTAGTAGAGACGGGGTTTCACCATGTTGGCCAGGCTGGTCTCAAACTCCTGACCTCAGGAGATCTGCCTGCCTCGGCCCCCCAAAGTGCTGGGATTGCAGGTGTGAGCCACCGCGCCCAGCCTGGGTTTGCTATTTTTAAATGTTTGTCAGAGTAAGACCTCCCTGAAAAAGTAAAACATTGAAAAATATCCTGAAGGACATTTTCTTTTCTTTTCTTTTCTTTTCTCTTTTCTTTTTTTGAGACAGAGTCCTGCTCTGTCGCCGAGGCTGGAGTGCAGTGGTACGATCTTGGCTCATGGCAAACTCCGCCTCCTGGGTTCAAGCGATTTTCCTGCCTCAGCCTCCCAAGTAGCTGGGATTACAGGCACATGCCACCATGCCCAGCTAACTTTTGTATTTTTAGTAGAGATGAGGTTTTGCCATGTTGGTGAGGCTGGTCTTCAACTCCTGACCTCATGTGATCCACCGGCCTTGGCTTCCCAAAGTGCTGGGATTACAGGCAAGAGCCACTGTACCTGGCCCTTGGATATTTTTACTTAACATAAAATTTTGGGTTTACATTTCTTTTCTTTTAGCACTTTAAAAATATTGTTCCATTTATGGCCAGGCATGGTGGCTCATGCCTGTAATCCCAACACTTTGGGAGGCTGAGGAGGGTGATCACTTGAGGTCAGGAGTTCAAGACCAGCCCAGCCAACATGGTGAAACCCTATCTCTACAGAAAATACAAAAATTAACCAGGCGTGGTGGTGCATGCCTGTAGTCTCAGCTCCTCGGGAGGCTGAGGTGGAAGGATCACTTCAACCTGAGAGGCGGAGGGTGCAGTGAGCCAAGATCATGCCACTGCACTCCAGCCTGGGTGACAGAGTGAGACCTTGTCTCAAAAACACACACAAAAAATTGTTCCATTTAAATTCTTTTCTTGTAGCACTTTAAAAATATTGTTCCATTTAAAATTAGAGTAATGTGAATCATTGTTCCCCTATAAATAATGCATTTTTTTTTCTGTCTGCTTCCAAGTTTTTTCTTTTTCTCAAATACATTTCTTTTTTTGAGATGGGGTCTCACTTTGTTGGCCAAGCTGGAGTGCAGTGGTGAGATCATGGTTTACTGCCTTGACTTCCCAGGCTCAAGCAATTCTCCCACCTCAGCCTCCTGAATAGCTGGGGACACAAGCATATGCTACCACTCCCAGCTAATTTTTAAAATTTTTCTGTAGAGACAGGATCATGCTATGTTGCCCAGGCTGGTCTCAAACACCTGGACTTCAACAATCCTCCCACCTTGGTCTCCCAAAGTGCTGGCATTACAGGCTTGAGACACTGTGCTTAGCTTTTAAATATTTTTTATTCTGTAGTTTGATTATGCTGTATTTAGGCCTGGGTTTGTGTTTATCCTATTTGGAATTCACTAAGCTTGAATCTGTAGGTTTATGTTTTTCCATCAAATTTGGAAAGTTTTCAGCCTTCATTTCCGCAGATATTCATTCTACACCACACTCTTTCTCTTCTCCTTCTGAGACTCTGATGACGTGAATGTTAGACCTTTTGATGTTGTCCTCATAGGCCCCTAAGGCACTTTGCATTTTTCATCTTTTTTCCTCTGTTTTTCAGATTAGGTAATTTCTATGAATCTATCTGCAAGTTCACTGTTTTTTTCCTCTGTCCTCTCCATTCTGCCATTGAGCTCATACACTGAGTTTCTTGTTTTTTTTTTTTTTGTTCTACAATTTTCATTTGGTTCTTTTGTTTTCTATTTCTTTGGTGAGGTTTTCTGTCTTTCCATTCATTTCAAGAGTGCCCACTCTTAATTGTTTGAATATTTTTGTAATAGCTGCTTTAAAGTCTTTTTGAGATAATTCTAACATCTGTGTCATCTTAACATTAGCATCTGTTGATTTGTTTTTCAATGAAACAATATTTTTTCTGGGTATTTTTTTTGTACGCCAAGTAGTTTTGTATTGTATCCTAAGCATTTTGAATGCTATATTATGAGACCTCGAAGCATGTTTAAATTTTAAGTATAAGTGCTAATTTTTTAAAAAGCAGTAATTCAACCCTGTTGGGTTCAGGGTGCAAAATCTGGCAATTTTTCTTTGATTTTTTAAAATCCTAATATCAGTTCATTTTTCAAAACTTTTTGTAATACTATCCATATCTGTTCCCTGTGCAGGCTACCGAGTGGCCATTCTGGGGCTTGGGAGGTAATGTATTCCATATTTAGTTCTGTCTATGCTGTTTGGGGTCAGATCCATGCATGTGTAGCTCAGGAATAAACCCAGGAGTTTATAAATAACTTTAACAAATTGTTTTACTGACCTCAACCTTCTCTGAAATTTCGCTAGTAGTTTCTGGTCTATTTGTGCCCCTCTTTTCTTTTTTTCTTTCTTTCTTTTTTTTTTTTTTTTTTTTTTTTTGAGACAGAGTCTTGCTCTGTTGCCCAGGCCAGAGTGCAGTGGCACAATCTTGGCTCAGGGCAACCTCCACCTCCTGGGTTCAAGCGATTCTCGTGCCTCAGCCTCCCAAGTAGCTGGGATCATAGGCGCCCACTACCACACCCAGCTAATTTTTGTATTTTTGGTAGAGATGGGGTTTTGCCATGTTTGCCAGGCTGGTCTCAAACTCCTGGCCTTCAGTGATGTGCCTTCCTCAGCCTCCAAAAGTGCTGAGATTACAGGTGTGATCCACCGTGCCTGGCCCTTGCCCCTCCTTTCTGATCCTCCAGGTAAAAGCTGAGGTTTTATCTAGCCCTCTCTGCTATAAACTTTTTGCAATTGAAACTGTATGCTACTCCCTTATGGTCACAGTAAGCAGTGAGAGGACCGAGAAACAAAAAAAGCAGCTTGAGTTTCTCTCACCCTCTTGAGATCACAGCTCCTCTGATCAGAGAGAAAGATTCTTACTCTCTCTGAGTTTTAGGTTTTGGACAACACCCATTAGTCTTGCTTCTATCCCCAGCACAGATTACTTGGGACTGGGGCATGGAAGTACAAAGAAAAGAAATCAGAGGATTTCTATTCTCTTCCAGAGCATCAGATGACTCCTTTCCATGCCTTGAGCTATTATAGAACTTGAGGGCTTCTCCCTTACTTCTGTCTCTGCTGATGCACACTTCCAGAATTTGGGCTATGTATAGTTCAGGCTAGGGAATATGAGAAGAAAAAAATGGTAAACTCACTGTCAATCTTGTGGTACTTTCACTTCTGTTCCTCCTCGAACAGCTTGCTCCTATTTACCTTTCAGAGTCAAATACCTACTGTATGCATCCTACCCAAGGTTTAGACCTGCATTTAATGGAAACAACTAGGTAGAATAGGCTAATTATATCTTACCTAGAACCTCATCCATCTTTTTACTTAACATTTTCTATGTGTTTATATTTAAAGCATGTTTCTTGTATGCAGCATGCAGTTGATTCTTGCTTTTTTTTAAAAAATCAAATCTTACATTCTCTTTTTTTTTTTTTTTTTTGAGACATAGTCTTGCTCTATTGCCCAGGCTGGAGTGCAGTGGTGTGATCTCGGCTCACTGCAACCTCTGCCTCCTGGGTCCTGGTTCGAGCAATTCTCCTGCCTCAGCCTCCCAAATAGCTGGGATTACATGAACGCGTCATCATGCCCAGCTAATTTTTGTATTTTTAGTAGAGACGGGGTTTTACCATGTTGGCCAGGCTGGTCTTGAACCCCTGACCTTGTGATCTGCCCACCTCAGCCTCCCAAAGTGCTAGGATTACAGGCGTGAGCCACTGTGCCAGGCCTCTGTCTTTTAATTAGTGTGTTTAGAGCATTTACTTTTAATATAATTATTGATATGACTGAATTAAAATCTATCATTTGCTAATTGTTTTGTATTTGTTCTATCTGTTCTTTTTTTTCTCTCTCTCTCTTTTAAATCTTCTTTTGAATTGAGGATTTTCTGTGATTCTGTGTTACCCCCATAATTGATTTGTTATTTCTACTGAAAAGTTTAATGCATATTTTCAGAGCTTACAATATATATCTATAATTAGAGTCTATTTCCAAATAATATCACTTCTCATGTAGTGTATGGGTTTTGCAACACAAACTGCCAAACCTCTCCCAACATTTGTGCTATTTTTTGTCATGTCTTAACTTTTACATGTGGTATTAACATAGTACCTTGATATTATTTTTGCTTTTGACAGTGACTTATCTTTTAGAGTAATTTTTAAATAAGAAAAAAGTAAGTTTTATATTTATTTTCATTTCTTGACATTTCTAGAGGTCTTCATTTCTTTGTGTACGTCCAAGTTTTTGTCTGGTATCATATTCATTCTGCCTGAAGAATACCTGTTAACATTTTTTATGGTACTGATCTGGTGGCAATGAATTTTGTTTATCTGGAAAAGTCTTTATTTCTCCTGCATTATTGAAAAATATTTTTGCGGGATATAAAATTCTGGGTTGACAAGTTCCTGACCTTTCTCTGACCTACTATCAGCACTTTAAATATGTTACTACATTATCTCTGGCTTGCATGGTTTCTGATGCAAAATTGGTTATAATTCTTATTTGTGTTTCTCTGTATGTAATGTGTCTTTTTTCTCTGGCTGCATCCAAATATTCGTGTATGTATATATATTTATATACACATACTATACACGTATAGTATACACCCATATATGCACATACACATACATACACACAAATACGTATAGCGGCTAAGGCAAAAATGAAACAGGCATACTTTTTCTTTCGGTAGATCTTTATTGTGAAGGCTTGAGTTGATCTAATCAGGAGTTAAACTGTGTTTAGGTGTTTTTGTTGCTATGGTTATCCACAGGCTTCAAATTCTTCTAGTATTACCTTAAGTTTAGTGTGTGGGATGGTTTGCTAAAGGAGATTTTCTCAATGTTTGCACCACTCTTACCTTTAGGCCTTCCCTTCATTCCTGTACCTCAGAGAGGGGTCTTTCTCCATGTTTTTATCCTTCTTTTAGCAGTAGATTGCTGTTCTTATTGACTCAGCATTTGATATTTTGGTGGTGGTAGAAGGGATGGCATTTTCTGTTGTGATTCAGCTTTAATCTTAGGTAGGCACTGTGTCTCTGAGACTTAAGGGTGGGGTCTATTAAGTGATGTTGCCCTATCCTCAGCTGTAGGACACCTCCATGGTCTGGAACCAGGATGCAATTCTACCGCTATTTCGTGAATGGAGAGCTTTTTGTTCTCTTTATTCCCTTCAGTTCCACTGGATCTTAACCAGTCCCTAAGGGTGACAAGATTTGCTTTTTCATCCTCAGAGGCTTAGGGCTTTTGTTCTGTAGGGGAAATAGGAGAGAAGGACCTGGATGGGGATTCATGTCTTTTCTAGCGGGAAGGTTTTCATAAGATTCTTCTTGCCTTACCTTCAATTGTATGTGTGTATGTGTGTGTGCACACATTTGATGATGTCCATAGAGAAGAATATACAAGTGGGTGGAAATTCTGCTTGTGTCTGTGGTTCACAGGAGTTCTGTAGTCTCTATATTCTCAGGCTAGCCAACACTTGGACCTCAGCAACTCATTAAACATTTTAGCTGATTTCTCCTTAACAGCTTACATGGCATCCAATGGCATCTGTCCTATGTAAACAAGTGCTTACAACCATCTCTTCTTGAAAGTGCCTGTCTTACATCAGATTTTAGATTAAGTCGTTTGCCCCCAGATCTTAGCTTTCTGATGTGTTCAAGAGAAAATTTTAGATTATCTGGCTGTTTTTTGTTGTTGTAAGGGTGAGGCCATGCACTTTTCAGTTTTCTACATCGTGAGAAGGTGAATTTCTTGATTTTTCAAAAAGAATCACACTTTTAAAAACCCTGAAAAATAAAGAAAAGAGACTGAGCTACCAGAACGGCAGTGACTTTGGGTGGCTCTCACTTATGCCAGGCACAGGGTGAATTCAGGGCTCTGGGCTATGAGGGGTCGACTGCAAACCCCTGCAGCAGATGTGAGCTGCATGTGTGGGCCCCTGTGTCAGCCTGTGCTCATTTGTCTTCCTACAGTGATACTGCATGTGATACACAACACCCAAGGACAATGGAGGTGGGGGCAAATGTCCCTTATTCTTCACACCCTTCGCTGTTGGCATCAAAGCAGTTACTCTACCTTCTCCACAGGCTTTGGCACAGCATGTCAGGAAGTTCTCTGGGGTGGCCACACCTATTTCCTCTAAGTGCTTTCAACAGGTTTTTCATCATGATAGGTATCCTTTCTTACCTCTGATTGATGTAGTCATGCTGTTTTCCTGGGACAGTGTTAAGCTCTGCTGGACAGGGGATGAATATTTCTTGGGTAAACTGACTGCTCTCACTTTGCCCATGGTCCATTGCTAATCCTCTCTGCTAGTGGTAATGTATGGAAGTGAGAGGCGTCAGCAACATTGAAAGACATCACATTCTAGGAGTGCAATCATTACAGCAATTCAAGAGAAGTCCTGGTTGTATAATGTGTGATTCGTTCATTATGCTATAACAATCCAAATGCTAAATTTAACAAGATCAATAAAACGTATAACCATTCACATTTTCTTGCATATTCTGGGTAAGACTTGTAGTTGCAGTTATTGTAGCACAGTAATAAAGGCACTGGAAGCCAGTATTCAAGGTTGGTACGATGATGCAGCGTCATGAGCAAGGTGCCTCAACTCAGAACTGGGCTCTGGAGGAACGCCAAGAGCCTATCTCGCCAGCGTGCCCTTTTCCTCACGGGAATTAGGAGGGAAGCACCAAGATGTGGGGTCCTCCACGAGTCCTAGAGAGAAATCCAGAGAGTGTATGGGTTCACCAGTCAGTGTGATGACGCACTTCCGGGGCCGCCTTCGTTTTTGTCGCGCGAGGTTTTGGTTTGTGAGGATCGGCGAGTGGCGCCCACCATCTCTGCTTGCTGAAAAGCTGCAGAGGCCGCCAGGAGCCCACGGTGAGCGGGTCTGAGGAGGACGGGAAACAGCCCCGAGGGAGGCGGGTGTGGCTACTGCTGGTACTGGGGTCCTCATGCCGATCCCCGAGCTTGGCTCTGTAGCGTCGAGATGCGGCGCTGGCAGAGGCCTGGAACGCTGGCCGCAGGCTCCCACCCCCCTCGTTTCCCTGTACCCAGGGCAGCCTGTGGCCCACTCAGAGTCGGATACTGACACACATTCGCATGTTAACTTCGAAGCCCACAAAAAGTTTTAACTGTCCACACTCCAGAATCTTCTATCAACAGAACATGCCCCTCGGTCGCTCCAGCCCCCTTGTCTTTGACCCGGATGCGGAAACCCCAACCCTACCCCTCAGCTTGTCAGTTTCCACGTTTTCAGTTGGTCCCTGAAAATCAGTTGGTGATCAGTTATTTTCGCCTGCCATAGTGTACACCAGTCTTGAAACTTGTTACTGTCGTAGAGCAACCAAAAATTTGAGAATACCGAATTGTATTCCCTACCCGTCCCCAGGATGTCCCATTTTGGAAAATATGGAGCCCTGCGATCTGGATTGGCTCATAAGAATGTTAAATCTAAAAAGACTGATCGTATCCGTCATGCACCTAATGTGTGTCCAGTGTTTAACATAGTTTCCTATGTACAGGATTGGAGATGTCGAAAGATTTCTTGACCTCTTAACATTGTTCATTATATTCTTTTCTTTAGATTCTCTGAACTTTTACTCCACTGTCATAATTTAATTGTCAAGGTTCATAGGATAACATTCGATGTCCCTGCCATTAGTCAACTATGTTGGGAGTGTGATTTGTTCTCCAATGTGGCTTGTTATTTATGTTTCATCTCCACTTAGCTTTCCCCATAGGAAGACACTTCCATAGGGAGTGTTTTGTGTTTTGTAGGGTGACCTCTGTTGTAGTTCTATTTCCAGATGATTTCCCTTTCGCAGATTGTCAGCTGTGCAGATCAGACCTTTTTGCTTAAGTCCTTTTGTTTGATACGCTAATCCTATTAAGTATCCACTGTAAGGGACATTTACTGCCGATACAATGACAGTATCATGATTTTAGAGAATTAGATTCCACAATTACAAGGGTTAACTATTTACTTAGTATGAATCACTGCTTTTGTTACCCTTTCTTGGACAGAAACCATCCATGAATTTAGCAGCATTACTTGTGTAGGTTTACATTGTGTTTTCTTTTAAAGTACTTCTCTTTACACTCATAAATATTTCTCCTTACTGGACTCCCTGTTAACTTCCAAGATGCCTTTTCTGGCGTCTCCTGACAGCTGTTTCTCTGACACCTTCAGCTTCCTCTACCTTCCTGAATGGCTTTCTGGATTCACTAAGAAGAGTCATTGGAGGGAGGGGCAGTGCACTGGCTTTATAGTGTTTTGTCTGATGCTGTTGCAGTACCCTAAGACTTACAGCAAACTGCAGATATGGAGTTGGAACGGAAGTTGTTTTTAAGGTCTATGAGTATATGCACTTTTATGTGTTTGTTTATATGCTTTTTGAATATCTCTGATCCAACTGTTGGCAGCTCTTTGTATTTCAGGTGTTGTCTTTAATGCATAAATATTGATGATTCACTCTTGAAAGGCAAAAGACTTACTTCCTAATGATGAACTAATTAAATGACCCAGAATGAGAGTTGGAACTAGTTTAGAAATGAAATTGTTTTGTTTCCTTATACTATAACATTTGGAACTTGAAGTATTTGGGACATGTTATGAAGTTGATGGATTCTTTTAATATGGTAATGTTTTCTTTCTCATCACCCACTCCAAACACCTTTATAAAACTGAATGAGTATCTTGTATTTAGGGGAAAAATAGTAGTAGGGAGGCATCAAAATATTTCTGATAACTATTTTCAAAGTCTGTTCAACTTTCATTACTTCAGTCATAGAAACTCTTGTTCTAATATTAAGTAGCATAGGAGGAAAAACATGCTGAGGTCTTACAGTGTTTAATGGATTTCTTTTATATAACTCATTCCTATCTGTACTACATAACTCATTCTTATCTGTACTGTATGGATTTCAGGGATCTTAACTGTTTAGAATTCCAACTTTCTTTTCTGCCTATAACACTCTGTCCACTGTCTACCTTAGTTTCCTTTTCTGTTTCCTGTCCTGTGATGTATTCTATGGATTAGCTGAAATTATAGTTTTCTCAGTCCACTTTTTCATCACTCATTCCGTGGATGATTCTACCTCCTTTTTGCATTTCTCTGTATGCCTGCTATCTCGCCTTTGTGAGATTGATAATAAGCAATAACTAATGAACGGTTATTGATATAGCCTTCAAAACAGATGGGTCAGAGGTTGTTTGTAGGACTTATGGTCAATAAAGTTATTATCGTTAATGTTTTTTTTCTTTACCTTCAGCACCTGAGACTTTTACCTTTACCCAGAAAGGAATAAAAGAGGTCAGATGATGACAGCTGTGTCCTTAACAACCAGGCCCCAGGTGAGCTGTTTTTTTCTATCTCTGTACATATCCCTGTGTGTATATACATATGTGTTTATTAGATACATACATAAAAATATCTATATTACACATTTACATATATATAACATACTTTTATATATGTGTGTATGTGTACACACACACATTTCTCATTGAGGTTTAACTTACACAACACAAGTCTTAACAGTATAGCTCACTTTTTAGAACTATGTACACTTGTATGACCTCACTCATAGAAACACATAGAACATTATTAGCACCCCAAAAGGCCCCTTCATACTGCCTCCCAAGCAATCCACTGCTCATCCCAAAGTTAACCACTATTCTGACCTCTGTTACCATAGGAAAGTTTTGTTTGTTCTTGAACTTCGTATAAGTGGAATCATTAAACATGCATTCTTTTGTATCTGCCTTCTTTTGCTCAACGTTATGTCTGTGAACTTCACTGACGTTGTTGCACACAGCAGTGATTTGTTCTTTTTCACTACTGAGTAGTTTTTCATTTTGTGATAATAGCACATTTTATTCATTCTATTGTGGATGGACTTTTGGTTGTTCCCATTTTGGGCTACCATGAATAAGAATGCAGTGAACATTCTTATCTTTTTGTGGACATAGATGCTTCTTTCTCTTGGGTATGTCTCTGTGAGTAAAATTTTAGCTCATAGGGTATATATACATTTGGTTAGTTTAGTAGATACTGCCCAACAATTTTCCAAAATGATTATTCCAATTTATATTTCTGTCAGCCGTGTACAGTTGCTCCACATCCTTACCATTACTTGTTGTCACTCGTTTGCAGTATCTCATTGGGGTTTAAAAAATCTTCTCATCTCTAGTAAGCAGTGATGCTGAGCACCATTTCATAGGTTTATTGGCATATCCTCTTATGTGAACTCCCTGTTCAGATATTTTTTCGTATTTTTTATTACACTGTACCTTTTTTTCTCCTAAGTTGTATTGTTTCTTATTTATTGTAAGTCCTTTGTCAGACATATGTGTTATTAAGTAACTTCTCCCAATCAGTGGCTTGCATTTTCACTCTCCTAATGGTATCTTTTGATTATAGATTTTACTTTCAATGAAGTCCAGTATATCAGTTTGTTTTGTATAAGAAATCTTTTCTTACTCAGACATCATCAAGATGTTCTTCTGTGTTTTCTTCTAGAAGATTTATTGTTTTACCTTTATACTTAGGTGTGTGATTCATCTCAAATTAAAGGTGTGAGGCATGGGTCAAAGTTCTTTTTCCCCCCATATACATATCCAATTGATTCAGGATTATGTATTGAAAAATCTGTCTTTTACCCACTGAATTGCTCTAGTTACTTTGTCATACATTTGGTGAACATATATGTCTGTGTCTGTTTTTAAAATCCCTATTCAGTTCTATTAGTTGAATTTTCTGTCTGAACCAGTATTCCATGACACTCACTGTTGGTGAGTTACATGGAATTTTGCAACACAACGTAACATGGAGGGCTTTTCTCCAAGGTAATTAAAAATACATAAAAATGGTAATTGATAAAACATTCTTTGGCACTTGGCTCATAGGTTCCCTTAATCTCATACTCCATGTTAAGACCATTTCCACTAGAGCTCTATTTCTGAAATACAGAGCTTGACTCCAGGGCTTAAAAACTTGAAATAGACACCTTTTTAGGCCTATCTTGAGCCTTATGCACCAAGTTGGTCTAGACCCTAGCCTTTCTCAAGTAAGCAGTATTTTCCTGCGTTTCTCTAACCTCACTACCTCTGCATGAAGACAGGCTGCGGGTGGGAGTTCATTGACTGATCAGAGAGCTTTGTGCTTGGGGTAGTGGGCAAGGAGATAGGCAAGAACGAAGGATTAGAATGAAAGTAGAATTGGAAAATGGAGTAATATGAGTAACCCAAATAATCACTGGGATATATACAAATTAGGGAGGGGCTTAGAGCTAAGCTGACAGCTATGTTCGGGGGTCAGTTCTCCTTCCACAAGTGCACTTCTGTGATCGGGCCCAAGCCCAGCTTCTATGCAGCAGCTTCAGCGTCTGTGGAGGTCACATGTTTAGAAGCTCATAGCGGAGGTGTACTTGTTTCTCACTGGGAAAATATGCTGAACTCTGACTGGCTACTTTAATTCTGCATCTTCTTCCTCCACACCTAAATTTTACACAAAAACTCTGTAGGCACGTGAAGGACCCAATACTGAATACGTATCATTTGTAGATGCCCTTCTCAGGTCTCTCATTGGCAGATTTGACCATCACCAAAGTACTGAGGTCTGGGAAAGTAGGAACTTGTCGTTTCAGGAATCAGTGGCTTTTGAGGACGTGGCTGTGTACTTCACTACGAAGGAATGGGCCATCATGGTGCCTGCCGAGAGGGCCTTGTACAGGGATGTGATGCTGGAGAACTATGAGGCTGTGGCCTTTGTAGGTAAGGCCTCTCTGCTGCTGGTTTCTGCTTGGGCCCTCAGGTTGAAGGGCTCTTTTATAATTATTAGCTGACCCCAAATAGCGATGTCAAAGGTTGCCAGGTATAGAAAGCCCTGGTGTCTATTGACTTGCGAAAGGCTTTCCTTCTTTTTCTAGCGTAAAAGCTACCCTCCTTCCCTACCTGCCTCAGAGGTGATTCTGAGTACAGTAGGGCTTGAGCTATATCTTGATACCCTTAGCCTAGTATTGAACCTCCAATTTATCTTAAGAGAATGCAGCCACTTTGTCTCCCTCTGGGAGTTACTCCTAGGAGCCATTTGTCTTTTTCCCATAGTGAGAGATTTTCATCCTCTGACAAAGAAGGTAAAAAATCTTGTTGCCCTTTAAATAGAAATCTGCCTTCCAGGGTGTTTCAGGCTTCCTTGGAAGAACCATCCTGACTCTTCTTCCCAGGATCCCTCCCAGTACCTCTTTAGGGTACCTCTCGTATAGCTCACCCGGGAATTACTCTCCTCACCTCCCTTGCTTGTTCTTGTAGCCACAGGCTTAAATTTGACCCCTATGACTATGCTCATTATTGTGTTATGTTTTCTTCTTTTCGAGCAGTGCCACCCACTTCCAAACCAGCTTTGGTCTCTCATCTGGAGCAAGGGAAAGAGTCCTGTTTCACCCAGCCACAGGGAGTCCTAAGCAGGAATGACTGGAGAGCAGGCTGGATAGGTGAGTTAAGCAAGAGGGTTCTTCTCCAGCTTTGTCTCTTCCTTTGCCTTCATTTCATCAAAATGAAAGGTGTGTGTTCTCTGTGCCCAGCATCATGGAGTACACTGGGATCCTCGATCACATTTTTTCTGACCGGTGTGTTATTCATAGCTTCCCATCCCTTTAAAGCGTAGTACACAACACTCTTCTTCTGTATTTCACACACTGGGATGCTTTTATCCCTTGGGGATATGTAGAACAGTTTTTCTAAATACTTTACTGGTTATTTGTGATCATTTTTTTCCAGTTTCTCCAGTTTTACAAAATTGATAAACTTGGTGCAGTATTATCTTGTTCACTGACCAACAGAACAAGTAGAAAAATTTATTTTTGTTTTTCATGAGAACTAATATATTAACAATTTTAAATAATTTTTTATACTGAAATATTTTAAGCTTACAGTTGTTATGATTTTCCTCCTCTCTAGGATACTTGGAACTAAGAAGATATACTTACTTAGCTAAAGCAGTGTTACGTAGAATAGTATCAAAAATTTTTCGAAATCGTCAATGCTGGGAAGACAGGAGAAAAGCTTAATTCTTGACATTTAAATACCAGTTTTCCAAGTAAGGAGTTGATGTAAGAGCCACCTTAAACGATGTCAAATACACATTTTCTTTTTCTGTAGACTGGTAGATTTAATGTTTTTCATTCATTAAAATAACTCATTTTGATGTACAAAGCAGGCTCTCATGTCCTTTTTTAAACAGCTTTGTGGAGATATAATTCACAAATTATATTTAAATACAATTATATTTAAATACAAATTATATTTAAATACAATTATATTTAAATACAAATTATATTTAAATACAATTTACCCATTTAAAGTATACAATTAAGTGGTATTTAGAATATTCACAGAGTTGTGCAGGCATGCCACAGTCTACTTTTAGATCTTTAGAAACCTCTATCTGTTAAGAATCATCACCATACCCATCCCCAACTCTTGGTTTTAGGCAACTACCTATCTACATTTTGTTTCTATAAATTTCCTTGTTAGGGATAGTTGGTATTAATGCAGTCATACAATACGTGGCCTTTTGCCACTGGCTTTCACTTAACGTAATGTTTTCAAGGTTAATCCATTTTGTAACATGCATCAGTATAGTATACAAGTTACAGTGCAAATATGTTTTCTCATGGGTACATACTCTAGATAGATACTTGTTGGATCTTACAGTAACTCTTTGTATAACATTTCGAGGAATGCCAAAACTTTTTCCGAAGTGGCTATACCAATTTACATTCCCTCCAGCAATGTATGAGGGTTCCTAATTCTTCACATCCTCACCAACACTTAATATTGTCTACTTTTTTGGCTGTAGGCATCCTGGTGATGTGAATTGCTGTCTCATTGTAGTTTTTATTTGCATTTGTCCAGTGGCTAATGACACTGAGAGTCTTTCAATGTGCTTACTGGCCATTTATGTATCCTCTTTGGAGAAATGTCTTTTCAAACTCTGCACATTTTAAAATTGGTTACTTTTCCTTTTATTTTTGTGTTTTAAGGGTTCTGACATCTGGATACTAAATCCATATCAGATACATGGTTTACAAGTATTTCATCCCATTTTGTGAATTGTCTTTTCACTTTCCTAATACTGTCCTTTGAAGCACAACAGTTTTGAATTTTGATGAATTTCCTTGCATTTTCTATATACAAAATTATGTCATCTGAAAATAGAGTTTTACAAACTCTTCCTTTCTAATCTGAATGCCTTTTACTTTTTTTCTTGCCTAATTACTCTGGCTAGAACCTTTAGCGCAATGTTGGATACAAGTTGCAAGAGTGGACATTCTTGTCTTATTCTTAATCTTACGGGGAAAGCATTCAATCTTTTACCAGTAAGTATGATGTTAGCTATGATTTTCTTATAAATGCTCTTTATCAAGTTATCAAGTTGCCAATTTGTTGAGTTTTTGTTGTAGAAGAGTGTTAAAGTTTGTGAAATGATATTCTGTGACTGATAAATTTGGTTCTTTCCTGTATTAATATGGTATACATTACATTGATTGATTTTGGTGTGTTGAACCCCACCCTCCATTCCTTGGATAAATCATAGTCAATGATGTACAAGCCTTATACTGCTGGATTTCGTTGGCTAGTCTTTGGCAAAGACTTAGTTAGTGACATTATGATTCATGAGTGAAGTTATTTTGGGTGGTGGGTTAGATATGCATTCTCCAAATCCAATACTATTTTCTCTAACTATTGTATGTATATTATCTTTCCCAAGTAAGTTACAGGCTTTCTGACAGCAGGAATAATGTAATACTTTTCTCATTTATGCCATAACACTTTATACAGAGTTATTTGATATTTTTTGTTGTTTTTCACTTAATTAAGAGATTCTCTCCTAACTTTATGCCTCCCAATTATGTCTCCATTCTTTCCCTACTGTATCTGAGCCCTCTGTTTCATGTTCCCATCCTTATTGGTTGTCGGTATTTTTACACTACTACTCATTCCCATGGCCCATGACCTTCCCTTTTTGATTCCTCCTATCTTCTTAGCTACCTTTTCATCTTGAACTCTCTTTGGACTTCTAAACTCTGATAAAGCTTTCTCTTCCCTCTTGGGATTCAGGACTTTTCCTTATCTCACTTTATTCCCTAAATGCTCTAAAGGCATTTCAGGTGTGGTGGCTCACATCTATAACCCCTGCTACTTGGAAGGCTGTGGCGGGAGGATTGCTTGAAGGTAGGAGTTTGAGACCAGACTGGGCAACATAGTAAGACCCCCATCTCTGAAAACATACCATTAGCCAGGTGTGGTGTTACATGCCTGTAGTTCCAGCTACTCAGGAGGCTAAGGCAGGAGGTTGCTTGAGCTCAGGAGTTCAAGGCTTCAGTGGGCTGTGATCACCCTACTATACTCAGTCCTGGGTGACAGAGTGAGACCTTGTCTCTTTAAAGAAGAGCATTTTATAAGGACACGAAAGCTGTGTAATAATAGGACATATTAATCTTACTTGCTGATTAGTTCAGGCAAACTATGGCCCATAGGCCAAAATCTGTCCTACCACCAGTCTTTTTGTGTATGGCCTGTGAAATAAGAATGGTTGAATTTTTTAGTGGCTGAAGGAAGTCAAAAGAAGAATATTTTGTAACACATGAAAATTATTTGAAATTCAAATTTCAGTGTCTATAAATGAAGTTTTATTGAAATACAGTTATGTTCATTCGTTATGTATTGTCTATGGCTGTATTCACATTACAATGATAGGATTGAGTACTTGCAACAGAAATTATATGGCCTGAAGAGCCTAAAACATTTACTATCTAGTTATTTACAAGAAATGTTTGCTAACTTCTGGTATACTTCCCTCTGGCATTGCTGAGAGGTGGTATTTGTATGTATTTCTTCTTCTCTAATCAGGTGGAAAAGCCTCGGCTGAGAATGAGCATCTGACATCAAAACAAATAATTTCTGATAAACACAAATCTTGTGGCATGGTATCAGGTGAATATCTGAGAGGGGGACCTGATATTAAAGATAATTTGCAGATCAGAGGGCAAGTTAGAGAGACATAAAATAAATTTCACAAGGGATGAAATGAATAAAAATGAGAAAGATTCTGTGAAGGAGATAATCAGTAATGAGAAACTTCATATAGAAAATACAAGCCATTCACAAAAGAAATCAGAAAGAAATATTAGTGTTAGTTCTCAGCATGAAACACATCTGCAAGGACCAGGTATACAGATTTTCTATAAATTTGATGTGTGGGACAAACATTGCAGTCACAGTTCAGACTTTTTTCAACGTCAGGAAAACTACACTAGAGCTCCCCCAAATGCCGTCTCCACTTCTCTCCTCCTTTCTGTGATCTTTCCTGGACTTACATAGGCCCTTTGCCCTTTGTAAATTTCATACTGCCTTTTACATTCAGTCTTACATGGACCCTCCTCCACTTTGCATTGTTACCTTTCTGTAGATGGCCACAGCACGCTTGCTGCTCAATTTTACACCCTGTGGTGGACGTAGGTTTCTGTTTTTGTCTGTTGTAGCAAGGGCAAGAAGCAACGATTAGGTGAAAAAAGGTCAGGAAATATGAAAACATTTCCACTGTAAATGTAGAGCATGACCATTTGAGTACATTATAAGAATGGCAGAAATGAGTGATTTCACTCAACTCGGGAAGAGAAGGATTCAAATAGAAACTGAAGATATTGCTGCCAGAAACGGACTTTTTAGAGAGGTGTTTATGCCTTGACCTCATAGGAGGCTGTAACACAGTAGTAAATGGGAACTGGTCCTCAGTTTTACTTTTTCAGGGTTGATTTCATCTGGGGTGCCACATTGAATGAATACTAGCCACTGAGTTCATTTGACGTTTCACAGGAGACTGAATTGTTAAACAAAAAGTCAGTTTATGGCTGGGCATGGTGGCTCAGACCTATAATCCCAGCACTTTGGGAGGCTGAGGCAGGAGGATCACTGGAGGCCAGGAGTTCAAGACCAGCTTGGGCAACATAGCAAGACCCCCATCTCTACAAAAAATTAAAAAATGAGATGGGTGTGGTGGTGCACACCTGTAGTCCTAGCTACTCTGGAGGCTGAGGTGAGAGTACCACTTGAGCCCAGGAGTTTGAGGCTGCACTGAGCCGTCGTCATGCCATTGCTCTCTAGCTTGGGTGACAGAGCAAGACCTTGTCTCCAAAAAGTCAGTTTGTTATTTTCCATATGGGGACTTCTTTTCTAGGTCCAAAGGAATAATTTGCTGTCTACTTTTCATGTGTCTGTCTTTTCTTCCCTCCATAACTGGGTCAAGCAGTGTTATTTATGAAAAAGGTGTATAAGCTTTTGTAGGTTGACTGCTTCCAGATGACATTTTCAGTAACAGGGTCATGAATTACCTCCCTTTCCCTTGTCTCCCCTTTGCAAATGTTACCCTTTGTTGTAGGCAAAGGTTATGCTTTGCAAAGGTTACCCTTTGTTATAGTCAAAGGTTACCCTTTGTTATAGTCAAAGGCTATGCTTGGCCAGAAGCTACAGTTTAGAAAAATGTAAGCGAGTTAGATGTTGATGACTTTGAGCCAGAATAGTCACAACCTATTTAGAGACCGTTTTATCCAAGGTTAGAAAGTATGAACTCAGAACAAGTTCTTGTAGCTGAAAGCAGCATTGTCACTTAGAGAAATGGTCTAGAGGAGACATACTGTGAGCTGAGAAAAGAAAGAACCTCAGTTAATGGAGTCCACAGATTTATTTAAACAGCAAAGAGGTTTGGGAACCCCAGGATGAGGAGCATCAATCCAGAGAGCAAGAAGAAACATCCCTGGAGGGCCAGGCTGTGGTATTTATGGCCTGAGTGCATTATTGGTAACTACATTGCAGATGATGGATGATGGGTAATGCATCCATGGACTGTTTCTAGATATCTGGCAAAAAGGAAACTTGTCCTTAGATCTGTTCATAAGATTGAGAGGTTACCAGGCCAAGAAGAAGATAAAGGAGACTGAGTACTCACATGAAACAGTCTCACCCACCTGTATATTAAGCTCAGACCAACTGGATTATGTTAATCTCCTTTATTTGTAATTACCAGCCTGCATGGAACTCCTTGTGTCTGGGGCATATTGGGCCATCCAGACATAGTAGGGAGCTGAAAATATTTAGCATGATGTCAATTGAGGGTTACTCTAAGAATTAATGTTGAAGAGGTGAACAGCATTTAAATTACTAAGAAGCTGGTATGCCATGCTAATGAGATTGACTTTATTCTTGCCAGGGGAAGCTGATCAGGAGTTTAAAGCAGGGCTATACGTATAGTTGATCTGCTTTCTAGCAAGGTCATTGACGGCATGGGAAGAATTAAGGGTTGGTAAAACAGGAGCCAGGCAAAATAGATAGACCAGCAGTTCCGAGTTCCCACCAGCAGTTCCAAAATGGGAGTCTGTGGACTAGGGAAAGTCCATGATAAAATTTCCACTAATTTGAAGTTAGAAAATGAAGGAAATGTGGTAGAAATCTATGTATATATGAGGTGTATATGTATACATAAGATGACCCACAGTTCTTGGAAACTTACACATTGTCATTCTTTCTCTTTTTGGCATAAAAATTATCTTTTATGAAGTAATCGTAAGCCTTGTATGCTTTTGTTATAGTTATGCATTGGTTTTTGATGCCCTTTATTGGAAAATAAGATGATGGCCATGCCATATTTCTGTTCCTTCTGTCCACCATTCATGTTTTAAAAACTGTTTTGTGAAATAAAAAAGATAGCTAACCAGTCTTGTATTAGGGTTCTCTAGAGGGACAGAACTAATAGGATATATGTATACACAAAAGGGAGTTTATTAGGGAGAATTGGCTCACACAATCACAAAGCAAAGTCTCATAGTAGGCAGTCTGCCAGCTGGGGAAGAAAGAAGCCAGTAGTGGCTTAGTCTGAGTCTGAAAACCTCAAAAGCAGGGAAATCGACAGTGCAGCCTTCATTCTGTGGCCAAAGGCCCAAGAGCCCCCAGCAAACCACTGGTGTAAGTCCAAGAGTCTAAAGGCCAAAGAACCTAGAGTCTGATGTTCAAGGGCAGGAGGAACAGAGGGAAGCATCCAGCACAGGAGAAAGATGAAAGCCAGAAGACTCAGCAAGCAAAGATCCCACCTTCTGCCACCTGGTTTGTTTTAGCTGTGCTGGCAGCCAGTTGGATGGTGCTCACCCACATTGAGGGTGGGTCTTCCTGTCCCAGTCTACTGACTCAAATGTCAGACTCCACTGGCAACACCCTCACAGACACACCCAGAAACAATACTTTACCAGCTGTGTAGGCATCCTTCAATCCAATCAAGTTGACACCTAATATTAACTATCACAAGTCTGCTAAGTTTTTCTGGATCATCTTTGGAAAATTGAGTGGGGGTTAAAACCAGGACTTTCCATACTGCCTCTGGTTAAGGATTAGTCTCCCACTCCCCCTACCGATCTTTCAGAGACAAATAAATGCTTCTGTTGCACATTACTAACACATAGCTCATGCCTCATGTAACTCATTGAATGGATCCCAAACTGGTATAAACCTTGTGTGAAATGAGATCACTGATCATATGCTTGGATGTCCTGGCAATGTAAAATGCTATATAAATTTTTAAACATTTATCCTCAATTTCTGTACTTACAGACCAGTGAGAAAGAGTCCACAGATGGACACTAGCCCACAAACCACCCTTTGAATTGTAGGGCATTAGACTGTCTTATGGGTCAAATCAGGAGTCTGTCAGGTTAGTGGGTTGAACAGTTGAAAAGAATTTGTTGGCCCTACAGTCAGAGTACGTTGGGGCAAAAGGCACTGCTTTTCCTGGGATCTTGGGAGCTAAAGAGAACTCCATTAAGCCCTGGAGAGATAAGTAGTGTGATTGGACAAGAACTTGGGAGTGTAAAATTCTCAGAGGGATGACTGGAGCCATCAAGAACCCTTCTTAAATAACGTGCTTTTTTTGTTTGTTTGTTTGTTTTGATACTGAATCTTGCTTTGTTGCCCAGGCTGGAGTACAGTGGCGCAACCTCCGCTCACTGCAACCTCTGCCTCCTGGGTTCAAGCGATTCTCCTGCCTCAGCCTCCCAAGTAGCTGGGATTACAGACACCTGCCATCATGTCCCACTAATTATTGTATTTTTAGTAGAGAGAGGGTTTTACCATGTTGGCCAGGCTGGTCTTGAACTCCTGACCTCAGGTGATCCACCCACCTCAGCTTCCCAAAGTGCAGGGATTACAGGTGTGAGCCACCGCACCCAGCCTTAAATAAGGGTTTTTATTGTGTAATTGTGTTTTATGTCAACTGTAATTTGTATTTCCCAGGTTGTTGCACTACAGTAAAGATAGGCTCTTAAATGAATTCGGAACATGTTGTGTAGGGGCTGCTGTGAAAAAAGTCTACAGAGTGAATTAAGGCAAAGTTGGCTAGGAGTCAAGCTTAGAAATCTCCAGTTTGGTACCCCCGCTCCCCGCCGGAGTGTCCAATTTGGTTTCATGGCCAAATCTCGATGTCCAGTTGTGATAGCATCAGTAGCTCTGCCTGCTGCTGGCAACCTTGATTATCCTTAATGGGGTGCAGTGCACAATAGGCAAATGGTGGTGGGAAGCAGGTTGTAGAGAATGTTCAGAGTAAATTGCTGGCATGGCCTGCCATTTGCTACTGAGACCCAGATGTTTTGACGCCTCCCTTATGTGAGCAGTGGGCCTGTTATAAGGAACAGGGCTGTCCAGAAAGTCCTCTTCTCAATAATAGAAATAACACGTAGTTACACTACCATTTATTACATTCTTACCATGAACCAGGTCCTGTGATATAGACTTTATATGCTTTGTCTCAGTCCTACAGTAAGTGTGAGGTAAGGGGTTATTACTGTCAGCATTTTACAGATGCATACTGGGTATGAGTGGTCAGAATTCAAACCCAGAGAGCGATGCCAGGATCCATATGCTATTGTGATTGCACCACCTTTCTCACTCAGGTACCCCTATTGGTGCTTTGTAACCTAAGCTAGAATCTTTGAGGTCAGGGATCCCAAGCTTCTCTTTCCTACTTCTGTCCCTGCAGTGCTGAAAGATATCCTAAGATCCTGCTCCCACACATATACGGGCTGTAGCCAGCTACAGTCTTTGTTTATCTTCCCATGCTCAGGATTGGAAGTGGCTGAAGATCTTGCTCCTGAGCCTCTCTGGTGAGAGATCAGAAACTGAAAGGAAAAATGGGAGTGAGAGAGAGAGGGCTTGGGGAGAACAACTGCAGCCTTGATCACAGCTTGGGGTGGGGAAGAGGGTTAGCGTCCAGCCATGTTTGTTGGGAATGGATGGTACATAAATGAATCTGTGTGTGAGGATCACATTGTATATGTAGCAGAGTCAACTGTTGAGATACGCAGGTGTGCGAAGTAGGTGGTAACCACTTGGACTTGCTGAAACTTGAATTAATTTTAAGCAATACACTTGGATCTCAGTTTCATTTGATTATGACACTTGTATTTTGTAGTCTGAGACTACGTAATTCATAGTGTGTTCATGTATTATGAATCTTTTTTTTTTTTTGAGACGGAGTCTTGCTCTGTCGCCCAGGCTGGAGTGCAGTGGCCTGATCAGCTCACTGCAAACTCCGCCTCCCAGGTTAACGCCATTCTCCTGCCTCAGCCTCCCGAGTAGCTGGGACTACAGGCGCCCGCCACCACGCCTGGCTAATTTTTTATATTTTTAGTAGAGATGGGGTTTCACCATGTTAGCCAGGATGGTCTCGATCTCCTGACCTCGTGATCCGCCCGCCTCGGCCTCCCGAAGTGCTGGGATTACAGGCGTGAGCCACCGCGCCTGGCCCTCATGTATTATGAATCTGATAGGACAATGAAAAATTTATCACAGTGTTGTACCAATAAATTATAACTACTTTAAGCAAAATTTAAAGAAAAATAGACCTCCATACCTCCAATTCTGATACTCCAGTAGATCCCCATTTTTATTTCTCTATGTCCATTGCTAACCCTTGTTCATATGTATACATAATTGAATCATAACAGATAAACTGTTACGTGTTGTTTTCTTTTCATTACTATTATCTTAAGCATCCTCCCTTTCCCCCAATTCTGTATACCCTATAATTACTGTTTGTGATGACCCTTCTTTATTACCCTTGTGAGTACGCTTCTTTATTCCCTTTCCAAACTGTGAATTGTTTTAGGGTAGAAACTGTGTCCTTTTTTTTTTTTTTTTTTTTTTAAGACAGAGTCTCGCTCTTTCACCCAGGCTGGAGTTGGAGTGCAGTGGCATGATCTCAGCTCACTGCAGCCTCGACCTCCCAGGCTCAAGCAGTCATCCCACTTCAGCCTCTCCAGTAGCTGGGACTACAGGCATGCACCACCACACCTGGCTTAATTTTTGTATTTGTTGCAGAGATGAGATTTTGTCTTGTTGCCCAGGCTGGTCTTGAACTCCTGAGCTCAAGCAATCCACCCATCTTGCCTTCCAAGGTACTGGGATTGCAGGCATGAGCCACTGTGCCCAGGCAAGACTGTGTCTGAATTACATTCCCCGCCCCGATATCCATCCAGTTGGTGTTAGTTCATTTTTATTAAAATGCATTGATGGGCATTAGGACGTGTCTGTCTGTGAGCTGTTGTAAATAGTGTTGTTGTCAACAATGTCATGAATATGGTGTTTTTTCCCTTTCTTTGGAATGATTTGCTTGAAATAAATTCCCAGGAATGAGATTAACCAAATCCAAAAATATAATTATTTTATGTTTTAAAAACATACTGCAATATTGCCTTTTTAAAAGATTGTACCAATTTACTCTGCTATTAGAAATGTATGAATACAGTACTTAATTTCAATCTTATCAACAGTAAATATTATAATTTAAAATTAAAAAAACTAATTGGTATAATTGTTTTTATTTCTGTTTCTTTACTGTAATTGGTGAGATTGAATTTTTTTAGTTTACTAATTTTAATTCCACTGTGAAAAATTTCTCTTTGTGTCATGTGCCTTTTAATATAGTAAATTCTTAGTGTTACTCCTGAGAATTTGAGATCTTTAATGCAATATATAAAAACCCATTGTTGGCCAGGTGTGGTGGCTCATGCCTGTAATCCCAGCACTTTGGAAGGCCAAGGTGGGGCGATCACCTGAGGTCAGGAGTTCGAGACCAGCCTGGCCAACATGATGAAACCCTGTCTCTACTAAAAATACACACATGCACACACACCCACCCACCCCCCCCCCCCCCCCACACACACACAATTAGCTGGGCCTGTAACCCCAGCTACTTGGGAGGCCAAGGCAGGAGAATCGTTTGAACCAAGAGGCGGAGGTGGCCATGAGCCGAGATTGCGCCACTGCACTCCAGCCTGGGTGACAGAGCGAGACTCCATCTAAAAACAAAACAAAACAAAACACCCATTGTTAATCAATCTTCAGAAAAGTGATACCTCATTTCTACTTTATGCTATATTTAGCAAATATAACTTGATTTAAAAGCATCTAACCACCTGGAATTTTTTTTTAAATACCTAAAAGTATTCCCATAAGTAAATAAGTATTCTGAGACCCATTGGTTTATGATGGCCCTCATAATCATGTGTTTAAATTCTAACATAAAATAGGATTGATTTCCAGGCTTTCTATTTTGCTCCATTAATCACTGAATCTTTTTTTTTTCTTCACAGCAGTATGTTAAACTATTATTAGTTACTTAGAGATTCTTTTAATTTCTGGTGGGACTATTATCCATTCATTGAGTATATTTCAAGTACATTTGTTTCAGCATTCTCTGTACTTTATTAAATATTTAAAATACTTCGTAATTTTAAAGTGTAAGAATACATACCATGTAACCGTCACCCAGATTTAAAAAATGTTAATCTGGTATGCACTCATTTATTTTTCCACACTCTTTTGCTTTTTTCCAACTACTTAAACATTTTTAGAGCACTTTTAGGTTCACAGCAAAATTGAGGGGAAAATACAGAGATTTTCTATATACCTGTTACTCCAACACATGCGTAGCTTCCCCAGTTATTAACATCTCTTACCTGAGGGTACACTTACTGCAATTGATGACCCTACATTGACACATCATTATCACCCAATGTCTGTAGTTTACCTTAGTGTTTGCTCAGCTCTGTTGCCCCGGCTGGAGTGCAGTGGCACGATCTCGGCTCACTGCAACCTCTGCCTCCTGGGTTCAAGTGATTCTTCCGCCTCAGCCTCCCCAGGAGCTGGGAATACAGGCATGCTCCACCATGCCTGGCGAATTTTTTGTATTTTAGTAGAGATGGGGTTTCACCATGTTGCCCAGGCTGGTCTCAAACTCCTGAGCTCAGGCAATCCACCCACTTCGGCCTCCCAAAGTGCTAGGATTACAGGTGTGAGCCATCGTGTCCAGCCTTGTTATAATTATTATTATATATATATGTATAAATTTTAGTACCATATAGAATATTTTCACTACCCTAAAAAAAAATCCTCTGCCCATACACATTTCTCATGGTTATATTGAGCTCATCAAATCTTAACATTGAAAAAGTGAGAGGGAACATTGTGTAACATTATGAATATGAAGCATTATTGCGAAGTTCTTTTTCTCCCAATTTTACTGACTGACTTCTCCTTTACTTCATCTTTTATTGAAGCCAAGAATCGTGTTGATTACTGTGGGAATAGATCTCCACTGAGGAAAGAGCGCAGAGACCCTGCCTCACAATTATGAAGCTCAAAGAGCACTTGCCAGTTGTGAGGTCAAATTTGTGACCCCAAAAAACTAGTTTCTTCTTCCTTCCAAACAGAGGTAGATTTATAAAGTGGATTGGAGGGAGAGTTTGGGGAAAGTGATCCCTGCTACCTCTCTCCCTTCCTGGATAATTCAGGGGAAGAAGTGAGATGGGAGACCTAATCCTGTCAGGTCCTCAGGTGAGGTGACTGAACTGAGGGCCAAGTTCCCACATCTCTGGAGTTTGCTTATTATGAGCATCAGAACCAACAGGCTATGCTTCTGCAAAGATGTTGGGAAGAAATGGCAGGAGAGGCCATTTTTTCTTTTTGGTGGTGGTGGTTGTTGTTTGAGACAGAGTCTCGCTCAGTCGCAAGGCTGGAGTGCAGTGGCATGATCTCGGCTCACTGTAACCTCTGCCTCTCAGGTTCAAGTGATTCTCCTGCCTCAGCCTCCTGAACAGCTGGGATTACAGGCACCTGCCACCACGCCCAGCTAATTTTTGTATTTTTTGTAGAGATGGAGTTTCACCATGTTGGCCACGCTGGTCTCAAACTCCTGACCTCAGGTGATCCACCCGCCTCAGCCTCCCAAAGTGCTGGGATTACAGGCGTGAACCACTGTGCCCTGCTATGAGAGACCATTCTTTGCTTGCCATGTCTTAGCCATGATTGTTTCTGCTAAGTGGAGTTTGGCATGGTGGGGGGTTACAGTGTTTCCAGTAGGCATAAGGTAGGCTATGGAAATGGGATCCTAAAGTGGTTTGGAAGACCTACAGACCTCTGTAGTGAGAGGAATCTGTTAGAGCTGTTGGGGTAGTGAGAACAAGTGGCTTGCCTCAGTAGGACTGCCTATGCCAAGAAACTGCTCAGATCTAATTGGAACATGAGTCTAATAAGACACACCATGAAAGAATCTGCATTGCAGGCTATATTAGTCTGTTTTCACACTGCTGATAAAGACATACCCGAGACTGAGTAATTTATAAAGAAAAGAGGTTTAGTGGAGTCACAGTTATATATGGCTGGGGAGGCCTCACAATCATGGCAGAAGGCTAAAGGCATGTCTTACATGGCAGCAGGCAAGAGAAAATGAGGACCAAGCGAAAGGGTTTTCCCCTTATAACACCATGAGATCTTGTGAGACTTATTCACTACCATGAGAACAGTATGGGAAAAACCGCCCCTGTAATTAAATTATCTCCCACTGGGTCCCTCCCATAACACGTGGGAATTATGGGAGCTGCAATTCAAGATGAGATTTGGGTGGGGACACAGCCAAACCATATCACAGGCCATCCATGTGAAGGAGCCAGCCACCAGACCAACAACTTGAAGGAAGGGGAATCCCTGAAATACAGTTTGAGCTGGAGAGTTATTGAGATGATACATAAAACAATTTCTTGACAGCACCATGTTTACTGGATTAGACTTTAATAAAGTTTTTTTTTTTTTTTGCTCCAGGCAGACTGAGGTCTCAGAAGTGTCTGTGCAGTTATAACAAAAACGGTAGTTTACTTTTACTGAGTTTTGTAGCACAATGAGAACTGAAACAACATTAATAGCAATGCTAGGAAGTGAGTTACGTTTTTATGAACTTCACTCCACCCCCAAAGTTGCAGCTAATAGAGATGTAATAGACCAGTTCTGTGTTTTAAAATGCCATTCAGAATGTTTCAGCTTAAGATGATGAGTTGAGCACAGACATCCAACTCTCTAACTCCCCACCCTTGTGGCCTGATATTGACCTGAAAAGAATAAAAGACTACATAAAGAGAAGAGAGTGAATCTCAACATACCACTTGTCTGAATCTGTTAGTGCTGCTATAACAGAATACCTGAGACTGGGTAATTTATAAAGAACAGAAATTTTATTTGTCATAATCATGGAGGCTGGGAAGTCCAATTAAGGCACTGGAAGTTTTGGTATCTGGTGAGGGTGTGGTCTTTGCTTCAAAGATAGAACCTTGAACGCTGCATCCTCTGGAGGGGAGAAATGCTGTGTACTCAGAAAGTGGAAGGGCAAAAGGGAACCAAACTTCTTCCATCAAGCCTCTTTATAATACCATTAATCAATTCCCTCATGACCTACACACCTCCCAAAAGACGCCACCCCAACATTGTTGCTTTGGGAATTAAATTTCCAACACGTGAATTTGTGGGACACATTCAGACCATAGCACCACTTTATTGCTTCTAATTGATGACTTTCTTCAGGCTGGTGTAGATGGGTCTGACTGAAGTCTTCTTTGAGAAAGACTCAAGACCTTTTCTGAGAAAGTTTACAGTAATTAGAGTATATCCACACAAGATTTTACTAATGTCCCTGAGTTTGGAGGCACTAGATAGGGCATGCTAAGTGACTATGGAGGAATCAAATGAGAATGTCAATACTTGTTGCAAAAGCCCAGTAGCAATAGAAGCTCTGCTAAACAAAGCCTAAGAAGGATAGGTCTTTTCTCTAACATGGAGGAATAGTAAAAGGAAAGAAACTACATACAACAAGGCCTAAGGTCAGTATGTGGTGGATCGGTGGCATCAAATACAAGAGAAACCACTGTGCTTCCTCAGTGATAGTTTTTGCCAAATTCTTTTTTTTTCCTGGGAGTGGGCCAGATTTCTTTGTATGCTTTGTAATTTTTTGTTGTTGTTGAGAACAAGACATTCTGAATATTAACTCCAGAGTGGTAACTCTGGAAATTTGATTCTTTTACTACTTAAGAATTGTTTATTTTTGCTTGTTGAGTGCTGCAGCCATCCATTTGTGACTTTTCTGAACTATTTTTTGCAAGATGTGTATTCCTTATTTGTGGTCACTGAAGTTTCTCATCCATTATGGGTGGTCAGCCAGTCACCAAAACAAGACTGCCCAACCCCCCGGCCCCCGGGCAGTCTGTCCCTTCATTGAGCACTAACCTGGTTGTTTTAAGTATCTGATCAAGTTCCAGATTTCTGAATTAGTTGATTCCAATTGCTCTTTCCAGCCCAGTGGTTGCTTTGGTGGAGAGACCAACTCCTAGAGCTTCCTATGCCGCCATTTTGTGTGGTCACTTGTCCTCAATAATGTTTTACAGTTTTATGTGTAGCATTTTAAAGACCTTTGATGGATTTATTCCTAGATACTTGACATTTTAATGCTATTATAAATTGCATTGTGATAGGCAGAATAATGCCTCCCCCTAAATATATCCATGCCCTAATCTCTAGAACCCATGAATATATTGCCTTATACATATTACACATGGCAAAAGAGACTTTGTAGATGTGGTTAAGGTTAAGAACCTCGAGATGGGGAGATTATCCTGGATTATCTGCATGGGCCCAACCTAATCACCTGAGACCTTAAAACTGGAAATCCTTTCCTGACTATAGTCAGAAGGGTATGTGACTTCGGAAGAAGATGAAAGTGATGCAATGTTACTGGCTCTAAGAATGAAAGAAGGGATCCATAAGCCGGAAAAGGCAAGAAAATAGATCCTCCACTAGAGGCTCCAGAGATCAATACAGCCCTGCTTATACCTTGATTTTAGCCTGATGATACCTGTGTCAGACTTCTAATTTATTGAACTGTAAGATGATAAATTTGTCTATACATTTAAAACATTTTTAAAGCAATAAGTTTGTTATAATTTGTTATGGCAGTGACAGAAAATAAAGTGGATTTTTAAAAATTTAATTTGGCCAGTGTTAATGTAGAAATATAATTGGCATTTTTATATTGAGTTTATATCCATTTATCTTACTAAACTACTAATTCTCATAATTAATTTGTAGATTACTTTAGACTTACATCATTTGTAAATAATCACAGTTTTGTTTCTGTCTTTTAAATCCTCATACTTTTTATTTATTTCTCTTATTAAACTAGCTAGAACCTCTGGTACCGTGTTGAATAGCAGTGATGATAGTGGGCTTTCTTGCCTTATTCCCAATCTCAATAATTTCATTATTAAGTATGATCTTTACTGTAACTTTTATTATTATTATTATACTTTAAGTTCTAGGATACATGTGCACAACATGCAGGTTTGATACATAGGTACACATGTGCCATGTTGGTTTGCTGCACCCATCAACTCGTCACTTTTACATTAGGTATTTCTCCTAATGCTCTCCCTCCCCCAGCCCTACTGTAACTTTTAATAGATATTCTTTATGAGATGAAGGGGAATCCCTCTGTTTCTAGTTTTAGCAAGGTTTTTTCCTTTCTTTTCTTTCCTTCCTTCCTTCTCTTTTCTTTCCTTCTCTTTTCTCTCTTCTTTTCTTTCTTTTTTTTTTGAGACAGAGTCTTATTCTGTAGCCCAGGCTAGAGTGCAGTGGTACAATCACAGATCACTGCAGCTTCAGTCTCCCAGGCTCAAGCAGTCCTCCTGCCCCAGTCTCCCAAAAGTTGGAACTATAGATACGTGTCACCATGCCCAGCTAATTTTTTTTTTATTTTTAGTAGAGATGAAGTCTCACTATGTTTGTTGTCCAGGTTGGTCTTGAACTCCTGAGCCCAAGCGATCCTTCCTCCTTGGCCTCCCAAAGTGCTGGGATTAGAGGTGTGATCCACTGTGCCCAGCCAGTAAGGTTTTTTCCTTAATTTATAATTAGGAAAGAAAAGAAGGCTGAATTTTATCAGATGCTCTTTTGAAATCTATTGCGATGAACATAGGATTTTTATCCTTTAATCTATTAATGTAGCCAATTACATTGATTGATTTGTTATGTTAAATCTTTCATCCCTGAAATAAACTAATATTTGTAATGATATATTAGCTCCCTCTCCCCTTTTTAAAATTTGATGTTTGATTTACTATTTGTAAATATGTATACTATATAGTATTATACAGCAAACTTCCCTGTATTTACTACTTTACCTGCATCTCCAAATTTTGTTACCTTCGTAACAAATATGTATACTATATTGTATAGTATAGACTATTTTGGCATCCATGCTCGCGAATGATATTGGGCTCTAAATTTTCTTTTTATACTGTCCTCATCGGGTTTTGTGCTATCAAGATTGTGATAGCCTCATACAATGAGTTGGGGAGGATATACCTTTTTCTTTCATTCTCTGGAAGACTTTATGTAACATTGGCATTGTTTTTTCCATATTAATTTTGTGGAAGCCCAATTGAATGCTTCTGGGCGTGGAGATTTCTTTGCAGGAAGATTTTAATTACAGATGCAGTCTATTTCATAGGAAGATTTCAGATTTTAAAAATTTTCTTTCTGTTGTATTTTTCTGAAAAAATTTTCATTTCCTGTTAAACTTGTAAATGTAGTGGCGTAAAGTTATTCATATTATTTTATTTTTAATTATTATAGAATCTGCACTTATGTCTTTTTCATTCATGAAAAAGAGGTTATTTGTGACCTCTCATTTTTCTTGATCAATCTCACTAGAAGTTTATCCATGCTATTTGTCTTTTCAAAGGACTTTAAATTTAACTTTAATCTTCTTTATTGTATGTTTGTTTTCCCTTTTATTAATTTTTGCTCTCATCTTTACTAACTTCTTCCTTCTATCCTTTGTTTTTGCTTTTCTTTTTCTAACTTGGGCTAGTGTTTAACTGTTTAGTTTTCCACCTTTTTATTTTTTAATATATGAGTTTAGGCTGTAAACTTCTCTGTATTTACTACTTTGTCTGCATCTCCAAATGTTGCTATCTTCATTTTCATTCAGTTCCAAAAATTTTCTAATTTATATTATGAATATATTCTTTGATCCATTTGTTATTTAAAAGTGTATTTCTTAATTTCAAAATACATGAGGATTTTCTAGTTATTTTTTGTAACTGATTTCTAGCTTGGCTGAATACTTTTAAAATAATATACTCTTATGATTTCAGTCCTTTGAAATATGTTGCGACTGTACAATGGACACTTAATTTTAAGAAATGTTCCATACTTTAAAACAACATATATATTTTGCAATTTTTGGTTGCAGTATTCTATAAAGATCCATCAGGCCAACTTTGTTTTATATTCTTCAAATCTCTTATACCTCGACTAATATTTGTCTGTTTGTTCTATCGTTATTTTAACCTCTCCTATTGCTTCTGGATGTGTCCGTGTTTCCTTGTTTGCTTGGTAAACTTGGAGGCCATGTTTTCGAGTCTGCAGAGGGCCTAATGAGTTGGAGCTGGCATGACTGAAATGTCAGTGGATGGGTAGGCTTCATGCCACTGTCTGTGGTCCTGAAATGTCGTGCTCAAGATCCATTTTTAATTTTTTCTCCTAACCTGGGACAGCAGTGGTTCCTATGGATTCTTGCAGGGATTCTGAGACTGGGTAGGGGAAAGGTAACAAGTTGGGGAGAAAGGAGAGAGGAGAGAAACAGACAAGGGATCAGGAAAGCAGAGTTGCCAAAGGATTACCAGGGAGAAAAAAGAGAGGTTGTTATTTTGAAATGTTTTCAAATATTCCTGGTTGACAAAAAGGAAATTATTACTTTTGCAGAGAAAGTTTTGAGGGCTTTCCCCTATTGCTTCCCACAATACCCTCAAATGCTACCCTTGTGAAGATGGGTATTTTGTATCCCTCAAACACAACAGAAAGCTCAGCTTCTTGCTCTGTGAAGTCCAGAGGTGACCCTGCTCAGACTCCATGCACAGCATCCTGTTCTCTTTGGCTAGAATTCCTCTCCCCAACCCCCCATTTATAGTCCATCTGGAGAACTACTCATCCTAAACACTCTTTTGGCTCAGAAGCCCTGGAGGCCTTAGCTCATCAACTCAGGCAAGTTGAATTCCTCTTTCTCCTCCAGGTATCAAGAGAAGCCTGCTAACTCCTTTCTCATAGCTCTGGTTATATTATTCATGTTCATGACTGTCTGTTGCCCACCTAGAGATACTTGCGGGCAGAGGACTGGTGTTCTAGTCATCTTTGTCACCCTAGCCCCATACACAATTATTGGCACATAGGAGGTACTTAATATGTATTGAATCGAGTGAGTGAAATGATTTCTGAAGTCAGTGGATATATCATATATTGGACAGTTGAATCACTTTTATATTAGTTTGCTCAAAAACATTTATTAAGCTCATTCTCCATGCCAAGCATCATGTTTGGTGCTAAGATTACATCTTTGAACAAACTGTCCTCATATTGTTCAGGAAAACCCCTAAGTAGATAGGCAGCCATATATGGTAGAAGACAGGAACTGTGACAAGAAATATATTTTTATAAATCCCACATTGAGAGTTCAGCTGGCAGTAAATAGGAGTAGGGTGGGGTTTGTGCAGGTTAAAGTCTATAAAATGCCATGGCAAGAGGTTGAATTAGAGCCTGATTATGAAGTTAGGAGGCCCAAAACACAGTGGGCACATATTCACAGATCTTGTTGAGGAACAGATGGAGGGATCAACTGTGTTCACTGCCCTTTATTTATCTTATTTCTCTCTCCACCCCTGTGAAGCCAAGACATTATACAGTAGCTAGGAAAGACTCACGGCTGAATCTGGGCATGGAACAACTTCCATATGGAATGTTGGCCACTTGGTGGTGCTATTTGCTTCTTCAAATTCTCGTTATTTAAAATATTTCTTTCTTGTACCGTTGATTCTGGGATCAGCCTGGATGTGTCAAACACTGCCTGCCAGGCTTAGAGCTCAGTGCATTTCTTCCCTTTTATTCCTGCTGATGGGATTGCTGGCCATGACCGGTGAGAGGAATCAAGGAACCCATTACTATGAGTTCTCAGGATTCATCTTCAAATCTCAAATGATGTGGTCAATTAAACCAAATTAAAAACAAGCTCTTGTTAAAAGCAAGTTAAAAACAAGCTCTTGACCTTGAGAAGAAATGATTGGTATTAGGAAGACTGTTGAGCTGATACTGCCCTTCATTCATTCTCTACCCTGGTGCTTGGATACAGGAGCAAAGTAAGAAAATAATCACAGCTTTATTGAGGGCTCTATGAGCAAGGCTTGGTGAGGATGGAAGAGAATGGAGCTATCAGTTGATGAGAACCTACTAGGTGTTGAGCTCCTTACATTCATTGCCTATTTAAAACTTTCTAACAACTTCATGTGTAAGCGTTGTCCCGATTTAAAAAAAAAAATAGATGTGGAAACTGAACCTGGAGAAGGTGTGTAATTTGTCCAAGGTTGCACAGGCAAAGGGGCAAAATTCAGCTTTAAACCCAGGACTGTTTCCACAGCTCCAAGTTCCCTTTATTCATGGGATTTGTAAGATGGAGCCCCTGCCACTGTAGCATTTATAACTTACTTTGGAGAATAAGATTCCTGAAAGTACGTTTAATAAAAAAAAAAGATGTCCAGCTATGTACGGCAGCTCACGCCTGTAATCCCAGCACTTTGAGAGGCAAAGGGGGGAGGATAGCTTGAGGCTAAGAGTTTAAGACTAACCTGGGCAACATGGCAAGACCCTGTCTCTAAAAAACAAAATTAGCCAGTTGTGGTGGCATGCACCTGTAGTCCAAGCTACTCAGGAGGCTAAGGTGAGAGGGTCGCTTGAGCCCAGGAGTTTGAGGCTGCAGTGAGCCATGATGGCGCCACTGCACTCCAGTGCAGAGTGCAGGCTACAGAATGAGACCCCATCACAAAAAAAGAAAAGAAAAAAGACGCCAACAACTTAATATTAATGAAAGATATCTTTGCTGACATGTAAATGGTCACAATATATTGTTAAGTGAGAAAAAGCAAGCTTGAGACTAGCAAGGTAGTCTTTAGCAGAGGCAAATATTGAGATTTATTGTACCCTCCACCCAGATCAAGGTAGCATAGAAGGCTTCCTCAAGTTTTCTTACAGTCAGTCTCCTCCCAAGGGTTAGATATCATTATGATTTATATTACTATAGGTTAGTGTTATCTATTCTACATATAAATAAAATCATTTAATATGTACTCTTTTATGTTTAGATGCTTTCACCACAATATATCTGTGAGATTTATCCATGTTGTATGCAGCAGAGGCTTTTTAAAATTGCTGAATACTCTTCCATTGACTGAATATACCACAAGTTGATGGATATTTGGTTGGTTTTAGGTTTGGGACTATTGTGAATAAAGCTAGTATGAACATCCTTTTATATGCCTTTGGGATAACTTATTCAGTACTCCTTTTTGGAGAGAGATATATTATGTATATGTATCTATTTACATATGTATATGTAAATAGATACATATACATAATATATGTATATGTATGCTAAACATATGCCTACCCTATAATAAAACAATTCCATTCACATATATATGTATTTGTATATATGTAAATATATAGCCTGTATGAAAAAGCAAGCTTGAGACTAGCATAATTAATTTGGTCGTAATACACACTTTTTTTGGTCATAATATACACATACGTAATATACACATACATATATATGGGAATGGAACTGTTATAGGGTAGGCAATTGCATTTTTTACATATTGAAGGTTTATGACAAACCTGCATTGAGCAAGCCTATCAGCGCCGTTTTTCCAACATCATCTTCTCACTTCATATCTCTGTATCACATTTTGGTAATTCTTGCAATATTTTAAAGTCCTTCATTGTTATTACATCTGTTATAGCAATCTGTGATCAATGATCTTAGTTGTTAGTATTGTAATAGTTTTGGAGCACCATGACCCTCATCCATATAAGACGGCAAAGTTACTCAATAAATGTTGGGTGTGTTCTGACTGCTCCAGGAAGCAGCCATTTTCTCCATCACCCTCCCACTCCTCAGACCTTAATAATATTTAAATTAGGCCAACTAATAACTATAAAATGGCCTCTAAGTGTTCAGGTGAAAGGAAGAGTCACACATCTCTTACTTTTAATTAAAAGCTAGAAATGATTAAGCTTAGTGAAGATGGCATGTGAAAAGTCAAGACAGGCCAAAAGTTGAGCCCCTTGCCCCAAACAGCCAATTTGTGAATGCAAAGGAAAAGTTCTTGAAGGAAATTAGAAGTGCTACCCTAGTGAATTCACGAAAGTGAAATAACTTTTAGTGGTCTGGATAGAGGATTAAACGAGACACAACATTCCCTTAAGCCAAAGCCGAATCCAGAGCAAGATCCTAACTCTCTCCAGTTCTATGAAGGCTGAGAGATGAGGAAGCTGCAGAAGAACAGTTTGAAGCTAGCGGAGGTTGGTTTGTGAGGTTTAAGGAACAAAGCTGCCTTCATAACATAAAAGAGCAAGATGAAGCAGCAAGTGCTGACAGAGAAACTGCAGCAGGTTATCTAGATCTAGCTAAGATAATTGATGAAGATGTCTACACTAAACAACAGATTTTCAATGCAGATGATACAACCTTATGTTGGAAGAAGAGGACTTTCATAGCTAGAAAGGAGAAGTCAGTGTCTAGCTTCAAAGCTTCGAAGTGCAGGCTGACTCTCTTAATGAGCTGATGCAGCAGGTGACTTTAAGTTGAAACCAATGCTCATTTCCTATTCAAAAAAAATCCTAGGGCCCTTCAGAATTAAGTGAAATCTGCTCTGCCTGTGCTCTATAAATGGAACAACAGCTAGATGACAGTACATCTGTTTACTGAATATTGTTTTACTGAATATTTTAAGCCTATTTTGATATCTATTACTCAGAAAAAAAAGATTTCTTTCAAAATATTATTGCTTATTGACAATGCACCTAGTCACCCGGGAGCTCTGATGGAGATGCACAAGGAGATGAATTCATGTTGTTTTCATGCCTGCTGACAAAACATCCATTCTGCAGCCCCTGGACCAAGGAGTAATTTCAACTTTCAAGTCTTATTATTTCAGACATACATTTTGTAGGACCATAGCTGCCATAGACGGTGATTCCTCTGATGGATTTGGACAAAGTAAATTGAAAACCTCCTAGAAAGGATTCACCGTTCTAGATGTCATTAAGAACATTCGTGATTCGTGGGAGGAGGTCAAAATATCAACATTAAGAAGAGTTCGGAAGACGTTGATTCCAACCCTCATGGATGATTTTGCAGGGACTCAAGCCTTCAATGGAGGAAGTCACTGCAGATGTGGAGGAAATGGAGAAATAGAAGTAGACCCTGAAGATGTGACTGAATTGCTACAATCTCATGATTGAACTTGAATAGATAAGAAGTAGCTTCTTATGGATGAGCAAAGAAAGTGGTTTCTTGAAACAGAATCTCCTCCAATTTTGAAAAAGTTCTACTGTGGGTAAAATGCTATCCAACAGCATTGCATGCTACAGAGAAACCTTTTATGAAAGGAAGAATCAATCAATGTGGCAAACTTCATAGTTGTCTTATTTTAAGAAATTGCTACAGCCATGCCAACCTCAGCAACCACCACCCTGATCGTCAGCAGCCATCAACATTGAGGCAAGACCTTCCACCAGCAAAAGATTATGACTCGTTGGAGTCTCAGATGATCATTAGCATTTTTATCCATAAAGCATTTTACAATTAAGGTTATACATTGTTATTAGGTTGGTGCAAAAGTAATTCCGGTTTTTATCATTACTTTTAATGGTGCCAACCTATAATATTTTAGACATAATACTATTGCACATTTAATAAACTACACTATGGTGTAAACATAACTGCATTGTGCTGTTCGCTTTATTGCAGTGGTCTGGAACTGAACCTGCAGTATCTCTGAAGTATGCCTGTTGTAATGATTTATACTGTCCCTAGCAATGTTTGAGAGTTTTTAATTGCTCCACATTCTCCTTCTCATTAGTCATTTTAGTATCAACCATTCTGGTAGGGATATAGTGGTAACTCATTTTAGTTTTCATTTATATTTGCCTAATGACTAATGATGTTGAGTACTGTTTTTTAATGCTTATTGGCCATTTGGATATTCTGTATATGACATGCCTGTTCAAATTTTTGGCACCCCTTTTTCCCCCATGGAGCTGATTGTCTTTAAAAAAAAATGATTTGAACTTTTTAACATATTCTGGATAAAATCTGTGAATACATACTGTGAATATGCCAGTCTGTGGCTTGCCTCCTCACTCTCCTAATTAATAGTGTCTTTTGATGCAGAAAAAAACTATTTATTTTAATGAAGTTTAATTTAGCAGTCTTTTCTTTCTGTTTCCTTTTTTTTTTTTTTGGTACAGAGTTTCTCTGTGTCGCCCAGGCTCGATTGCAGTGACGCCATCTGGGCTCACTACAACCTCTGCCTCCTGGGTTCAAGTGATTTTCATGCCTCAGCCTTTGGTGTAGCTGGGACTACAGGCACCCGCCACCATGCCTAGCTAATTTTTGTATTTTTAGTAGAGGCTGGTTGTGAACTCCTGACCTCAGGTGATCCGCCTCGGTTTCCCAAAGTGCTGGAATTACAGGCGTGAGCCACCGTGCTTGACCAAATTTAGCAATCTTTTCTGATTAGTGCTTTTTGTGTCCTATTTAAGAAACCTTTGCCTACAGCAGGGTCATAAAGCTGTTTGCCTGTGTTTTCTTCCATAAGCACTATCATTTTACTTTTTACACTTATGTCTATGATTTGCCTCAATTTAATTTTTATTTATGGTGCTAGGGGGTGGACAAAGTTCATATTTTTCCCATTGGTCTATCGTAATTTTTGAAAGATTATAATTTTCCCATTGACTATATATATGCTGGCCTATTTCTGGACTCTCTATTATCTTTTTTGGTCTCTTTATTCTGTGTCAATAGTACACTCGCTTTGTTTGTTTGTTTGAGACAGGGTCCCACTCTGTCACGCAGGCTGGAGTGCAGTGGTGTGTGATCTTGGCTCACTGCACCATCTGCCTCCCTGGCTCAAGCAATCCTCCTGCCTCAGCCCCTGGAATAGCTGGTATTACAGATCTGTGCCACCATGCTCAGCTAATTTATATGTGTTTTTTGTTGAGATGGGGTTTTGCCATGTTTTCTAGGCTGGCCTCAAACTCCTGCACTCAAGCGATCTGCCTGCCTTGGCCTCCCAAAGTGCTGGGATTACAGGTGTGGGCCACCACACTTGGCCCACACTCTCTTAATTACAGAAGCTTTATAAGTCTTGATATTATAGGTCCTCCAAATTTGCTATTCCTCAAGATTATCTTAGATATTCTAGGTCATTTTCATTTTGATGTAAAATTTTGGAATCATTTTGTTAATTTTGATGTAAACTTATTAGGATTGAATTTACAGATCAGTTTGACAGACAATTGATATCTTTTTAATACGGAGTCTTCCTATCCATACATTTGCTATATAATTTCTTTATTTAGACCTTCTTTAATTTGTCAGAAAGCTTTTTTAATTTTCAGTGTAGAGATCTTGAACATATTTCACTATTTCTGAATATTTGATGTTGTTAATATTATTGTAATGAACTTTTTACATTTTATTTTCAAATTTTTATTGCTAGTATATAGAAATACAATAGATTTTATATATTGACTTTGTATCCAGTGACCTTGATAACTTCATTTATTTTTTCTATTAGCTTATAGGTAATTTTGCATTTTTATGTAGAAAATAATATTTATATGAATAATGATATATTTATTTTTCCTTACTGACTTCTATATCTTTTATTTCTTGTTCTTACTTTTACATTGACTAAGCTCTTCAGTAAAACCTTGAGTAGAAGTGATACTGGATTCTTGTCTTAGCCCCAAACTCAAGAGAAAGAGTTCAGTATTTTACCAATAAGTGTAATGCTAGCTGTAGGTTCTTTACAGAAACTCTATAGCAGATTAAGCTGGTGCCCTCTTGTTTTTAGTCTGATGAGAATTTTTTCTTTTTTATTGTGAATGAGTTTTGAATTTTATCAAAATCTATTAAAAGGGTATTTTTCTCTTTTATTCTATTAATATGGTGAATTACATTGATGATACTTTTATTCTTGGAATAAACTCTGCTTGTTAATGATTATATTACAATATATATCATGTCTACATATATGTGTGTGTATACATATTGCTGGATTTATTTGTTCATATTTTGTTTTAAGACTTTTGTGTCTATGTTCCTGAGAGATAAGGACTTATAATTTTTCCTCCTTGTAATGTTATTGTTAGGTTTTGGTATCAGGGCCTCATCAAATGAATTGGGAAGTGTTCCTACTTTTCTTTAGTCCTCTGATAAGGTTTGTATTTTTTTTTTCTTAAATATTTGGGAGAATTAACCAGAGAAGCCACCTGGGACTAGAGTTTTCTTTGTGGGAAAGCTTTTAATTATGAATTCAATATCTTTAATTATATTCAAATTTTCTATTATTCTTTTGCTACTTTTGGTAAGTTGTGTTTTTCAAAGAATTTGTTCATTTCACCTAAACATCAAATTTATTGGCATGAAGTTGTTCATAATATCTTTTTATGTTTTTAATGTCTGTTGTAATCACTCTGCCAGGTGGGATGGCACCGTCTACCCACCCATGTATCCAAAATTGGATTGGGTATCAAAAGTGATGGTGCCACACATGTACAAAGAGGATATGAGGGAATTTTTACTTAAATATTCTTTCTGGGGAGGGCAGGGCAGGCACCCAAGCCAGTCTGAAAGTAGGTTAAGAGAACAAGGTGGCTTGAAGTTTAATTGTGGTTATGGGGTGAGGGTTCCCAGTGTGCCTGCAGGGGCTTACATGGTTTGAACTTGCTGCTAGCACCAACGGAGGAAGCCCACAGGCGTTCTAATAGGCTTGTCCAGGTGTGGGCAAGAGGGTAAGAGGGAAGGAGAGGTGGGAATCAAAAATGTTGGCTCTCAAACGTCAATAGTGGAGTTAGACTATTACAGTGTCTGTAAGATCTGTAGTGGTGAGGAGATAATAAATCTTTATATTCACGGAAATAATACTTACCTAGTTGCCTGCACTTGGAACACAAGATAAATAGGTATGAAAATGAGATACTAATAACTCTTTGGGCTTGGCAAGCGAATTAGTCTTTACATGTGATATATCTTTTCTGGTTATGCTGTGACTGTTTTGCAAGTGAGAACTAGCGTTAGAATTCCAGAAAAAATACAATTATTTATACTCTTCAGTTATAAATAAGTAATAAGCTTAAATAATATGTTTTATCTGAATTCTTTTTATTGCTTGAAAAGGTGGAGAGAGAAATTTTGTATTTTCTTTGATAAGAAGCTTATAAATGGTAAATGGCTTGCCCACAGTACAGCCTTCTGAAACAGTAATTTTAGACATAAGATTTTGAAACACAATGTCAGAAATGTATTTAAAACATTTAAATAATAATTTAATTATTTTAACATTAATTACACATGTATATAGTGGATTGGGGTGAAAAAATTTCATGCTAGCTGTGAGATAATGGTCATGTGCCTTGGGATCTGAATTTTCTCTTGTTTGTCATCAGGAAAAAAGTTTAAGAGCAACTGCATAAGGGATGCAATTTTTTTTTTTTTTTTGACGGAGTCTTTTACGCTGTCTCTTGGGCTGGAGTGCAATGGTGCAATCTCGGCTCATTACAACTTCTGCTCCACCTCCCAGGTTCAAGTGATTCTCCTGCCTCAGCCTCCCGAGTAGCTGGGATTACAGGCGCCCGCCACCAAGCTCGGCTAATTTTTGTATTTTTAGTAGAGACAGGGTTTCACCATATTGGTCAGGCTGGTCTTGAACTCCTGACATTGTGATCCGCCCACCTTCGCAACTCTTAATCAAACAAGGTCCCAATCTTCCAGGAACAAAAAAGTGCCCAGGAGGCAGTAAAGAATAGTGGGATTAGCAGGCCCTAATTCATCCCCCTATAATTTGCTGTCTTTTCCTTAGAGTTCTCCAGTTTGCTCCTCCTTGCCAGTGTGTCTGATCTTTGGTTGACTCAGATATAATTCCTCTCTAGCCAAGGGAAGGACAAAAATCAATTTTCCTCTTTCCCCAAGTCCATAAGTGATGGAGTCTGTATTTTTAGCCTCAGTTTATCCATCTATAAAAGGGAGAATATAATAAAACGGAAAATGTAATAGCTACTTCATGGGGCTGTTATAAATATTTAAAAAAATTAAATGTACATGAAAATACCTTGCACTATACTTGGTACATTGTGGATGCTCAGTAAATGTGGTACATTGTGGATGCTCAGTAAATGTATCAGTTGCTAGTTGAATCCATCTGTTCTGAAAGTGGATATGACTGATATATCCAGTGGGCTTCCTTTAATCTAGGGTGACCAACTGTCCTGGTTTGCTCAGTACTGTTCCAGTTTAGCATTGAAAGTTCCACGTCCCAGGAACCCCTGCTTGGGACATGAAAAGTTCCAGTTTTTGGTGCTGGTTGGGGAAGACTGGGGGAAAAGTACATAAACCACATTGCTGCCCAAAAAATAGGGGCTGAAAGCAATACTAGTTTTAGTGTCAAATGGATAAGGTATAGATTATCTGCCTTTTGTAGTTGCTCTTGCTTATTTTTCCCTTGACCACTGATGTTGACAACCATGATTTGTGGTTCACAATAATGGAATATTCATTATAGCTTCACTCCAAGTGATGTGATTTAAGGGTCCATCTTAAGTGTGTTGTAATTGTGAGTGTTAACAGTCTGTTTTTTATTTTGACTGTGGATCAGCTGTTGAACTTTGTATTGAGATAGTGCTGGATTAATTTTTAACATTGTGAATATTATGACTATGTTTTCTAAGAGTTCAGATATTGAAAATAAGAACTATTATTATACTATTGCCAGCATGACCCAGATATCACTGCAAAGAAAAGACTAAATAACTTATTTTAATGATAGATGGAAAGACACATCCAGCCAGATCAGGGAGGTGAATAACGGAAACAAAGTATACTGCACCCTATTATGAAAAGAATTTGGGATTGGGCATGGTGGAGAAGGAGATACAAAAATGCAGATGAGACTGAATCTCACAAGTCTAGGATAAGAAATTCAAATACTTCTTAATCAATCAAAAGTATCTTATCCCTTCTCTTGCCCAAAAGACATCAATGCTCAGTGGAACACAGAGGCCACAGAATTAGCTTGGGCTTACCACATGAATGAACAAACATGCATTATTTTATTGTTCCTTTGATTGCTCCATGAAACTGAGTAAGGTTTTATTTCCTGATTATAGAAGTTGCAACTAAAAAGTCCTGTGGGCAAAAGAGGGGGAAACTGCTGTGTTAGCCCCCTGGCGTGTAGAGCTGATTCTGTCAGATCTTACCACTGATCATACTTTCTACCGTACATTAAGTGATGTGTCAAATCATAGCAACAAAAAATATTGTCCCTAGCTGTTAGGTACTTTGATTTGAAAAAGGAGGTTTCAAATCATTTTCTTGATTTCTATTAAGAGCTTAATAAAACTACAGAAAACACAAAAGATAATTGGTATTGTGTTCAAATACAAACTGGACTTTACTCAGCAATCTGCCTATTCAGCAGACAGTGCAAATATAAATTTTGGCAAATTCCATTCAGTCTATAAATTTCTTACCAAAAAAAGAAAAAAAATGAAAACACCTTACCTACTAAATAACCTGCATATCTTATATACAATACTGCTAAAAAGGCATATAATTTGCTTACCTGACATTGAGCCTTTTATAATGAAAATTTTGGGCCTCTTAAAAATTCCTCAGAACCTGCAGAAGCACTTAATAAGATTTTTGACTCTATAAAAGTAGAAAACACCTCTTTAGACGTGGCTGTCATTGTTGTCAGCCATAGAAAAGATATTAAAATGTTGGCCTGCCATAAAATCATATTTTCCAAGTGTGGGACAAAAGGATGTCTGTTTTAGTAGGCTTGGGCTGCCTTAACAAAATGCCATAGACTGGATGGCTTAAAAAGAGAAGACTGGAAAGCAAAAGAGAAGCGGATAAGCTATAAGCCTGCCTTTCTTCATGGTCCAGGACATGTAGCCCTCTTGTGCCCAAGGATCACCAGACACCTGCAAGTTAGCTCACTGCAACCTTGGTGTTAATCAGTACTGCACAAAGCCCTCTTCAGCATAAACACTATTCTATAAAATCTCCAGCAAGCCCTTTTTCTTTGCAGTCATCTCTTCTCATGTTGATTTGCTCATTGCTTTCTTGGAATGTATTTTTATACTTTGTCTAACAAATCTGCCTTTCTTTATTTACAACTGTCTTGGTGAATTCTTTTCCCCCTCCATGCCACGGGCCCAGCTAGTCATTGCCCACCCATGACACAAGAGAAATTTATTTTCTCATGGTTTTGGAGACTGGAAGTCCAAAATCAAGGTGACAGCAGGGTTAGTGTCTTGGTGAGGGCTCCCCGGGGTTGCAGTCCATAACAATGTTCTTCTTCAATTTGGAAATATATTGAGGTTGAGAATGGAGAAAAGATTATAGTTAACACATTTCTATGCTGTTTCTCCAAAACTGTTTGATGCTCTTTGAAGAGGCCAACAAGGAGCCTGACAAAGGATGAACTGACTACACCTGAGTCGTTCGATGGTTATGCATAGGTTGTTTCAAAAACTTATGCAGCAAAAAATGACTTGAGTTTTAGCAGATGATTTCAGAATTTCAAAAACTGTCACCAGGAAAGGGCAGCCAAGATAAACAGGATTTTTTTTCAATTTCTTTATTAAAGACTGTAACTTATTTAGAATACAACTTTAATTTCAAAAGATCAAATTACCTTTGTGCTTGTTCTTCACATGATGCATCATCAGAATGCAAAGCCAAGCAATACTGCACAAGCACACACAATGCTTCTGTTTGCTCACGTCTTATTGGTCAGAGTTAGTCCATGGCCAATCCCAACAACAGTGCAGTAAAGATATATGTTCTGCTCACAGCAGGGGGAAGGGGAGTAAAAAGGTTTGGCTGTGTCCCCACCCAAATCTCATCTTCAATTCCCACATGTTGTGGGAGGGACCCTGTGGAAGATAATTGAATCATGAAGGCAGGTCGTTCCCATGCTGTCCTCCTGATAGTGAATAGTCTCACGAGATCTGATGGTTTTATCAGGGGGTTCCACTTTTGCATCCTTCTCATTTTCTCCTGCCGACATCATGTAAGAAGTGCCTTTCGCCTCCCACCATAATTCTGAGGCCTTCCCAGGCATGTGGAACTGTAAGTCCAATTAAACCTCTTTTTCTTCCCAGTCTTGGGTATGTCTTTATCAACAGCGTGAAAATGGACTAATACATTAAATTGGTACCAGTAGTGTGGGGTGCTGCTGAAAAGATACCTGAAAATGTGGAAGTGGCTTTGGACCTGGGTAACAGGAAGAGGTTGGAACAGTTTAGAGGGCTCAGAAGAAGATAGGAAAATGTGGGAAAGTTTGGAACTTCCTAGAGATTTGTTGAATGGCTTTGCCCAAAATGCTGATAGAGATATGAACAATAAGGTCCAGGCTGAGGTGGTCTCAGATGGAGATGAGGAACTTCTTGGGAACTGGAGCAAAGGTAACTTTTGTTATGTTTTAGCAAAGAGACTGGCAGCATTTTGCCCCTGCCCTAGAGATATGTGGAACTTTGAACTTGAGAGAGATGATTTAGGGTATCTGGCAGAAGAAATTTCTAAGCAGCAAAGCATTCAAGAGGTGACTTGGGTGCTATTAAAGGCAGTTTCATAAGGGATGCAGAGCATAAAAGTTTGGAAAATTTGCAGCCTGATAATGGGAGAGAAAAGAAAATCCCATTTTCTGAGGAAAAGTCAAGCCAGCTGCAGAAATTTGCACAAGCAATGAGGAGCTGAATGTTAATCCCCAAGACAATGAAGAAAATGTCACCAGGGCATGTCAGAGGTCTTCACAGCAACCCCTCCCATCACAGGCCCAGAGGCTTAGGAGGAAAAAGTGGTTTTGTGGGCTGGGCTCAGGGTTCCCATACTGTGTGCAGCCTAGGGACTCGGTGCACTGCATCCCAGCTGTTCCAGCCATGGCTGAAAGGGTCCAATATAGAGCTTGGGCTGTGGCATCAGTGGGTGCAAGCCCCAAGCCTTGGCAGCTTCTACGTGGTGTTGAGCCTGCAAGTACACAGAAGTCACAAATTGGTGTTCAGGAACCTCCTCCTAGATTTCAGAGGATGTATGGAAATGCCTGGATGTCCAGGCAGAAGTTTGCTGCAGGAGTGGGGCCCTCTTTGAGAATCTCTGCCAGGGCAGTGTGGAAGGGAAATGTGGGGTGTGAACCCCCACCCAGAACCCCTACTAGGGCACTGCCTAATGGAGCTGTGAGAAGAGGGCCACAATCCTCCAGATCCCAGAATGGTAGATTCACCAATAGCTTGCATTGTGAACCTGGAAAAGCTGCAGACCACCCAATGCCAGCCTGTGAAAGTGGCCAGGAGGTGGGCTATACCCTGCAAAGCCACAGGGATGGAGCTGCCCAAGGCCACGGGAGCCCACCTCTTGCGTCAACATGACCTGGATGTGAGACATGGAGTCAAGGAGATAATTTTGGAACTTTAAGATTTGACTTCCTTGCTGGATTTCAGATTTACATGGGGCCTGTAGCCCCTTTGTTTTGGCCAATTTCTCCCATTTGGAATGGCTGTATTTACCCAATTCCTGTACCCCCATTGTATCTAGGAAATAACTAACTTGCTTTTGATTTTACAGGCTCATAGGCAGAAGGGACTTGTTTTGTCTCAGATGAGACATTGGACTGTGGACTTTTGAGTTAATGCTGAAATGAGTTAACACTTTGGGGGGACTGTTGAAAAGGCATGATTGGTTTTGAAATGTAAGGACATGACATTTGGGAGGGGCCAGGGCAGAATAATATGGTTTGGCTGTGTCCCCACCCAAATCTCATCTTGAATTCCCACATGTTGTGGGAGGGACCCTATGGGAGGTAATTGAATCATGGGAACAGATATTTCCCATGCTGTTTTCATGATAGTGAATAAGTCTCATGAGATCTGATGGCTTTGTAAGGCGGAGTTTCCCTGCACAAGCTCTCTCTCTCTTTGCCTGCTGCCATCCATGTAAGACGTGACTTGCTCTTCCTTGCCTTCTGCCACGATTGTGAGGCCATGTGGAATTCTAGGTCCATTAAACCTCTTTCTTTGGTAAATTGCCCAGTCTTGGGTATGTCTTTATCAACAGCATGAAAACAGACTAATATAGGGAGTAAATATTTGCTGAACAATAATGTAAGTTACCTCAGCCCCCTTCAAATGCTTCTGTGGGCCCCACCAATGACTTCCATTTGCTTCTTATTGGCTGTTCGTTTTTGCAAGGGAGGTTGTGAAATATATAATTTTTTGGCCAAGTATACTGCTTCCCCTTGAAATATACGAGTTAAGTGAATGAAAAAAAAGAATGTAAACTGGATGCTAACATTCTCTGCTGCAAAAGAAGTTTTTTTCTCATTCGTCATTCTTGGATTCAATAAATGTTTTTGAAAGTTTACCATGAGAAAAGTCCTGACTTGGATGTTGTAACTTATATGAGCACATTACATGGTTGCAGGAATCCAGGGAGTTAGGCTGGGCTGGGATGATGGTTCTTATCTGTCAGATGAGGAACCTGAACCAGTGGAGAGGAAGTGGCTTTGCTGAGGACCCATGCTTTGTGAGTGGTAGATTCAGTTTTGAACCTCAGTCTTCTCTGTCTCATTCCTTTATTCAGAAGCATTTATCAAGTAGCTACTTGGTACCAGGAAGATGGAGACAGAAGGCCCAGAATCGTCTTTTCTTCTAGGAAGTGAGAGTCACAGGAGATAATATTTGCAACAGAGAAACTTCAGGGGACATGCTGTGCTGGACCTTCAGGATGGGGAGGACTGGTGCAGGGAGGTATGTCAGGTTGGAAATAGGAATGTGTCAAGAAAAGGCTTTGAGATGGAGGAAACTGCCCTGAAGGAGGTTTATGAGTGTGTAAAAGGCTTGAAGAAGTAATCGGAGGTCAAACCTTGAAGGAGTCTGAAAGCTATGCTGCTGAGGAATTTGCACTTAATCCTGAGAGTTATGTGGAACAGGTCAGTGGCAGGCCCATGTTTACGTTTTGGCAGTAATGTGCAGGATGGATTGGAAAGAGCAAAAGTAGAGCCTGAGATGCTAGTTGAGTTTCTGAGAGTACTGTAAGTGATGACAAAAGTTTGAGCCAAAGAACTGGCCGTGAGGAGGAGAAAGATTCCAGAATCATTTAGAAAGGCCATTTGGATATGGGAGCCAAGGAAGAGGAATTGCGTCGTTCAGCAGTTCTCAGCCCTGGCTATGCTTAAAAAATATAAAGACACTCAAGCCTTGGAAATTTTGATTCAGTAAGTCTGGAATGGAGCTAGACATGGAATCTTATTAGAGAGTGGGCCTGTTGGGCCGCTGCCTGGGGTACCAGTTTATAAGAAACCCTAAAACGTCCTTAGAGCAAGTTGGAAATCTGCTAACTGGTGAAAGATAGACTCACTCCTAATGAACCTGGAGCACCCTGTCATGAAAATAATAAAATATTCCTCTCTAGCACCAACCTGTCCCAGTGGAGTGAGTTGAGTATTTCCTACTTGCAAGGTCTGCAGTGTAACCAGAGGCTCTGCCAACAACCTGGGAGCAGCCAACCACCAGTCAACAAAAATTTGGAAAGTAACAAAACATGAAGTGTTGTTTCCTAGAAGGGAGGGATTTACTGGTTATCTAAATTTAAAACCCTTTAATATAGCTTCCAAGAAGTTGCGGCCAGGCGCGGTGGCTCACGCCTGTAATCCCAGCACTTTGGGAGGCCGAGGCAGGTGGATCATGAGGTCAGGAGATCGAGACCATCCTGGCTAACAAGGTGAAACCCCGTCTCTACTAAAAATACAAAAAATTAGCCGGGCGCGGTGGCGGGCGCCTGTAGTCCCAGCTACTCGGGAGGCTGAGGCAGGAGAATGGCGTGAACCCGGGAAGCGGAGCTTGCAGTGAGCCGAGATTGCGCCACTGCAGTCCGCAGTCCGGCCTGGGCGACAGAGCGAGACTCCGTCTCAAAAAAAAAAAAAAAAAAAAAAAAGAATTACAAGGTGGAACTGAAGAGGAATGGAGTGTGCAATCTTAAATAGAGTGGTCAGAGAAGGCTTCACTAAAGAGGTGACACTTGGGCAAAGACCTGAAGGAGATGAGGGAGCAAACCATGGGGATATCTGGGGCATTCTAGGGAGAGGGATAACAAGTGCAAAGGTCCTGAGGTGGGATCTTGCCTGTAATATGCAAGGGACAATAAGAAGGTGAGTGTGTCCTGGAGCACAGTGAGAGAGAGTGTGCAGAGATAATGTTAGAGAACCAATGAGGGCCAAAGTGTGAAAGGACTTGTAGGCCCCTGTAAGATGTGGCATGTTACACTGCAGGAGATTTGAAGCCTCTGGTAGGTTTTGAGCAGAGAAATGACAAAAATCTGATTTATGACTCTTTTCAAGTAATTCTTCTTAAAAGTAATTTTATTCATGTTATTAGGATGGACCAGGATATGCTATAACAACAAACAATTCTTTACAGCTTAGCCATGTTCTTGTGTGACATTTTATTTGGCTGGGCTAGATCCTGCAGCAGCTTTTCCCAAGTGTGTTCCATGAGTCATTGGAGCTGCTTCTTTTGAAAAACAGTTCTGCTTCCAGTAATCCTGGAAATACTGGGCACTCTCTTCCTGTCTAAGTTAGTGATTTGAGACCATCATTAAAAATACATAAAATTGGAATAGAATAGAAAATGTCAGAGTGCATCACATGAAGTAATGTTTTATAAAACAATCTTTTAGTTACATTTATACATATATGTTTAATATATATCTTGTGTGGGGTCACAGTCAGAAAATGAGACTCAAAAGATCACAGCGTCTCCCTAAACATCTAAATAAAACCCTGAATGGTTTGTACTGTCCTCCACCCTCTTCCCTCATTTCCCAACCAGGGCTCAAACTCTCTGTCCTTTCAGTAGTCCATATGCACAGACAAGCTGCAGTTTGCAGTGCTACATCCTGCCTCCTGTTCCTGCCATATCAAGTCTTCCTCTTTGTTTCATGTTCTGGCAAATAGACTTGGATTTGCTAAACTGTTTACTGGCGATCTGGTCTCAGGAAAGTTACTTCACCTCCCTAATCCTGACTTTCCTAATTTGCAAAAGTTTTCCTTTTAGGATCGTTTGTGGTTATTAAATGAAATAATGTACAGAAAGCATCTGGAATGTTAAGGACCGAATACTTTCCCTTCATCTGTTCCTCCTGCCCATACACACATACACAATTTAAGGGGACTCTCTGGATCTTTGCTTCCCTTTAGAAGCACTGCCATCAGTGATAACCTCAGATCATTCTGGGGCAGGAGACTGCTGGGAAGATGCCTGTCTTCATCTAGCTAATGATGCTTCCTGTTAGTTTCAGTACTGGAGGCTAATTTTTCAGCCTGGCCCCCAAATTCTCTCAGAGCACCCTACTGCTGACTCTGCCTCGCCTCCATCCATTGTCTACAGGCTCTTAATAATCCTGGGGTCCAAACATTGGGCCACTGGGGGACACAAGTCATAAAGACGTCTGGGGACTGGTCGATGGTCATCCAGCTGTTAATAGTGGGGCTAGCCCTGATTTTGGGACTACAGAACCCCTAAGCCCAGGACATTCCCCAACGGGGAACGGATAGACTCTCAGGTCTTGCTCTGACTGTGCCTTTGTTGGCAGTAGGTGACTCAGGGGACACAAAGGCACTGTCTGTGCATCCAAAGCAGAGAGGTATCAGCCACTTACTTCAGTGACTTTAACAGTGATTAGTTCTCAAGGACAAAAACTCTTCATTGTTAATTAGCTTAGTGGTCAACGGATTTTCCTTCCAAATCCTCTTGGGGACTGAACCCAAACAAGGCGAAGAAGTGACAGTAAAAAAAGACTTGTCCTTCTGACAAGCGACAGTAAAGAAAAAGACTTGTCCTGCTTGGCAGGAGAGGGTGGCAGTTTGGGCAACACTCAGCCATATTGCTGAGTTGCAGCGAACTCACCAAGCACCCTCACACCTTAGAGGCGTCCCTCACCGTCCAGCCTTGGTGCATCACCCGTCAGGCGGGCAGTCAGGGCGTAGACCTTTCCTTCCTAGCACCTGGGCCCCTACTCCAGAAGACCAGAAGACTGCGGCTGGCCGAGCCCCCGGCAGGGCTTTTATTGTGAAGGGAGCTTCCCCCTCCCGCGCTTTCAGGGGAATGGGGAAGCTGGGCCGGGACGCGCGGCAGGGACTTTGCAAACTCTGCAAAAGTCCCGAGTAGACCGCAGAGGCTCGCGGCCGCGGGTAGGCTCCCTCAGATCCCCGTAGATCTCAGTAGATCCGGCGTGTATTCCCCACCCGCGGAGTATCCCGGTGTGCAGCGATCTCCCGAGAGTTGGCGCAGGGCCACTTGGCTGCAGAGAACGTGTGCACCTTCAGTCCGGGAAACCCGCCCCAGCCGAGTAGCCGCGCATCCTGGGAAGCCTGGCGAGCCACGGCGCCGGGGGCGGCCAAGGGGAGGCGGGATGAGTCTGCGAGCCGGCTGAGCGCGCCGAGGAGCCGGCCGGGGCACCGCCGGGGACATGGTAGGACTCGCGGGAAGGAACGCGCGAGCGGAGGGTGGGGCGATCACCAGGACAGGTGGCTGCAGTCAACGCGCAGCGGCCCAGGGCGCGCGCAGCCTGCGCGGCCTCCCGAGGCCGGAGTTGTTCCCCGAAAGTTGCATGGGGCGGCGGCGGCTTTCATTTCTGCACCAGAGCTGGGGGCGATCGGCTTTCCTGCCGCTCTTAGTGGGGCGGACCGTAATAAGGGGGCTTTTATTACTAATCTGCACTCCTTGACCTAACCGTAACCCACTCGCAACTCTGCAATCTTCATGCAATCCACAAGGCAGGGAGAGGGGAGCGTTCCCTGGGGAACCCACGGCAGCCTCTGATGAGATGCTTTTGAAGTCATTTTAATACTCTCCAAAGTTCATGTGAATTTTATACTATCTTCTCTAATTTAGCTATGTATTGATATTAAAAATAATGTCCTAACGTTTATTAACATTTAATAACTAAATTAACATTGAGTTAAATTGGCTCTAGTAAGGTTCCAATCCGCCTTCCTCTACCTCCCCGACAGGAGGACTGTTGGGCAGATGTGGAAGCACTGGTGGGTCTGGGATGTCACGATGAAACCAGGATCTTGTGGACGTGGCCCTTCCATTGATCAACTTCACAGACACTAACAGGCAGAAAAGAAAAACCCATCGAGAATGTGGCCCAGGCGGCTTAGCTAAAGGACACATGCAACCCCAGGAAAGGGGCGTCCCTCAGGCCCGGCCGCTGGTTAGTTGCTCTGCTTCTCCCGCAGCAGAAAACCCCTGCAACCCCAACTGGGCTCCTGCAGTTCACTGGGCTCCCCTGGCTGCTTCCGTGCCTGCTCGCCTCTTCCCTTTCCTTCCAAGCTCACAGAAGGCAGATCGGAACCCACTGGAGATGCTTTGTGGGGAGTTTTGCTGGGCCTGGGGTTTAGAAGGCTGTCTAGAGACTGCGCTGTAGGATGGAGGGTCTCTGTGAGAACAGCTCCTTTGTGTGCAGGGGGGCCTGGCAGGTGGCTGGAACAGAGGTGGAGGGCTGGTCATAAGGAGCTGGGGGCTCAGGGAAGGGTACCTTTGAGGCTAGGGGTGTGTGTATGTTTCACCCCTCCTAACACCTATCCAGCTTCAGGTTTTTTCTCAAAGCTGCTAAGAGAAGGAAATAGTGGAATCTTAAGCTTCAAAAGGGGGAATGATTGGGGGTACAGGATGTGAAACGAAAAGTGTGGAGATATCCTATTACAAATTCCCTGTTTAGGAGCAAGAGTGTTACCAGAACTCAGGCCACAGCCATCCACTCCGAGGGGCATTAGCATGCTGGAGTCTCCTGGCTTTAAAGGCAAATGTAGCAGAGGCTCTGTGGTCTGCGGCTGAAGCAGAGTGCCTGGAGGAGAGATGGTACCTGCCTTCTGCTCAGGCTGCCTAGGGGAACATTGGTGTGTTTGCCCCACTGCCAGCGTAAGCTTCCCGTTCTGTGAGTCATTGCAGCTTCCCGGTTTCACGTCCCTGGCTCTGGGTTCTGGTATTGTGTTAGGAAGAGGACTTGTGTCAACATTTCACTGTCTCAGGGTTCACTTGCAGAGAGAGGGGCCTGATGGTCATCCTCTGGCAGTGAAATGGCCTTGGAGATCTGAAGGCTGTCCTTTGCTTCTCCATCTGAATGAAGGGTCTTGAGGTCCAGAGACCACAGGGCAGCCTGGCACTGGCTAGAAGCAGCATGGGAGGAGACAGGGGGCTAGGAATCCTTTGAGGACCTTAGTTTCCTCTTCTGTTAGATGAGAGATTGGACTAGATGTTATTCAAGGTGCCATTTAGCTCCAAAAATGGGTGATATGTGAATAATTTTGAGATTGGATCTCAATTCTAGTGTTGAGCTGTGCTTAGCATGAACAACTAAAAAGGTGTGGGGAAGAAGTGGTTCTCAGCCCTGACTCAGGCTGCCCCCATCCCCCAGCCCAAATCCAGATGAGACCCAGACCAAGGGATGTTTTCAGGCTCTGCAAGTGAGCCCAGTGTGCTGCCAGGGCTGAGAACCACAGGGCAAGAAGGCTGAGAGAACGGGAGAAAGCTGGGGCTCAAAGCTGCACTTCCCAAGATATCCCTATGTCCACAGAGTGGTCATTCCTTGAGATAGTCCTAAAATAGTTTTTGGGAAATGATAGATGCTATATCATTTCCCATTATATGATATCACATATATCACATGCTATATCTCTTTGAGGGTCCTTCCACAGAGTATTGTCTTTTAATTCATTACACTGAGATTTGAACTTGCCCAGCTTGTTTGAATACGGTATCCTTTATTCAGTATTTCCCTAATGCCATCCTATTATTGATCCAAGATACGTATGATGGGAAACTCTGGGTTAGAAGTATACAAATAAAAGTATAGAATCCTTAAATGTCCTTTTGAAAAAAAGAAAAAAGAAAAGAGCATTGAGCTGCAGTATCTGCGGGGGCATTTTTGATTATCCTGAGGAGTCAGGGGTCATTGCCATGGCTTGGTGTGTATTTTTCTAAAGCGAAGATTGGAACACTTGTCAGTTTCTTTCTTTGCAGTGGTGGTGGGAGGTTTGGTGTTTGCCAAGGACTCTGTACTTGATGAAAAATATTGATAGAATCAGATATATATGTGTTGGGTTAAAAATTAAAAAAGAAAAATATTGATAGAGAAAGTTGAAACTATTACTGCCAATTAAAAAATGTTTTCCTCCTGATTTTTGAGAAAAAATACACAACTTCTACAGGAACCATGATTATCATTTTGGCATATTTCCTATTCTCTTTGAGTATTATTTTAAAGAGCTGAGATTTCACCACACATGGAATTTTGCAGTCTGATTTGTTTTACTTCAGTTTATATCAAAGCACGTTTCCATGTCTACATCTCTAGAAAAATCTTTTATAACCATACATTTAATGCTCAGTACCGTGATTTTGATAATCATCTCCCCATTTTTGGACATTTAGGTCACTTCAGGATTGGGGCTGATTTCAGTGGCATGTGGCCAGCTTCTCATTATCCATGGAAATGAGGACCTGAGTGCCCAGCTAAGTGGAAATCAGAAAAATTCACAAGAATGAATTGCTCCGGCCTCTTTCTCTATCCAAGCTCTTACTGTAACTACCCTCCCAGGGCCCAGCGTGCTGTGGGAGGAGTTTCCTCTTGCCTGTCTTCACTCTGTGCTGTGGGCAGGTCATCAGGCAGGCAGCAGTGGGGGCAATGGAGTCCCAGGGGAGCCCACATGGGCCAGTCCTCCTTGGGAGAACCAAGAGCTAAAATCCCTGGAGGTTAAGACTCAGAGGACAAGTAGCTGAAGCTGGAAAAGGGATGTGGCCTCTTTAGGGTCACTTAGAGCCAGGCTAGGGCCCGGGTCTCCTAGTTCTTCCCCTCCACTCTCCATGTAGGTCCTGTCACAGTCACTACAGCCCCATCATAGAATTGAGGGATGTGGTGTGGCTTGGAGTGGCAGAGGAAAGGCCTGGGGTTTGCAGTCAGAATGGGGTTTGTGCTGGGCTAGGTCACCGTGTGGCTCTGGGTAAGCGCTGCCTTGCTCTGAACCTTAGCCCCTTATCTGTAAAATGAGTCATTGTGAGGAGCAAATGGAGTCATGGAGGTGAAAATACTTGGTGTCTCAAAGGTGCTGTAAGATTGGGGGCTTTACAAACGACCCACAAAAATAGGTTTGCTTTTTGTTAGGGTCTAAAATGGTAAGGAAGTCACAGGTGCCTTTCATTCAATACCAGTCAAGGGGATGCTTCTGGGACTCTTCTCTAAGTAAGGATCTAGTATAGATGAAATTTACCCTCAAGTAGTTTTCTTGCTTCTTTAAGTCTCTCTTCTCATCAGGCAGGAAAACCCAGCCTGCAGATGTTCGTCCAGTCTGTCTCCCTTGCAGAATGCTGCTGACTGGATGAGAATGTAGCTCCCCAAACAGCCGCAGGTCCTTGGAATCTACTGCTGGGGTCCCCTCATTGAGTCCCTCTGCACTGAATGAGTCGCAGAAGTCATCAGGCTTAGCTAAAGAAGAGGTTAAACTGGTATTGGAACCTTGAAATGCAGCCCATGGAGCCTGTGGGAAATTTGATCCCCTCTCTCTTCTGGGGTACAGCCCTTACTTGCAGCTCCTGCTGCATACCTGACCCAGGCTTTGTGCAGGGCTGGGCAGGGAGCAGAGTGTTTTAAAGAATCTACTGGCCCCAACCATACCAAACAGAGGTTGATCCAAAAAACAGGGATGTCGGGGGTGGTGGGAACAGGCCTCACAAAGAAATGAGTTCCTTAGTTGTTTCAGGGACTAGTGAGAGAAACATGCTTCAGCTTGGCCTCAAAGATGCCGACATCCTTCCAATAGGTCTGGGAGGCCCAATGTCTGCTCCCCACCTAAGGTACTAGTAGAGACACAGAGTGCATCAGTTTTCTTTGAGGCATGGTTGCTGTGAGTCACCTGGGGCTGTCTTTGCTTGGATCATCTTGTGATGTGACTGCTAAAGTGTTTCTGCCTAGGGAGTTTAGGGCGTGATCCCTCATTTTCTGGATGTGTCTGCACAGGCCTGTGTGTGAAGGACCACTTGGCCTGAGATTGAGGATGAGAGGGAGCCATGATTGTGGGAAAATCCCAGGCCGCCCTTCTTTATGTGGATTTCACTTCCTATCTCTCTCTCTCTCTCTTTCTCTCTCTCTCACACACACACACGCTGACTTTCACACATCACACATATACTCATACACACACATGTGCACGCACACACACACTCACGCATGCACACATACTCTTGGGAGTGGCCTGGGATCTGGTCCTATTCCCCAGAGTCCAGCCTGTGGCTCCAGAACTGCCAGCTGAGTGGAAGATGGAAGGTGCTTTATAATAGCATCTGGTGAATCCTGGGGTCAAGGAGGCTAAGAGTGGAAGGAAAGCAGGATGAGGGCTGATGTGAAGGGTGAGGAAACAGCAGGAGTATAACTGAAATGCAGATTCAGTCACTCACCACTTGTAGAGTCCAATTAACAAGAGCAAGGTCTAGTATAAAGAAAGTGACTTTATTCTAAAGCTTAGCTTAGGGGAAGAGGTACAGGCTCCTGCCTTTAAGGGTACCGCTTTGCTTTAGAGCAGAAAGCAGGGTCCTTTAAATGAATACTTGGCATGAATGGCATGCAGGGGAGTGAGCAAGCAGGTGGGGGTCTCCGTGACTTGCTTTGGTGCCTTATCTACCAGGGAGTTGAGCTAGCACCATCACAGGCAGAGCTAGGTTGTAAGGTCATCGTTGTCTTGAGATACTCTCCAGGTGGGAAAGAGTTTTGGAGTGGGCATACTTTAGGTTGTAAATTGACTGTTATCTCTCGAGGCAAGCTCCTGGTGGAAGGTAGCTCAGGCTCTGGAGCTTCTAAGTAAGCACATAGTTAGATAAGCTTTTCATATAGGGAGTGTTTGGTGAAGGGAAGGTAGAGCTTCTAACTGCATTTCTAAAGAGCTAAGTAGGAAGCAAGGATTGAGGGAAAAGGAGGAAGATAGAAGAAAAAATAATTAAAAAAATAACTTATTCTCTTTGTCTTAGAAAAATGGGGGTACTCGGTTATAGGGGCCTCACTCTGATTTCTAGGCCTTCACAAGTTCTGAAGGAACGGGTGTCTCCATGGGCAGGGACTGAGTCTTACTCCCAAGTGACTTTGGAATTCCTGAGTGGCATATCAAGAAGGCCACAAATGGAGGATTCACATTCAATGTGTAAATGTGTGTTAATGCTCCCTCTGTCTCCCTGCCGTCTTGTCATTCATTCATTCATCCATTCATTTATAAAATGTCTGCTTTAAGCCAGACATTGTGTAGGGCAGAAAATAGAAAAATCAAAAATACATACCCTGCTTCTGAGGAGTACACAGTTTATTGAGGCTGCCTGTGCATACGTGTGTGTGTGTGTGTGTGTGTGTGTGTGTGTGTGTGTGTGGGCGGAGGCAGGGGAGCAGGTGGTAGGTGGTAGGTTCAGGGGAGAGGGAAGCACAAGGAAATGCTTCAGCCCTGTGGGCCAAATATTCTGCTGAAGATATAGAGAAAGGATAGACCCAACCTGAGGAGTGAGTGGGGCAGAGGGAGCCTCCAGGACAGGGAGTATCTGAGGAGGATCTGGATTCTGTCAAGGGAAGAAAGGAGAAGCCACTGTACATCTGTTAGAATAGTTAAAAAGTGAAGCAAAACACCCTGACAACCTCAAGTATTGGTCAGGATGCCAGCAACAGGAACTCTCATACATGAAAGTGGGAAACACAGTAGAAAGCAGTTTGTTAGTTTTTTAAAAGTTAAACATACACTTACCATATATCCCAGCAATCCCATTCCTGTGTGTTTATGCAGGAGGAATGAAAACATATGTCTACAAAAAAACCTGATGCAAATGTTTATAACAGCTTTACGTATAATTGCCCCAAACTGGAAACAACCCAAATGTTGCTCAAGTGTAACTGGATAAACTGTGGTATGTCCATACGGTGGACTACTCCTCAGCAATAGAAAAGAACCATAGATCCATGCAACAACGTGGAGGGATGTCAAAGGCATTATGCTGACTGGGAGAAACCAATCCTACTGGGTTACATACTGTGGTATTCCTTTTAAATGACATTCTAGAAAAGGCAAAACTATAGGGATGGAAAACAGATCAGCGGTTGCAGGGGTTAGGGGTAGAGAGGCTGTGATTACAAAGGGGCAGCACAAAGGAGAATTCTGGAGTGATGGAACTGTTGTGTCCTGACTGTGGTGGTGGACATGCAAATCTAATACATGTGTTAAAACTCATAGAATGATACAGAAAAGTTTCAGGTTTACTGTATGTAAATTAAAATATATATATAACAAAAAGAAGAGGGAAAGGCATTCTAGCAGAAGGAATAGCACATGCAAAACCCCTGGAGGCAAAAATGAGCTGTTAAAATTTGGCTGGGAAGGAGCTGGGCTGGGACCACAGGGGAACCTCCTGGAGATGGGGCTGGGGCCAGGGCCTGGCTCTTGGATGTGGGTGCTCGCCCCACCAGCTAGGGGTTTGTGTTATTGTCCCTAGGGCAGAGGGGGCAATGGAAGGGCTTTTGAGCTTGGAGAGATGGGATTGTGTTTGCATTTTAGAGAGCGGTTTTGGAGGCTGAGAAGAAGGATTGTGATCCTGGGGGCCAGGATAGAGGTATGGATTCTGTAGCAGGCCAGAGGAGCAGGTAGGGAGATGTTTGGGCAGGAGAACCTCCAGCCCTTGGTAATCTCAGATGTGGAGGCTGAGAACAGGTCAGGAGTGACTCCAGGTTCTTGTTCAGGCATCCGGATGTATGGGTCTCTGTCGGCCTTCCTCCTTTCTCTTCATTTTCATTTAAATTTAGCTTTTGGTGTTTCTTTTCTAGTCACACTTAGAAATTGTTAGGAATAATGCTCAAAATCCTAAGGAAATTGAACACTCAAACAAAGGATTCTTAACAAAGCAATTTTACTTCTGCGCAGAGGGGTGCCTCCTTGGCCAGTTGCCATGAGAGCACACCTGAACAAAGGGGCACGAGAGCCTTTATTCCTGATGCAAGTCCTGCCCCTGTACCCTTTCCTCATTGGCCGGGGTCGGGTCATACAATCTAAACTAATCCTGGTTGGCTAAACATTTTGATTTTTTTTAGATAGGGTGGGCACACAAAGTGGAGAGGAAGGGGAAGGGGTGTCTGTAATGAGCTAGAAAGTTAGTCCTCTTTCCAAATAAGGAAAGGAACGTGAGCTGGTACTGATAAAGCCTGGTACTGTGGCGTGCCTGGGCACCTAACAAAGGCAAAAAGGAAAAAAAGGAGAAAAAAGTGGGGGGAGGGGGTACTATGAATTAAAGAATAAAAGATTGATCAGATTATATGAAGAGAAACCTCATCATATCCCACAAAATGATCATATATAGAAGTAACTTAACAATGATACTAATCATTTTAATTCTATAAAATCACTTATTATGTTATATTCTTAAGAGCAATGTGAAGGTGAAATGTTGGATACTTCCCCTTTAATCCTTTGAATTGATTTTGTACATATTGCCTTGATAATCACAAGAGTAGGATAGAGAGAGGCTGGGTGTGGTGGCTCACACCTGTAATCCCAGCACTTTGGAAGGCTGAGGTGGACAGATCACCTGAGGTCAGGAGTTTGAGACCAGCCTGGCCAACATGGTGAAACCCCATCTCTACTGAAAATACAAAAATTAGCTGGGCATGGTGGTGGGTGCCTGTAGTCCCAGCTGCTTGGGAGGCTGAGGCAGGAGAGTCCTTTGAATCCAGGAGGCAGAGGCTGCAGTGAGCTGAGATTGAGCCACTGCACTCCAGCCTCGGCGACAGAGCGAGACTCTAGCTCAAAAAAAAAAAGGGATGGGGGTAGGATAGAGAGAATTCCAACAATAATTGTGTGTACGGGTTTATTTATGTCCCCCAAGCCACCTTGCCTGTGGTCCCTGATGCTCTCCTCCAGCCAGTGTAGACACCTGGCTCCCTTCCTTCTGGCCTCCAGCCCAGCTGACTACCACTGCTGGAGAGTGGGTAGGGGCTGTGGCTGCTGCATCCTTCCTAGCCCAACTTCTCCTCCTGCCATGAGCTTGGAATTCTGCTAAGTGGCCGCGGGAAGGGGCTGTATCACATGCTGTTTACTTGTGGGCAGTTTTTGTTTGGCTTTTGAGGGTGTTTGCTTGCAATGAGCAAACAGCCTCTTCCAGAACCAGCTGGAGGATTCAAATCCTCCCATCTTGGGGCAGCAGGTTCATGGTTCTATAAGAGCCAGGTTGGGTAGGGATTTTTCCAGAAATGCCATCAGCCAAAGAACCGGTCAAAAACAGCAGAGGGGATAAGATTAGAAGAGAGAAAGGGAGAGAAAAACGAGAAGAGTCAGACCCAGAGACACAGGGATGCGAGATGAAGAGAGTAAGGCACAGAGACAAACGAGACCAGCTCTGTGGAGAACCTTCACGTCTAGGCATGGTGCTGAGCCAGGCAGGTGCCCCTTTCAGCTTGTGAGCATGCCATGCAGCGGGGCTCCCGGGCTGCATGGGGCACACTCTTCTGAGCTGGGTTTCGTCAGTGTTGTTGCCCTTTGGCAGAGCAGTGCTGTTTTCTGCTGGCCTGGATGGACTGAGGGCTGACTGCCACTGCCTCTCTGTGCTTCACATGCTCCAGGGCTGTCCCTAATGTCAGCTCTGTGCTCCTGCTGGGGAGGCATTATCAGCAGGACAAACCCAATGGTTCCACTGGCCAGTCTTGCTTCTAGCCAGACAGGCTTTGCAGCAGTGTTGTGAGGTGACTTCCAATGCACTGGGCACTAGGAAATTCTCAAGATATTCTGGCAAGGATTTAAAAAGTAACTGTAGTGCTGTTAAATGCTTGGTGATATCTTTGAGATGGGAAGGGAAGACCCAAATACAGTCAAACCATAACATTAGCGGGCCGTAATTTCAAAAAGTGCAGGAGCCGCAGTCCCTTTCATTCTTATCTACAAAGGAGATGAATGAACTGCAGCCCAGGGATAATGTGATAACTCTTACTGGCCAGGTGGAAGGAAAGGGGGAAACGTCGATAGGGGGAGAGGGTTGCAGGGAGGAGCAAGGAACACATTTCCTACAGAGCCTGGGAAAAGGTGCATTAATGGATGGGGTGGGTCCTCACATTTGCTTTCTGTCTCCAGGTCTGTGCAATCTCTTCCTTCTAGGTGTCCCATTCTGTCTGTCTGGACTTCCCTTTTAGGGTTCAGAATGCCGTTGATCTTTCTTTTTGGTGAATGTAGAGTTGAGGTAGGATTCTTAGAAACTTGTTCTTTTGAATATTGTCACTGCTTCTTTTCCTGACCTAATTATAGGGGAATGTTTTCCTCAATTTTCCTTTTGGGCCTGTTAGGGTTTTGCAACTCTATTGTTTTATCTCTGTCTTTTGTAAATTGTAAGAGCAATACCTGTTTATCATGGAAAATCCTACCTGCTTTCTTTTTTTTTTTTTTTTTTTTTTTTTTTTTTTTTTTTTGAGACGGAGTCTCGCTCTGTCGCCCAGGCTGGAGTGCAGTGGCGGGATCTCGGCTCACTGCAAGCTCCGCCTCCCGGGTTCACGCCATTCTCCTGCCTCAGCCTCCCAAGTAGCTGGGACTACAGGCGCCCGCCACTACGCCCGGCTAATTTTTTGTATTTTTAGTAGAGACGGGGTTTCACCGTTTTAGCCGGGATGGTCTCGATCTCCTGACCTCGTGATCCGCCCGCCTCGGCCTCCCAAAGTGCTGGGATTACAGGCGTGAGCCACCGCGCCCGGCCACCTGCTTTCTTTTGGGTCTCTTTGGAGGAGTCTCTGTGTGGTGCTCCCAGCGTTAGACTCACAGCATAGACAGGTGCACCTGCTGGGAGGTCTGCATGGTCAAGAGTCCCTGTGCAGGGCCAGGTGTGGTGGCTCATGCTTGTAATTCCAGCACTTTGGGAGGCTGAGGAGGGAGGATCCCTTGGTTCAGGAGTTCAAGACCAGCCTGGGCAACATAGACTTTTGTCTATGTTGGGCAACATAAACTTATGTAGAGAGAGACCCTATCTCTACAAAAGTTTAAAAAGGTGTGTGCCTATAGTCCCAGCTACTTAAGAGGCTGAGGTGGGAGGATTGCTTGGGCCCAGGAGGTCGAGGGTGCAGTGAGCTATGATCATGTCACTGCATTCCAGCCTGGGTGACAGAGTGAGACCCCGTCTCAAAAAAAAAAAAAAAAGGGTCCCTATGCATACACCCTTGGGGATAACTCCCAACCAGCTTCTCAGAGTGCTGCTCTCTGCCTGCTTCTGGGACAGCAGCGGTGGTTGTCTGTGGTGGAAGAAGGGAGGACAAAGGAAACCCACATTTACTAAGTTTTTTTATCAGAGAGGCATCTGCCTGCCATGTGCCCGGCCTCCATTTGAGCATTGAGATGAGAATGAGCACGCTCTATACCCTAGGCCCCTCGGGAATTCCGAGTCTTGGGGAGGATGGGGGGCAGCCTACTTGTCTACTTAATGACAGTCATTGACTGCATCCCAGGTGTGAAGCTCTGAGTCCCAGGTTTGATGTTCTGAGAGTCCCACGTGTGATGTTCTGAGTCCTGGCAGTGTTGTTCTGTGTTCCAGGCATGTTGTTCTGCAGGCCAGGTGTGTTGCTCTGTCAGCTAGGTGTCACTCTTTTTTATTAATGAGGAAACTAAGGCTCAGAGGAACCAAATGCTTTGCCTGAGCTCTTGTGGCTGGGAAATGGTGGGGTAAGGGGCCGGACCCAAACCTGAATGAGCTCGAGGCTTGTGCCTGGGGGAACTATGGGCATGTATGCAAATGATGGGTGCGGTTATCTCACTCTTTTCACCCCAGCCTGTTGAGAGGAGGTCTGGGGACCCCTGAAGTCCCTTGGACCTGTCTAGGTGGAAGCAGTGGGGGTGGGGGCCAGGCAAGGCCACTGGCTGGGGAAAGTTCTTTTAAGGATGTCATCTGAGGTCTTGGGAGTCTCCTGGGGGCTTCTCTTCTATAAGTCTCCTTTTCCTTCTTTCTTTTTTCTTTCTTATTTTCAGTAGAGACAAGGTCTCACTTTGTTGCCCAGGCTGGTCTCAAACTCCTGGCCTCAAGTGATTCTTCCCTTTCAGCCCCCTAAAGTGTTGGGATTACAGGCATGAGGCACTGCGCCTGGCCAATCGGTCTTTTTCTTGCTGTTATCTCTGCTATTCATACCCTCTACAGAGTCACGCAGATATACACACACACACATCTACCCACTCCATGCACTTAGATATATTATTCACACACACATAAACCACATGCTTACATTGACATTCACAGTGTCACAATGAAATACACACCCACACACTGGTAATCTTGCATACACACTCACACACCCTCACACACTTGCATAGCCATAGAGCAGCTGCAGAGGTGCTGCCTGGGCTCTGAAGCAGAGGTGTTTGATGGAGTACGGGGGCTGGAGCCAGGCTCAAGCTGTGCCCAGACTATGGTGGGGGCTGCGGTCATGCTGCCTGGGTGCCTGGGCCCAGCGGAGGTGGAGGCTGCAGGCAGTTTGAGGGCTGGAGGCTGTAACGGCCAGTGAATGGGACATTTGGATGTCTGTGCCTGTGCTGGAAGGAGAGTGAGTGGGACACACAGGGTTCTTTCTCAAGGACAGAGTGGCTCTGTTGTCTGTCCACATAGAGGCTCAGTGTATGCCTCCTGGGGGACCTGGACCCCAGCTCAGGGACTGGCTGCTGGCAGGGTTGCTTCCTGGATAGCACGGGTGCTCATTCCCAGCCTCCCGGCAAGCCTGGCCAGTCTGCAGGCTCTGGACCTAGTTGGCTTTTACAGTTACTTACCACATTCTGGCCCCCCACCCCCACCCCTCTGCCCAAGATCCTGTTACAACTACAAAGATGCTATTGTATTCCTTTCTTTCAGAACATTCTCCCCTGAAACTCTAGTTAAAATCCCCTCATCTCCCTTTAGGCTGACTGGGCAGGGATGCCTTGTGTAGTCACTTCGCTGGGAGTCTGGAGAGGCTCCTGGCTCCTGGTTCACACTCACTTCCCTCCCTGGCGGTGGCTGAGTTTAGACTGTAATTGTCGTAATATCTTACTCGGTGTGGTTTTAAAGCATGAAGGGTTCAGAGGGTGAGTTGTAATCAGAACTGAATTCAAACCCTGCTCACCACCTTGGGCATTTCAGTGAACCTTTAACCTCTTAGCCTCAGTTTCCCTTGGCAATACCAGGGCCTCCTTGTGGGAATGTATGCTCAATGCTTTAATGAGCATAAGGCACCTTGCGTAACAGTCAGCACATAGTCAGTGCTCAGTTAATGGGGGCTGTGATTACATTCTCCTTGGACAACAGACAGGCCTGGAGGCATAGCAAGGCCTGGGCTTCTAGAACTGTCAGGAGGATCCTTCAGTGCAACAAAAGGATTAGGAGTGGGGGATACCTTAGACTCTGGCTCCCCTCAGAAGGAGTTTGGGATGTATGCCAAAGAGGGGCTGCCTTTGCCTCATCCCTGGGGATCCATCCCTATGACGGTGAACTGGAAACAGAGGAAGGGGAAAGGGACGCCTAGTTCAAGAGTTGTTGATCTGGGGTCCAAGCATGTGATAAAAACTTCAGCCGAATTAAATTTAAAAGGGTTTAATTGAGCAATGAATGATTCGCAAATCGGGCAGCTGCCAGAATCACAGCAGATTCACAAAGACTCCAGGGGTGCCTCGTGGTCAGAACAAATTTATAGACAAAAAAGGTAAAGTGACGTACAGGAATCGGAAGTAGGTACAGAAACAGTGAGATTGGTTACAGCTTGGCGTTTGCCTTATTTGAGCAGTTTGAACATTCAGCAGTCTATGAGTGGTTGAAGTATGGCCGCTGGGATTGGCGAACACTCAGCCATTGTTACTGCCGCATACTATTAAGTTAGGTTTTTAATTTTGTCTGACTATTAAGCTAGGTTACAGTTCATCCACAAGGACTCAAATATAGAAGTACGGAGTCCTTCTCAGGCCATATTTAGTTTGCTTTAACACATGGAATTCAGGGGAGCACTAGGTTAAAGAAAGTTACATCTTTATTTTCACTCATCTCTAACTGGAATTCATTGTTTCTTCAATAATGAATGTAGGCACCAGCCACAGTAGTGTTGGCAGGACCTGTGACTTTGTCACCAAGAGAAGTCACAGATATTTTATGTAATGACAGTAGAAGCAGACACTTTGAAATGTAGTTTTTATTCATCACTGCTTTGAAAGTGCATTTGTTATTAGGTATACTGATAGATATTGGTTTTTAATGTGTTAATAAAGAAGCACGTGTAGGATTATATCACACGTTTGTTTTTTAGAAGATCTGGATAATTATTTCAATGTAATTGATTATCTTGGTAACCCTGTATTTTTCATTTTATACAATAAAAAACGCATCTTGAGAAGGATCTTCAGCTTCACCAGGTGGCCAGAAGGGTCTTTGGTGTTAAAAAGATTCAGAACCCCTGCTTCTGTGTAGATATTCATCAATGTGATCTGTGTCTGGGGGAGTGACAGAAGCCCCCTTTGCCTAAAAGCATCTTTCCCCAGCCTCTACTCCACGGCCATTAAAAAATAATCTTTTAAAAAATTAAAACCTGATGTGTGCCAGGCACTGTGCTGGGTGTTGGAAGATAATTTCCCCTCAGTAATAATAACATATTGTATTTACAACATATTGTATTATGTCATTGTAGCATAACAACACAATAACAACAATGCCCAAAGCATTGGACTTTGTAGCTGTCTCATTCATTATCTCCCGGAATCCTCATCCTTTCAATGTTAAGACTATTGTATGAGACCCATTTTAGAGATCCATAAATAAAGGTTCAGTGAATCTGAGTCATGGCCAAGTCATGCAGTTCATAAATATGAAGGACTCCCAGGTGGGCCCTCCAGCCACAAATGTGATGCTTTTTCCACTCAATCAACCTGAAAATTCTCACACTTGGACTTAGCCCTTGCATTTTGATATCTAGTCTTTGGAAATTTTTTGCTAAAAATAAATATCCTTGGAAATTAGTTTGTTGCATCAAGCATGGTCCCAGGGGTCTGGGTCTCAGGGGCATCTTGTATAGATAGAGGAGAAGAAAGGGCAATACTAGAGAAGGGGCCCTGGGAGGGAACTAGGTCTGGATTTGGGGAGGCCTGGGCAGAGGACAACACCAGGGGAGGCATGGAGGCAGGAGCCGGGCCTAGGGGGATGGGGAAGGCCAATGCTGGGGAGGAAGCACTGATAGGGAGGGCAAGCTCTGAAGACCAATTTGACTGTCTTTGTGTATTTTGCTTGGGGAGCCTCCAAGACACATGCATGGAGGCTCAGCCTCAGTCTTCTAAGCAGCATCTCCATGAGAGGGCTGAGGGAACTTCCATTTCTGGAGGCCTCCGATGCAGTTTTCTGCTTGGGACTGGGCTGAGAGGGCATTCGGTAGACAAGCAGAACATTTTCTTTGTGCCATGGACACAGAGACCTGTTCCTCTTCTCTGAATCCAAGAGGGTCCATCAGACACTGCCAGGCACTTCTCTTGTCTTTGACTGAGACTTGTCTTGTCTCAGAAACTTGTTAATTAGGCTTTCTCCCTAATTCTTGGAAGGCAGCAGCCCCGATGCATATCATTTCCCCCGACAGCATCCACCACAGTGTAGATGTGGAGGATGTGGGCAACAGATGTTTCGATTGGTTGTTAGCCTCCTACATCTTATATTCAAATATCTCCAGAGTTGTCCAACAGAACTTTCTGAGATGATGGAAATGTTCTATCCTGTGCTGTCCAACATAGTAGCCACTACTTGCAGGTGGCAATTGAACACCTGAAATGTGACCAGTACAACCAGGAATGGAAACCTTTAAATTTTAATTAATTCAAATGTAAATAGTCACATGTGGCTAGTGGCTCTCATATTGGACATTGTAGCCCTGGACCAAGAGATATAAATTGAAGTGCAGATGGAGGCCAGGCTGCTAGCATAAGTGAAGGAAGTGGGCTGGGTGTAACGAAAACAAATCCGCCTATGTTTCGTTTCTTCAGGTTTACTTGAGCTGTAGTCAGAGAAGTGTTCATCTTCTATAAGAAAAACAATAAGGCAAATGAGATGCCAAAGGCAACTGTCCTTCTTCCTTGGTTTTGGGAGACAATAGGGAGTAGTGAGGCCTGTGGTGAACTTCAGGGAGCATGTCATTGAGAGAGAGTGTCATACTCTACGCCAACCATGTAGGGACCTGGGCCCAAAGTATAACTAGAACTTCCCCTTTTTCAAGGGAAGCCGGAAATCTGAATTTTTATGTGAAATATCCTGGATTTTAAATATTGGTTCAAATTTATTTAAAACACTACAAGCCAAACAAAACACATCTGCAGGCCAGATTTGGCCTGTGGGTCCCGGTTTATAAACTCTCCTCTAGGTCTAATCCTGTATGAATCTCTACCACCTCCTGGAGACTGGGGTGGATGTCCGGTGAAGAGCGAGGTGGATTCTGTCCTGAAGTGTTCCTAATTGGCTCGGCCTCCCCTGTTGTCATGTGTTTGGTCAAAAGAGAGGAGACATGCACAGGGAAGGCACAGACCTGCTCCCCTCCCCTTCTTCTCTGAGGTTGCATCTTGGCCTCTGAGCAGCCAGGGAGCAGAAATCTCTGGAAGGTTGGAAAGGTATAGCCCAGAAAGAAACTTACTTTATTTTTCAGCAGCAATCCCCACCCCCTCTTGATCCCAGCCCCACTCCCAGATCTGAGAGCAAAATGTGTGGCTGTTAATACAAAGGCAGCCAGAGAAAATTTCCAACAAATGACAGGGTCTCCAAAATTCCATCTGGCCTGTGGTGTTCCCACACTGGCACTCTTGTGAGCTGGAACAAAATGCTAATTCAGCTGTGGATGTGGAGAGGGCTCCTGGGGCTAGCAGGGCTGCAAAGCCCCAACGTATAATCAACGTGGAGACTGGACCAGGGCAACCAGCAAACAGGGGGACATAAGAGACACTCCGTTGACATTCCTGCCTATGGGGCTCTTGCTCTCAGCACAGTGCCAGGATCCCTGCCATGGAGTTGATCCCATGGGCGTTGCTAGGAAATTACCATCATGGTAATAGCAACAATCCTAATGACAGCTAACATTGACTGAACTTAACTTTGCATTAGGCTCTGTTTTGAATGCTTTATCTACAACACCTCATGTAACTCTCATAGTGTTTAGTAGAGTGATTTTATTTTTATGATGGACAGGTCACATTCTTTTCCCATCAGAATGTTACCACCATAAGAGGGCTTTTGTCTCTTTTGTTCATGATGTTTCTCTTCTGCCTGGAGCAGTGCTTGGCTCAGGAAATACCTACTTAATGAACTAATGAATGGACCACCCTATGAAGGAGGTACTAGGTACTATTATGACCCCCATTGTACAGATGAGGAAATCAAGGCCCAAGGTCACACAGCAAGAACACAGCGGATTTGAGATCAATGCCCACAGTGGAGTTGGGATCAATAGCCCATGTGTTATTTGCAGCTATGCTAGGCTGGTGATGGCAGGAAGCCATGGGGACCTGGCCATCTCCCCTCTAGGCCCAGAGATGAAACTTGTCAAATAGTTTGGGAACTGGAGAAAGGTCATGGTCCTGTGGTCAGGGACTGAGGGGTGTTCCCTGTGACCATTTGGGTGTAGGATACTCAGTTCCTGGCTCAGCCTGTGCCCCGTGGGCTGTAGGTCATCTACACTGAGCCTCAGGACTTGTGGTCTCCTTGGAGAATGTGCACAAACTCTGAGAGGCCATTTGTCTTTCTGATGACAAGTAGGTCACTCTGTCCCTGGAGCAGAGAGCTGGCAGCTGCATGTGCTAAGGGCCCTGTGCAGAACTGCACATCCCACACTCCCTTCATAGGCCGAGCAGTTTCAGAGCTGAGGCTGGAACCTGGGCTGGAATCATGTCCAGGCCGAGGGGCCCTGTGATGAGCAACCCCACCAGCCAGTGTTCCTCATTTGGGACAGGAGATGAATAATTTTTTCTTCCTGCCCACCCTCTACCCTCTGCTACCTGCACCTTGGGTGACTCTGCAACTCCCTTTCAGAGAGTCAGAGGAACATAGTTTTGTGTGTGAAGTGTCTGGGGTTGAGTTGCTGGGTCTGAGGGTGAGAAGGCCCTCAATAAGTCTTGCTGATCTCACCTCTGGCCTCTGCTCCCTGCTCTTCGGAGCTCCCTTTTGGCCTGACTTTCCATGTTTCAAGTGTGAGGTATTACATGTTCAAGCTACTACTTTCACACGCATGAGAGAGAGACAGAGAGAGGGGGGGGGGATCTGGGATCCTTAGAAATGGGGATAATCATATTCGGATTGGAAAACAACACATGCCCATTCTTTTTCAAAGGTGTATCTCCCAGGGGCCTCTCCTCCATGGGCTGTTCTGGCCCTCACTGGGTGCAGATTCTTCCCTCCTCAGCTGCACCTGGAATAACAGCTGCACAATGGAGGAGTTCTCCTCTTCTTCCCCCTCATAGCTTATGTTTATTGAGCATCTATTGCGGGTCTAGAATAATTGTAAGCATTTGACAGTTATCTCATTTAATTAGCATAATGGGCCTATAAGGTTGTGTCTTAGGTTGGCTTCCTCCAGAAGGAGACCTTGAGACCAGGATTCCAGTGCAAACAGTTTATCTGGAAGACATCACCAGAAGACAGCAGTACGGAGGGAGGAAGTGAGACAGGGAAGGCAGCCAGTGCAGGGTGCATGAGAGGGCAGGTTCCTGCTGGGGACTTCTGGGGCTCGGTCCTGCTGGGAACTTCTGGGAGGCCGTGAGGAACATGTCACTCCTAGGAGTTGTCCTCCCCTACAGGTAAAGAGGATGGAGTCTTTATTTGCCAATTCCTGTCTGCCATAGGTTGAGGGCTGCTCCTGGGGGTATTAGCGTCCCAGCAGGCACACTGCTGCTGACCACTTCTGAAGTCCTTTAGGTGGTCTGGGACATCGCCTCACTGTCCACTGTATGGAGGACACTGATTGTGATGAGTTCCAACACTGCAGAAGACGCAGCCGGGAGAACTCCTAATGGAAGGGTTCTCCACCCAAGAGCTGGTTGGATGAAGGGTCAGCTTTTGTGGAATATTCTGGGGGCCTCATATCCGAGAACCAGGAGAGGCTGAAGAAGAGGTGGTGGGGGCAGGGCAAGCGATGCAGACGCACTCGGGACTGGACCACCTGACAGAGTTCATGGCTGGTGGGTGTGTCTAGGGCAGACCTGGAGCTCAGCTACTTAGCCCAGTTTGCCCTTTGCTGTAGCTTGTTCTTAGCGGGGTAATGCTAATAATGGGAGCGACCACCTTTTGAACAGTTATTATGTCCCTGCGACTTTTATAGAATTATATACACATTAACTCATTAAACACTCATATCAACCCTAGGAGGCGGGTGCTAAACCTTCCACCATTTTAGAAATGAGTGAAGAGCTAGGACACCCAGGACAGGTGTCTCAGCAGGAGTGTGCGGTAGGCAGGGGAGGGGGTCTCTGTCTCTGCCTCCTGCTATGACAGACGGCCCTGTGTGGGTGGCCCTCTCCTCCTGGTGGCTCTTCCTCCCACCTGCTTACTCCCGCTCCCTGTGACCTTAGGTGCTAACCTGGGGTTTTCTGGTGCCAGTTCACCTGATATCACTTCTCTGGTTATAGCTGGTTCTGACTTGTTCCTCCGTGGCTACTAGTGATGCCTAGATTTGGGTGGAGGGACCCTCTAATCAGTGTCAGCTTCCCTAGGATTCACAGCGTGAGAAAAGCCTCTTTGTTTCTTACTGCCACAACTACGTCATTTTATCTATTGGCTTTTGGACTTTTTTTTTTTAACCTAATATGTGTGTGCGTGTGTGTGTACACGTGTACATATCAGTGTGTATAGCTGAAATTAAAGTCTCATGAAATAACATACCCTTATGACTTATTTTTTTCCTCTCTTCTTTTTCTCTTTTCCTTTTCTTTCCCTTGTACTAATGGGTTCCAATCACAGTGTGACAATCTGATTGAACTACTCTCTCATTTTGATGGAACTGTCCCCCTTCTTGAACTTGGTTGAGGTTGGTGGGAATGAAGCCAATTTGGAAGGCAATGCGTGCATTGTTGCATTTCCAAATCACCACTCCTCCCTGCCAATATATTCTCCACATTCTGGACGGAGCTGGTGCATACTGGTGCTTCTCCTCCACAGGCAGGCACCTTCCACATGCAGCAAACCCCAGGGTGAAGGTGCCCAGCAACCTCTGTCCTGGGTCTAGCTGTCAACCCCAAGCCTGCCTCCCTGCTGTTTCTCCCAGGGCAGGGCTGTGGGGAGGAGAGGAGCTTGTCTACTGGGGCTTCAGTGGCTGGCTCTCTCGCAGCCCACCCTGATGTACTCAGATTCCTGAGGTGGGCATGCTGGGCCTGGCCTTCTTGGCCCCCCTTGTTGCCCAGGGACTCCTACAGTAGAAAGGCATCTTAAAGAGGTCATGCCGCCAATCTCTGCAGCAGCCAGTATAGGGGTTGTGTTCATTTCCCATTGTTGCTGTAACAAATTGACGCACATCGAGTGGCTCAAAACAACACAAATTTGTTCTCTATAGCTCTGGTCAGAAGTCCAAAACAAGTTTCACTGGACTAAACTCAAGTTGTCAGAAGGGCTGGTTTTCTTTGGAGGTTCTAGGGGAGAATCCTTTTTCTTGCCTTTTCTGGCTTCTAGCAGCTGCCTGTGTTACTAGCTTGTGCCAGGAATTCCTCTATCTTCAGAGACCATCATTCTAGTCTCCGCTTTCATCATCACTTTGCTGTCCCCTCTTCTGTATTCATTTTTCCCTCCACTTGCCTCTAATACGGACACTTGTGATCACATTTAGAATCCACCCAGCTAATCTAAGACAGTCTCTTCCTCTCAAGAACCTTAACTTTATCACATATGCAAAGGTCCCAGGTCCCAGAGATTAGGGCCTGGACGTCTTTGGAGTCAGTATTCAGTTTACTACAGGGGTTGTCCAGGCTCTGTCTTGAGGACCACGTGTTCTTACCCATCATCAGTTGGCCCAGTCCTGTGAGAGCGGTCAGGCTGGAGCTGCGTGCTCCTGGGGCCGAGTGTCCAATGCTTTCTGACTCCCATCTACCAAAACAAGAAAAATCAGTAGTTACTAGATATTTAACAAGTAACTGCTGTGTTCTACCACTTCCAGAGTTAGGGTTTTGCTCTTCAGTCAGATTCCTCTTGGAGTTTGTGGACAGACAGCCACAGAGTCTCAAAAGCAGAAGGAGATCGCATAAACATCTCCTTTGGCCCCTGGGCCAAATCAGCAAGATTCTCCAGGCTTGGCCCTTGATGCTAAAGAGAGAGATGAAGGAATCTAGGAAATCTTCTCTCAAGACAGCAGCCATGCCTACAAGACCATGCATTTCCATATAATTCTATTTCACACATCAGAAGGCGAACATTCCCTTGGCCGACATTGCATATTATCTTTGTTACATTCCTCTGTCACATTTCCCAGTAGATGAATAAGATCAAGCTTAGGTTCTCAGAAAAGCAAACAGGAAAATCACATTAATACTTTGTAAAGAATATCCTTCTCACTTTAGTTGTTGTAGAGTGCTGCTCCCAAGAAATTAACTGTACAGTCATTCAACACACGGATGAGGTGATGGACCATTTCATTGTAGTTGTATTTTGGGGCAAAGTGGGGCACGGAGGACAGTGAAGACTAATTTCTGTTGCTTGCTAGTTTTGTCTTTGAAAATCTGGCCCTGGACTCATTTCCTCAATTAAATTTTACATTTTCATGAAGACAAGAAAAATTTTGTTCTTTTGAGACCCTATGGCACCATCATGAACTGGTGGAGATGCCTGGGTGCCTGTCACAGAAAGGAAGAGGGGGTTGAGTCCACATTTTCCTAGGAGGAGAGCTCTCTCCTTGGCTTCTCTTCCCCTCCTCCACCCCTGCCCCTCCCTGTCCACCAGACACATCATTCCAGATGCCTCAGTGTTGGGAACACCCAGTGCCAGATCTTCACCTTGGCAGAACCCTGAGCAGGGCGCAGACATTGTGGGCCTAGTCCAGAAAGCCGACCCCGGGTCATATGCTGTAAGAAGTTCCACGTCATGACACAAGGGAAGGAGCGAAACCCTTCCAGCTGCTGCTTTTCTTGGTGGAACTTGATGATATGCAGTCCGGGAAAGCGATCATTCCTTCTAACACTGGATACAGCTAAATCCAAACAGCACGTGGCCACATCTAGCCTGCAATGGACTTGGCCTGGCCAGAGCAGGGCAGGAAGCCAGAACAAAGAAAAGGAGCCAGATATTATGAAATATTGGTCTGTGCTCAGCAGGCTTATGCAGCCTCCAGCAAGTATGTGGACAAGAATGCAGAGCTTGCCTATTTGTTTGTGAACATGAAGCTGCAGACAGGGAGCTGAGGGGAAATATTGATTAATTTGATTCCCTTTCAAAAGAGGAGAGCTGTAATCCAAGATGAGGGGCTATGGCTACTTACTTCCAGGGACACTATTTTTCCAGGAGCCTCAGTGAGACATGAGAGGAGGTGAGGAAGGTAAAGGTGAAGGTGGGGATAGGTGGGCCCCTGCGGATGTAATTAGACTGCTGGCACTGGGGGCCTCTGGAGGCAGTCAAGTTTGCTTTGGAGGAAGAATTTCTGAGGGGTAGGGAGGCTTCCTGTGAGGTGGGTCCTTGCCTCACCCCTTCCCCTTCTCCTGCAGGCTCCAGGGGTCTGACCGGGCTGCCTGTCTCTCTTCAACCACCCTCTTTCCCACCCGCAGTTGTGGCTCCTCAAGGCTTGCTGGGCACCCTGCCCTTTCTACTGTCACGTATGCTCTCCCTTCCCTTTGGGATGCTTTTTATTACTAAAAGCTACACAGCATAGAAAGCTTGCTGATTGGAAATCAGCTTACTATTCTGGTGTTAATCATTACTGGTCTCCTTTTAAATATGAGTGGAGCCAGGTAGGTCCGCATTCAAACATTCGTCTTCCCAGAATCCTCCTTGTTAGATGGTCTAGTTTGTTTCTCAAGACAAACCGACAGTCGCAGAGGCTGAGTACGTGACATAATTTTCCAACTCTGCGGTTTTATTTTGTTGAGACAAAAGACTCAGCATGTGTCCTAAGGCTGGAGGAAAAACTGATGGCATATCAATTTCTTTCTTAAGGGATTTTCAAGGGTAATTCTGATCTGGACTTAATTTTTGCCTGATTTGCTGTATTCAGAATCTGATCTCTCGTAAGTTGGGACTGTACTGTACCACAATTTTTATGCTTGCTTTTGTGTTTTTATTGGTCCAAGTGATCTACTGCTGTTTATCCTTTAGTATAGCATTTCTCAAGCATTCTGTGGGCTCCTGGGGCTCCAAGGACCTCTGCCTTGGCTTAGAGCTGTGCTGTTCAATATTGCAGTCACCAGCCACATACTGAAATGTAGCTGGTCTGAATTGAGATGTGCTGTTTGTGTGAAATACACATTGGATATCAAAGATGTTACAAAAAAACTAAAATATCTCATTAATAGTTTTTATATTGATAACATGTTGAACTGATAATATTTTTTATATATCAGGTTAAATAAAATATATTATTAAAATGAGTTTCAATTGTTTCTTTTTCTTTTTTTAAAAATGTGGCCACTAGAAACTTTGAAATTTCCTATGTGGTTCACATTGTATTTCTATTGGTTGGCTCTGAGTGAGGAAAACATTGGTTTACAGCCATCTCATTCTTCAGTTCTTTTATGCTTGAAAATCAAGCTCAACAATTCCCACCTTCCTTGTTTCCAGACCTTTTTCTCTGATTTTCATTTCTGAATGTTTGAGGATGACAGGTGTTCATTATGCCTTAATTTTCTTATTCAAATGTGCCTGGACTCCATTTGATTAATTTATTTCTGCAGTGAATCTTTAGAGCATTGATCTCAATCTTGGTGATCCTCCTGACTTACACAGGAAAATAGCTACTTTACTTGGTCCCATAATCCCTTCAGATTATGTCTAGTACATTGTGAATAAATATGCATTTTTAAAGGAGACTAGATGTGTTAAAAGTAAAACCTTAGAGGCCAGACGCAGTGGCTCACACCTGTAATCCCAGCACTTTGGGAGGCCAAGGCAGGCAGATCGCCTGAGGTCAGGAGTTCGAGACCAGCCTGGCCAACATGGCAAAACTGTGTCTCTACTAAAAATACAAAAATTAGCCAGGCATGGTGGCAGGCTCCTGTCATCCCAGCTACTCGGGAGGGTGAAGTGGGAGAATTGCTTGAACCAGGGAGACGGAGGTTGCAGTGAGCCAAGATCGCACCACTGCACTCCAGCCTGGGTGACAGGGTGAGACTGTCTCAAAAAAAAAAAAAAAAAAAGAATAGATGATAGACAGAATCAAACTCAAGTCACTCCCTGCCAGAGTCATCTGGCAGCAGAGTGGTAGCACACTGGTAGCAGAGTGAAGGCAGCCTGCTACCAGATAAAAGGTCTCAAAGTGGGGCTCAGCCACTTCAGTGGGTATACTAGACAATCCACCAGGTGCAGCAGGAAAATATCAGAACTGCTATTTACGTTTATTTTATCTAATTCTTTTATGATTTTAAATTTCTTGTCCATGTTTTATAATGAACATATTTATGTAGTATTACATGCTTCTAATTTGTAAATAGTGGAAAAAAATGGTTTGTAAATATTGGAAGGATGTGCTCAGATTTTTTACCAGTAAAGGTGTATGACCAAAAAGTTTTGGGACTACTGACCCAGAGAAGGTGATTTTGCCCCCTAGTGATAATTGAATCCCACTACTGTATCAGTGACTCTTTTGAATATATGCATTTCATTCATTTATTTATTCATTCATTCATTCGTTTAGGATCTATGAGGGTGTCGTTGTTTTGGTAACATTTACCTGCTCTCTGAGAGCCTGGATTCTAACTGTTATTTTCCTGCCTGCCTCATGGTTGGAGAACTTTGGCAGGCTTCAGGTGTTTGGGAGTGGCAGAATGAGTGAGGAAGGCCTTTTTTCTTAGACTTCCCAAGATGAGTTTTTAGTATTTAGCATGTCTTCAATGGGGAGAGATGTCTGGGTCAGGCCATGGAAAATAAAACCAGTTGACTTCAGGTGAAAGCTATTTCATTGGCCAAGGAGACGTTTAGCTGCTCAGAGCGAAGGCTAATGAATGACTTCTCACCTAGCAGTTGAGACTGCAGATGTCAGATCTTGCCAATACTTCCCCCAGGTTAACTAGGGGATGACTAGGTTAACTGATCAGCTGTTTTATTGTTTAAGACACAAAACATAAACTAGCTTATGAGTGATCGTCACACAAGAGCCTACACCCACCCACCCTCTTCTCAGTAGAAGATGACTCACTGGATAGCTCAACCACAGCTTCTTTGGAGTTCCTTTTCATCATTTATCAAAAATGAGGGTGGAAAACTGGAACAGTGCTTCCCAAACTGTTCTCAGTTTTGACCATTATTTATTCACTCCCCTCTATGGAAGATGAGGATTTGGGCCTTTCACCACGTTTCCCCATCTCCAGTACAGACACATTATTCTCATCCATCCATTCCCCCAATATAATTAGGTAATAATTTTGGTGAGATCAGTGTTTACATTATGACTACTTAAAACCTACTCACAGATGTATTAGCTTCGTATTGGTGCGGTAACAAATTGCTAGGAACTTGTTGGTTTAAAACGACACGAATTAATTTTCTTACAGTTCTGGAGACTAGAAGTCCAAAGTGAGTCTTATTTGGCTAAAATCAAGGTGTTGGCAGGGCCAGTTCTTTCTGGAGGCTCTGGGGGAGAATCCATTTCCTTGCCACCTCTATCCTTTAGAGGCCACCTGCATTCCTTGGCTCATGGTCTCTACCTCCATCTTCAAAGCCACCAGTGCAGCATCTTCTCTCTCACTGACTCTGATTCCCTCTGTTTCAGTCATCACATGGCCGCCTTCTTGCTTCCCTCTTAAAAGGATACTTGTGATTACATCGGGCCCATCAGATGATCTAGGATAATCTCCCCATTTCAAGACCCTTAATTTAATCACACCGTCCGAATCCCTCTAACCACATAAGGTAACTTGTTCACAGGTTTGGGGATTAGGACATGGATATCTTAACGGCTGAGCAGTATCCAGTAGTACCCTTGGTTTCACTTTCCACAGTTTCAGTTACCCAAGGTTACCTGCAGTCTGAAAATATTAAATGGAAAATTCCAGAAATACACAATTTATGTTTTCATTTGTGTGTTGTACTGAGTAGTGTGATGAATCTTGTGGCATCTCGCTCTGTCCTACCTGGGACATGAGTCATCCCTTTGTCCAGTATATTCACACTGCAGATGCTCTCTGCCCATTAGTAACTTAGTAGCTGTCTCAGTTATCAGATGGCTATTGGAGTACTGCATTGCCCATGTTCAAGTAAACCTTATTTTACTTCATCATGGCCCAAAGTGCAAGAGTAGTGATCCTGCAATTGGAGTGTGACAAAGAGACGCTGAAAGTGCTTCATTTAAGTGAGAAGATGAAAGTTTCTCTACTTAAGAAAAAAAAATCGTAGGCTGGGGTTGCTAAGATCTGCAGTAAGAATGAATCTGCTATCTGTGAAATTGTCTTCTGAAGAAAGAGAAATTCATGCTAGTTTTGCTGCTGCACCTCAAACTGTGGCAAAAGTTACAGCCAAAGTGTGTGATAAGTGCTTCATTAAGATGGAAAAGGCATTCAATTTGTGGGTGGAAGACATGAACTTCTAGAAATGTGTTCTGATTTATGGCAATGGGATTTGGTACTGTCCAAGGTTTCAGGCATCCGCTGGGGGGCTTGGAACGTATCTTCCAAGGATAAGGGGTAGGGACTGCTGTATTATATTATGATCACCTTTCCTTTCCTGGGCACCTTTCTGTTTCTCTCTAGTTAGTAATCATCTTTTTTGTTTCCTTAGTTTTTTTCATGTACTTATCACAAGCCAACTTCCTCTTAATAGACTCAAGCACACATCAATTTCTTTCTTTGGAAACCCCCTGCCCAGAGCCTTTTGACCTGCTCCTTCTGAGCTGGTCGCTTTCTTGGTCGGTGCACAGCCGTTGGCTTAGGATCCTCCTTTCCCAGCATCCCACGAGTCTCTTTGCCTCTCTTGTTTTGCATCTTTGTTTCCTGCATCCCATGTCTTCCTCTTTCTTGGCTTACCTCCTGGTTTTAGTGGAGTAATTTAACCAATAGCTTGTTAAAAGTGACTACAGGAGGGGTAAACCATGTTGAAATGTTATATGCCTGAAATTGCCTTCATTCTACCCTCATATTTGATTGATAGTTTGGCTTGAGTATAGAATTAAAAGAAATAATTTTCTGTCAGATTTTGAAGGCTTTGCTCAATGGTGCTCTAGCCTCGGGTATTGTAGTAAAGAAGTCCACAGCCATTCTGATTCTTGATTACTTGGTATAAAACTTGTTTTATTTTTTTCTCCCTTTCTCTCTGGAAACTTGGAGGATATTTTCCCCAGTGTTCTGAAGCTTTACAATGATGTGCCTTGGTTTGTCTTAACCTGGTTTTCTAATAACAGAGCCCGAGGCTGGAGGCTTATGTGCTGTTATTTGGGAGTACAATCTCAGGAAACACCCAAAGAGAAGCAGGGAAACAGGAGAGATGATATGGCGATGTATTATCAAGCTGGCTGCTGCTACAGGCAATTGATTGTGTGATCCTATGGACCTATCCAAGAAGCTGCATAAATTGAATTCAGGACCACTTGAATTTACCCACTGTCTTCAGTCTCCCAATGATCAAAGCTTTGCTCCACTCGACATAAGTTTCCCTATACTTCCGGGTTGTGTACCCCTCAGTATCACACACCTGATAGTCATAGGAGAGCAGGTGAGAGGCACAGCACTGCCAAGTGGTGAAGCTCAGGATAGGTGGCCCCAAGCAGCCATTGCTATTGAAGCTTTTGCTTTTAATGGCTGCAGCAACAAACTGTCTCCATGACCATGGAAACAGGACATACTGTTGCTAGTGGGTGATCTCATCAAAATACAAGTGTGTGGGGCAATTGCAAATATCTGAATTCCATACCACTAAGGTCTCACTTTTTAGCCATTGTGTTGGATACTTGGGGGGCCCTTGCAATATTTCAATGTTCAGCATGTAAATGTTCTCTTAAAACTCCTGTTTTCAGTATAGTCCCCACTGCCCTCAACTGTCCCAGGTGTCTCCCAGCATGTAGCTTCCCTAGCTTTCTCTCTCCATAGAACAAACTTTCAGTCTTCTGCTGGGTGCAGGAGGGGCAGCTGCCTGACTTCACAGTATGGAGATCTGGGTGTCTAGCTTCTTCTTAAGTCGACTTTCAGCCAATCCTTTTGTTTTTTATCCTATCAGCACCAGTCCTTTACCTGTTGGGGGCTCCCTTGGTGTAAATCATGTTGAGTTTTGACCTGCCTTCTAGTTTAGGATTCAGCTTTCATGAGTCTGCTCAGGCCATTGCTACTCATTCACCTGCTTTCCAGCTTCCTGAATTTTGCTTTTATGGTTGACTGCTTTCCTGTTCTCTTTATCCTTAGAGGTTTGTTCTTTAAAAATAAGAACACTTTACTGTTATTTTCATATTTCAGGAGGAAAGAAAGAGAATAGCAGGTGCTTAGTCTACCATTTTTAGCTGAACAACAGCATTACTTTTCTAAATCAAATTGTCTGGCTCCAAGCCTGTCCTCACCTAGGTGACCTGATATCAGTCAGACAGCCCAGCTCAATTTACCTTTAGGAGCCTTGGTTGGCTTTTAAAGCAAAGGCCTTTTTATTCTATCCTGGGGCAGGAAGAGGATGGCTTCCAGCTCTCCGGGTTTGCTTGCTTGCTTGCTTGCTTGGAGAAGAAAGGCAGGTGGAGAAACAACTCTTATTCTTTTAGGCTTCTATAATAGCAGGGTCAAAACTCCGGCTAATAAACTGATGGAGTTAGCTAGACCTGGGTTTGAGTCTAACTCTGCCACTTAGCTATGAGGCTGTAAGAAACTGACATAAGCTGTCTATGCCTCAGTTTCCTCAGCTTCCCAATGTGAGGAATGATACCTCCCTTCCAGGGAGGTTGCAGGAAGTAGAGGAACTGTCTTATCAGGTACCTGGCACAGGGTCTGGCATGGGAGATGCTCAACAATGCTGGCTACAGTTGGTGTTCTGGAGTCTCTCGAGGGAGGACCTCCACGCCTCCATGGTGCCACGTGCACCCCCAGACGTGGCTGCCTGCCTCCTTCCTAGTCCTCTGAAGCCGGAGGTCACCTGGCTGGAAGGAGCTCTATGCCCACGGTTGTCAGGAAATGCCTCATGAGCATCCCCACTGCAAGGCCTCTTTATTTCCCATTCAGTGTACAGGCTTCCTATCTGATAGACTCACTGAAGGAAAAAGGAAAGATTTAATTTTTCCATCTCAGATTTCAACTATAGCTTTGTTTTAACCTTCTCAAGTGCCAGTCTTCTAAGAGGTATTTTGTGTCTGAGCCCTGCTTTCCTGCTGCCAGGCATCTGCCCAGGAATGCTTTCGCCCTCACCAGGACTCTACAGGTGTGTACAGAGCAGCCATGCTTTAGAAGTCAACTGCACTTAGGAGCAGCAGAGCAGGGAGTCAGAGGTCACTCTTTTGGTCACTTGAGCAAGTGGTGGCTCTGAGGAGGCACGTTGGTATCAGTCCCTGAAACCTCTTCACACGCTTTCCTCTCAGTTATGGTTTGCCAGTGTTCAGAATGCTGTGACTGTAACTGTTACCAGCCCATCCACAGATGGAGAGAGTGCGGCATGGGGCAGTAACTTAAAGGAGGTGCTGGAGTTCCCAAGTACCTTGGAGATTTAATAATCATGAGATTTAATGATAATGCTAAGTAATAACTATAAAAATGTATGCAAGGCTCTGTTCTCAGCACTTTATATACATTAAAATATGTTGAATCCTCACAGCAACTCTTTGAGGGAGGAACCATTTTCATACTCATTTTTCAGATGCAGAAATTGATGTGAAGATATATGCTTATTAGGGCAAAGCTGGGGGGTTGGACCTAGAGAGTCCAGCTCCTGTGTATCCTTCAGCGCATCCTTCTAGATGTTGCCTTTCTGAAGTGAGTGTAAGTATTTGTTGAAAGATAACACAACTCATCATCTCCCATGTCTCAGCTGGTATCAGGAACCCCAGCCAATGTAATGAAGAGACGGATCCAGGTATTTCTCAGGTCTTTAAAATCCTTCTGCTAGCACTGCTTCCCCCAGGTTATCTGGGCGCATTGAAAATGCTTCTGGATAAACCCCTGATGGCCTGAGCTAATTCTTTCCCCCATGTGCCCTGAAGTCCCCAGGGCCAGAACTGGCTCCTGTGTGCTGGGAAGGGCTTGGTCTCTGCAGGCTGGAGGCCAGAGTTGGAATCTCAGCTCTTCTACTTAGATGGTGTGTCACCTTGAGCAAATTTTGAAGTCTCTTTTTCGAGTTCCTCAGCCATAAAATGGTATGATATTTCCTTCCTACCTGTTAGAGTCATTGTGAGAATATCTGGAGGCAACATCCTTCTAGCCATAACAGTGAAAAACATGTAACAAACTCATGGTGTCATCAGATGTTGGTGGAGACCTCAGGTGGTGGCACCCAGAACTGCTGTCCAGCATTCCATGCTTCACCAGCCCTGTCCCACAAGTTTGGAAAGATAAGTGGCCTGAACGTAGGCAAGGCTAGATTTGCCAGAATTGGCATGAGGGAAATTATTATATCATTACCTTTTCACTTGAGACAGTGAGTTGCTGGGGGGCAGGGGCCAAGCCTTCTTCGCACTGGTGTCCTTATTTCTTGGTCCAGTGCTTGGCATTAGGGGAGGTCAGAATAGAAGGATAAAATTGTAATGCAGCACAATTTTTCTGGGGAGCAACCTCACCCCTACACTGTTCCTTTGGAGGAAGCTGCCTCCTGCCCCAGGGTGCTCTGGATTCCCACACTGGTTCCCTGAGGGTCTCCAAAGTACGTGCCTAACATCATATGCCTTTCCCAGTATCCTTCACTCCCTGTTGTCTACCAGTCACATGTTGGGTTCCAGGCCGTTATATATAGCAACTCAGTACCTACAATAACAGAAACCACTCTGGTGAAGGAGGGAGTCTGAAAAGGTGAACTCGTACTCAGATATTACCCAGCCAGAGCCTTCTTCCTGCTAGGCCATACTCTTCAGTAGAACCCTAATGCTTTCAGGGCTTCTCAAGAAAGCCTAGTTCTTGAGGCTTTCTCAAATCCCCGAATTTGAGAAACACCATTATAGCATTTTATATTCTCCCATGAAATACAGTAGAGTGGGCTGCAAGAGTTAAATTTTCAATTTCTATCACTGTCCTTGAAAAATAATTTTTACCTTGGCTGAGGCCTTTGCTGAAACGATTTTTTGAATTGCTTTTCGTATTTCATGAGGGTGGAGAATTCATTTGGATTATAGATTTCTGCCATCTCTAAGTTTGACATTCCTTTCTTTCTTGCTTTAAAAGCTAATATTTTCTAGGTCTTGTCTCCCTGTGTACCACTTCCTCCCCACACCCATCCCAACTGAGAACCATCATTTTCTAAGGCTTCTTTTGGTTTTCATTCCTTCCCCAGCACTAGCTATTGCCATTTGTTCTCCAAGGAAGTTTCCATCACATAATAAGATTACAATATCCCTGATGTTATGCTATGGAAGCTAAGCAGCAGAACCTGGGCAGACAGCCATGGACACATGGATGGCTCCTCCTACCATATTTGCTTGAAGTAAATGAGATTCAGATCTGAGCCTCAGAGGAATTTCAAATTGCACCCTGCCATGGACCTTTAGCCTCTTACCTTCCCCAACTCCCCCCTCTCCACCCACCAACAAATCCATTAAGGTAAAATATCTATAGTGTTTTTAACTGTTCAAAATAGTTTTCTTCAAATGTGCCAAGAGGGCATTTGCTTAGGCAGATTAAGAAATGGGCCAGGCATGGTGACTCACGCCTGTAATCCCAACACTTTGGGAGGCCGAGGTGGGCAGATCACGAGGTCAGGAGATCAAGATCATCCTGGCCAACATGGTGAAACCCTGTCTCTACTAAAAATATAAAAATTAGCTGGGTGTGGTGGCGTGCGCCTGTAGTCCCAGCTACTTGAGAGGCTGAGGCAGGAGAATCACTTGAACCTGGAGGGCAGAGGTTGCAGTGAGCCGAGGTCGCACCACTGCACTCCAGCCTGGCGACAGAGTGAGACTCCATCTCAAAAAAAAAAAAAAAAAAAATGGTTAGGAGATCACAAGAGATTTTTATTGCAAATAGGAACCTTTTTCTGTATGTAAGAACCCACTGTGTGGGCTGTCATTTACAAGGCAGGGCTGGCTTCTAGGATTTAGCACACACTGAATTGCAGCAAGTCAAGGCTGTGTGAAGCCATGGGAAATGGCTGTGTGAAGTCACAGAAAGGGACAATGTGAAGTCACAGGAAGAAGCAGAGTGAAGTCACAGGAAGGAGCAGTGTGAAACAATAGGAAGGGGCTGGAAGATGTCATAAGAAGAAATTATGTGAAGTCACAGGAAGGGGCTGTGTGGAGCCAGAGAAAGGGGCTACGTGACATCACAGGAAGGAACTGTGTGAAGCCAAGGGAAGGGGCTGTGTGAAGTCACAGGAGGAGGCTGTGTGAAGCCACAGGGTCAGTATGAAGCCACAGGAAGAGGCAGTGTGACGTTAGGAAGGGGCTGTGTGAAGCCAAGGAAGGGGCTGTGTGAAGTCATAGGAAGGGGTAGTGTGAAGCCAGATAAAAGGGCAGTGTGAAGTCACAGGAAGCGGCAGTGTGAAGCCAAAGGAAGGAGCAGTGTGAAGCCAAATAAAGGGGCTGTGTGAAGTAACAGGGACAGTGTGAAGCCAAAGGAAGGGGCAATGTGAGGCCAAAGGAAGGGACAGTGTTGAGCCATAGGCAGGGGCTGTGTGAAGCCACAGGAAGGGGAATGGGAAGTCACAGGAAGGAGCAGTGGGAAGTCACAAAAAGGGACTGTGGAAAGTCACAGGAAGGGGCAGAGGGAAGTCACAGGAAGAGGCTGTGGGAAGCCATAGAAAGGGGCTGTTTGAAGCCACTGGAAGGGGCTTCTGAGGTCACAGGAAGGGGCAGTGTGAGGTCACAGGAAGGGGCTGTGTGAAGCCACTGGAAGTAGCTGTGTGAAGCCACTGGAAGGGGCAGTGTGAAGCCACTGAATGGGACAGTGTGAAGCCACAGGAAGGGGCTGTGTGATGTCACAAGTAGGGGCAGGGTGAACTTACAGGAAGTGGCTCTGTTAAGCCACAGGAAGGGGCAGTGTGAAGCCACAGGAAGGCACAGTGTGAAGTCACATGAAAGGGGCTGTGTGAAGTCACAGGAAGGGAAGTGGAAAGTCACATGAAGGGGCTATGTGAAGTCACAGGGAAGGGCAGTGTGGAGCCACAGGCAGTGTGAGGCCACAGGAAGGAGCTGTGTGAAGTCACAGGAAGGGAAGTGGAAAGTCACATGAAGGGGATATGTGAAGTCACAGGGAAGGGCAGTGTGGAGCCACAGGCAGTGTGAGGCCACAGGAAGGAGCTGTGTGAAGTCACAGGAAGGGAAGTGGAAAGTCACATGAAGGGGCTATGTGAAGTCACAGGGAAGGGCAGTGTGGAGCCACAGGCAGTGTGAGGCCACAGGAAGGAGCTGTGTGTAGCCACAGGAAGGGGCAGTGTGAAGTCACAGGAAGGGGCAATGGGGTCACAGGAAGGGGCTATGTGAAGTCAGAGAAAGGGGGGTTGTGTGAGGCCACAGGAAGAAGCAGTGTGAAGCCACAGGAAGGGGCTGTGTGAATCACAGGAAGAGGCAGTGTGAAGTTACAGAAGGGGCTTTGTGAAGCCACAGGAAGGGGCATGGGAAATCACGGGAATGAGCTGTGGGAAGTCACAGGGAGGGGCAGAGGGAAGTCACAGGAAGGGGCAGTGGAAAGTCACAAGAAGGAGTGTGTGAAGCCACTGAAAGGGGCAGTGTGAAGTCACAGGAAGGGGCAGTATGAGGTCACAGGAAGGGGCTGTGTGAAGTCACTGGAAGGGGCAGTGAGAAGTCACAGGGAGTGGCTGTGGGAAGTCACAGGAAGAGGCAATGTGAAGCCACAGGAATGGGCAGTGTGAAATCGCAGGTAGAGGCTCTGTGAATCCACAGGAAGGGGCAGTGAGAAGTCACAGAGGCAGTGTGAAGTCAAAGGAAGGGGCCGTGTGAAACCACAGCAAGGGGTGCTGTGAAGTCACAGGAAGGGGCAGTGTGAGGCCACAGGAATGGGCAGTAGGAAGTTACAAGAAGGTGCAGTGGGAAGTAACAGCAAGGGGCTGTGTCAAGTCACAGGAAGGGGCTGTGTGAAGCCACAGGAAGAGGCAGTGGGTAGTCACAGGAACAGGCATTGTGAAGCCACAGGGAGGGGTATTGTGAAGCCAAAGAAGTGGCAGTGTGAAGCAACAGGAAGGGACAGTGGGAAGTCACAGAAAGGGGCAGTGTGAGGCCACCAGAATGTGCAGTGGGAAGTTACAGGAAGGTGCTGTGTGAAGTCACAGGAAGGGGCTGTGGGAAGTCACAGGACAGGGTAGTGTGATATCACAGGAAGGAACTGGGTAAAGCCACTGGATGGGGCTACGTGAAGTCACAGGAAGTGGCTGTATGAACTCACACAAAGGGGCTAGGTGAGGTCAGAGGAAGTGGCAGTGTGAGTTCACAGGCAGGGGCTTTGTGAAACCACAGGAAGGGGCAGTGGGAAGTCACAAGAAGTGGCTGTTGGAAGTCACAGGAAGAGGCAGTGTGAAGTCACAGGAAGGGTAATGTGAAGCCACAGGAAGGGGCTGTGTGAAGCCACAGAATGGGGCTTTGAAAAGCGGCAGGAAGGGGTAGTGTGAAGTCACAGGAAGAGGTGGTGTGATGCCACAGGAAGGGACTGTGTGAAGCCACAGGAAGGGGCAGTAGGAAGTCACAGGAAGGGGCTGTGTGAAGCCACAGGAAGGGGGAGTGTTAAACCACAGGAAGGCACAGTGTGAAGTCACAGGAAGGGGCTGTGTGAAGTCACAGGTAGGGACAGGGGGTAGTCACAGGAAGGTGCTGTGTGAAGCCACAGGCAGGGTCAGTGAGAAGTCACGGGAAGAAGGAGTGTGAAGTCATGGGAAGGGGCTGTCTGAAGTCACAGGAAGAGGCAGTGGGATGTCAAAGGAAGGGATGGTGTGAAGTCAGAGGAAGAAGCTGTGTGAAGTCACAGGAAAGGCCAGTGTGAAGCCACAAGAAGGGGCAGTCTGAAGCCACAGAAGGGGCAGTGTGACGTCACAGGAAGAGGCAGTGTGAAGCCACAGGGAGGGTAGTGTGAAGCCAAAAGGAGGGGCATTGTGCAGCCACAGGAAGGGGCATTGGGAAGTCACAGGAAGTGGCTGTGGGAAGTTGCAGGAAGGGGCTGCAGGGAGTCACAGGAAGTGGCTTTGTGAAGTCGCAGTATGGGACAGTGGGAAGTCAGAATGAGTGGCTATGGGAAGTCACAAGAAGTGGCCATGTGAAGTCACAGGAAGAGACAGTATGAAGTCATAGGAAGGCGTGGTATGAAGTCACAGGCAGGGTTCTGTGTGAAGCCACAGGAAAGGGCACTTTGATATCACAGGAATGGGCAATGTGAAGTCACTGGAAGCGGTGGTGTGAAGCTACAGGAAAGGCCAATGGGAAGTCATAGGAAGGGGCTGTGTGAAGCCAAAGGAAGAGGCACTGTGAAATCACAGGAAGAGGCTGTTTTACGCCCTGGGAATGGGCAGTGTGAAGCTACTGGAAGGGGCTTGTGTGGTCACAGGAAGTGGGAATTTGAGGTCACAGGAAGGGACTGTGTGAAGCCACAGGAAGGGACAGTGAGAAGTCACAGAAAGGGGCTGGGTGAAGTCACAGGAAGTGGCTGTGTGAAGCCACTAGGAGGGGCAGTGTGAAGCCACAGGAAGGGGCTCTGTGACATCACAGGTAGGGGCAGTGTGAAGTCACAGGAAGGGGCTGTGGGAAGTCACAGAAAGGGGCAGGGTGGTGTGAAATAACAGGGAGGGGCAGTATGACATCACAGGAAGGGGCAGTGGGAAGTCACAGGAAGGAGCAGTGCGAATTCTCAGGAAGGGGCTGTGGGAAGCCACAGGAAGGGGCTGTGTGAAGCCACTGTAAGGGGCTTGTGAGGTCACAGGAAGGGGCAGTGTGAAGTCACAGGAAGGGGCGGTGTGAAGTGATAGGAAGGGGCAGTGAGAAGTCACAGGTAGGGGCTGTGTGAAGTCACAGGATCTCTGGCTGTGTGAAGACACAGAAAGGGGCAGTGTGAAGTCACAGGAAGGGGCAGTGTGAAGCCACAGGAAGGGGCAGTGTGAAGCCATAGGAAGGTACAGTGTGAAGTCACAAGAAAGGGGCTGTGTGAGGCCACAGGAAGGGGCTGTGCAAAGTCACAGGAAGGAAAGTAGGAAGTCACAGGAAGCGGGTGTGTGAAGTCACTGAAAGGGGCTGTGTGAAGCCACAGGAAGGGGCAGTGGGAAGTCACAGGTAGAGGCAGTGTGAAGCCACAGGCAGGGAGGTGCTGTGTGAGGCCACAGCAAGGGGCCATGTGTAGCCACAGAAAGGGGCAGTGTTAAGTCACAGGAAGGGGCAGGGCAGTGTGAAGTAACAGGGAGGGGCAGGGCAGTGTGAAGCCACAGGAAGAGGCTGTGTGATGCCACAGGAAGGGGCACTGTGAAGTCACAGGAAGAGGCAGTGTAAAGCCACAGGGAGGGGCAGTGTGAAGCCAAAGGAAGGGGCAGTGTAAAGCCACAGGAAGGGTCTGTGTGAAGCCACAGGAAGGGTCTGTGTGAAGCCACAGGATGGGGTTTGGGAAGTCACATGGAGGGCCAGTGTGAAGTCACAGGGAGGGGCTCTGTGAAGTCACAGAAAGGGGCTGTGTGAGGGCAGAAGTGGCAATGTGAGGTCACAGGAAGGGGCTGTGTGAAGCCCCGGGAAGGGGCATAGGAAGTCACAGGAAGTGGCTGTGTGACGTTACAGGAAGAGGCAGTGTGAAGTCATAGGAAGGGGCAGTGTGAAGTCTCAGGTAGAGGCTGTGTGAAGCCACAAGAAGGGGAAGTGTGAGGACACAGGAAGGGGCTGTGATGACAGGGAAACAGGCTGTGTGAAGCCATAGGTAGGGGCTGTGATGACAGGGAAACAGGCTGTGTGAAGCCACAGGCAGAGGCAGTGTGAACATGCCAGAAGTGTCCCTGTGAAGACACAGGTAGAGGCTGTGTGAAGCCACAGGAAGGAGCAGTGTGACATGACAGGAAGGGCAGTGTAAAGTCACAGGAAGGGGCAATGTGAAGCCCCAGGAAGGGGCTTTGTGAAGCGTCAGGAAGGGGCTGTGTGAGGTCACAGGGAAGGGCTGTGTGAAGCCACTGGAAGGGGCTGTGAGAGTTCACAGGAAGGGGCTGTGTGAGGTCCCAGGAAGGGGCTGTTTGAAGCCACTGGAATGGGCCATGGGAAGTCACAGGAAGGGGAAGTGGGAAGCCACAGCAAGTGGCTGAGTGAAGTCATAGGAAGCGGCAGTGGGAAGTCACAGGAAGTGGCTATGTGAAGTCACAGGAAGAGTCTGTGTGAAGCCACAGGAAGGGACGGTGGGAAGTTACAGGAAGGGGCAGTGGAATGTCACAGGAAGGGGCCATAGGCAGTCATAGGAAGGGGCTATGTGAAGCCACAGGAATGGGCAGTGGGAAGTCACAGGAAGGTGCAGTGTAAAATCCCATGAAGGGGCTGTGTGAAGTCCCAGGAAGGGGCTGTGTGAAGTCCCAGAAAGGGGCTGTGTGATTTCACAGGAAGGGTCTGTGTGAAGCCACTGGAAGGGGCTGTTAGGTCACAGGACAGGACCATGTAAAGTCACAGGAAGTGTTGTGTGAAGCCACAGGAAGGGGCATTGTGAAGTCACATGAAGTGGCATTGTGAGGTCTCAGGAAGGGGCAGTGTGAAATCACAGATAGAGGCAGTGTGAAGTCACAGAGGCAGTGTGAAGTCACAGGAAGGGGCAGTGTTAGGTCACAGGAAGGGTAGTGTGAAGTCACAGGGAGGGATAGTGTGAAATCACATGAATTGGCAGTGTGAGGTCACAGGAAGGGGCAATGTGAAGTCACAGGTAGAGGCAGTGTGAAGTCACAGGAAGGGGCAGTGTGAAGTCATAGGAAGGGGCAGTGGGAAGTCACGGGAAGGGGCAGTGTGAAGTCATAGGAAGGGGCAGTGGGAAGTCATGGGAAGGGGCAGTGTGAAGTCATAGGAAGGGGCTGTGTGAAGTCACAAGAAAGGGCTGTGTGAGTTCACAGTAAGGGCTAGTGTGGGGTCACAGGGGCTGTGTCAAGCTACAGGAAGGGGCCCTGTGAAGCCACAGGAAGGGGCAGTAGGAAGTCACAGGAAGGGAGGAAGGGGTAGTGGGAAATCACAGGAAGGGGCAGTGTGAAGCCACAGGAAGGGGCAATGGGAAGTCACAGGGAGGGGCAGTGTGAAGTCACAGAAAAAGGCAGTGTGAAGTCACAGGATGAGGCTGTGTGAAGTCACAAGAAGGGGCTGTGTGAAGCCACAGGAAGGGGCAGCGTGAAGCCACAGGGGGCCGTCTGAAGCCACAGGGAAGGGCAAGGAGAAGTCTCAGGGAGGGATAGTGTGAAGTCACAGGAAGAGGCTGTGGGAAGTCACAAGAAGGGACTGTGTGAAGCCACAGGAAGGGCCAGTGCGAAGCCACAGGAAGGGCCAGGGTGAAGCCACAGGAAGGTGGGAAGTCACGGGAAGAAGTAGTGTTAAGTCACAGGAAGATTCAGTGTGATGTCACAGGAAGGGCTGTGTGAAGTCACTGGAAGTGGCCGTATGAAGTCACAGGAAGGGCTGCTTGAGGTCACGGGAAGTGGCTGTATTTAGTCATATGGAAGGGCTGTGTGAAGTTACGGGAAGTTGTTGAATGAGACAGCAAAAATCGCAGCAAAATCCCAGATTTCTTCCCCATGCTTAGCACCCTCCTATACTCACATCTTTATCCCGAGACTGTGGATTCTTCCCTCATCCTTGTTTGTGAAGTGAGAAGTACATGGGCTATTGGAAAATTTAAATCTTGCCTGCCAGTAATCTGAATTTCTACCATTGTAACATTATCATATTAGCACATATGTTGTAGGATTTTGAGAGTTCCTGGCGCATGGCATGTGCTCAATAAGTGGTCATTTTTTTGGGGATCTGCTATAGTCACCTCACAAGTCAGATGTTTTCAATTTCCTGGCTGATAGTCTGGATAATTCTTGACATGGGACTGGGGCACCATCTGGTTGTGGAATAAGCGGGAGGCATAGAACCTGCCTGTTTTAGCCATCAAGCCTTAGACTAATTTAAGGATAACAGATTATTAGTAAGCTGCTTCTGATGCTACCTCTCAAATATGCCCAGCTTGCAGTATATCAAATGGTGGAATTTTTCTCATTGATATTCTTCTATTTCTCAAAGAATAAAGGAGGACAAGAGACATAACAAAGCTGTTTTCATTTTGAATGAAAAACATTTAACCTAAAAATATTTTTATTTTTCCTCAATTTGTCCTGATAGAAAAAGGTTGCAACCTGCCTTTGACCTCATTCAAGCCTCACTTGTGGATAAACTGATCAGTCCTGAACAGATAAGCCCCCTTTGAGAGAAGGCCCACCCCAAGACCCAGTGCAGTCTTTTGGAATTAGGGCTGGAGCAGGGGCTTTACGTGGCAGCTTCTTCCTGGGGTGGCACAGCAACTAGGTCAGCTAGCTCTGAAGCCAGACTGCCTGGGTTCGTGCCTTGGTGCTGCCCTTGTCAGCAGTGTGAGCCTTGGGCCTCTCTGATTCTTTATGCATTGTTTTCTTGACCTGTAAAATAAGGATGATAACAGTAGTACGTATCTCATAAGACGGGCATGAGGATTAAATTATAAGTAAGGTTTTCAAGCAGTCTCAGACATGTAGTGAATGCTGAATCAATGTTAGTTATCATTCTTTTGGTTTTCTTTCTTTTTCCTGGAATTGGCTGAGCCAGAAATTACAGGGGCAAAAGTCCGCTCTTGTCTTGAAGTTGCTGATGTGTAAGGAAAAATCAAAGCCCTCTGATGGAGCTGAGCAAGGGAGCCTGGCCTGGTGGTAGCTTTGGAGACAGGCTGCCTGTTATTCTGCCCACAGTGGAGCAAACAGCCCAGCCTCTCAGGACCCAGCATATCTGACTGGAGAGGGAGGTTGTGCCTGTTGCCTTTGCCCTAGAGGCCGGTTCAGCTCTGCCTGCCTGGGGTCTGACTTTGGGAAATCAAGGAAAGCAGGGTTGCCTGCTGAGTTCCTCCTAGGACTGGGACATGTGGTTTTAATCCAGCCCTCTGAAAAAGTCTGCTCATATATTCCCTTTCACCCCAGCCATAGTTTTGTTGTGACAAACTGCACTTTAAGAAATGGAACAGAAACTCCAAATTCCCAAATCTTTGCCAGTTTAACTCAGAGCCTAAGTAGTGATGAATCAGGCAGGGTGGCTGTTTAGAAAGGGGCAAAGGTCGGGGAACAGAAACTAAGGGGTTGTCACACCTTTAGTGATGACTCCAGAGTTAGACCCAAATTCCGTTTTTAACACACACACACACACACACACACACACACACCCCATCACATGGCTTCCCTCTACCCCTTCTCCCACCCAGAAAACTCTTAAAAAACACTTTACAAGTGCTTTGTGATTTTGTCTGTTTGGGTGGGGAGAAGAGCATGTGATCTGTCTTCTCTCCATCTTCCCTGCCCAGCATGTTATCCCATTGCCCATGGCAGTTTGGTGGAGGACCAAATTTTTGTCATCCTTTTTTGATGTCTGGTAGTTGAGGAAAGATGACTTAGCCTCTGTCTTTGCCAGCTGGTCCCTGTGCAGCCAGCCAACTGCAGTCATATTTGTAGGCAGTGGAGGTGTCAGGGTGTAGAGTGGTGCAGGGCATAGAGGCAGTCTGGGGAGTGGAGATCTAGTGCCAAACTGTCAGGCAAGATCCTGATTGGATTTCCCCAAAGAAGAGTGTTCCTTTCCCTACAGAAATGAGGAAAATCTCCTGCTGCCTATTACAGTACGAACTGTAAACTCTAAGTACGGTCCTTTCCTCCAAGCGTTCCTGTTTCTCAAGCTGTCTCTGTGCAAAGTCCATTTGTATTCAACGTTTTCAGAAAAGTCCTTCTTAAAAGACCTCCATTTGACAGAAGGCTCCCTCCATACCATCTTACTGGGGAAACTGGTTCAAGAGATAAGTCTGTGACTGGGTTGCACCATCATCCTCATCACAGCCTAAGCCCCATTTGTAGAGACAGCACTACACTCTTATTAACTGAGGGAGGGGTGCTAGGCTTCATTGCTAACCTGCCTGCCTGTTATCTGACCGAGGGCACACATTGAGCCCAAGAGATGCCACCAAAAGGTGTGTATTAGTTGGGTTTTGCTGCAATAATGTTGCATAACAAATAGCCTCAGTCTCAATAGCTAACCAAAACATATGCCTATATTTTGGTAATAGGAGTTGGGTAGGCTGGGCCTGGTGAGCATGGCTGGGTTGGCTCCAGGCTGGAGGTTGAGTTCAGGTTTGTTCCAGATGCTTCACCTGGGGCAAGCTCTTCTCACGGTGAGGACAGATTTGCAAGGAGGCAAGCCAAACCACACAAACACATTTAAAGCCTCCAGTAGGACATGGTGTATGTTATATCCACTCATATCCTGGTAGCAAAAGCAAGTCACATGGCCAAAGCCACAGAGTAGGCAGGGAAGTAGACTGCATCTGCAGTGCAACCATGGTAAGGTGGGGAACCCAGAATTGTAAACAAATAATGCTATTAAGGACACTGCCCTTGATGGTTAGAACTTCATGGCTGAGAGCTGCACTTCCCGGTTGAGAGCTGTTTCTACCCTTGTGGAGGCAATGGCAGGGAGTTTGGTGGTGGTTCCTGTCCCCTGCCCCGCACAGTTCCCCAGCTTCTCAGTGGGCTGGGCTCCTTCAGGCAGAACTCTCCTGGCTTCCCTTCCCACAATTGCTAGGCAGCCCCAACCCCATTCTTGTCAGAATCTGTCTTCTCCTTTAACTCCCTGACATACTTCCCTTCTGGCTCCCACCCTTTCCCTCCTCACCTTTCCACGTGATTTTAAAAGGCCAATAAATTCTTTCCTGTTCCATCCTGGTTATCTTGGGAGGCAGCTTCAGCAGACAGTGAGAACTTTCTCACTGCCCAGGTGGCTTCCTCCTGGCTGACGCTTGTGGTTTTACAATGAAAGAGCTTCTCTTTCTGTCTCTACCTTCTGTTATGCTCCCAAATATCCCCATTTTTACTCTGACTTTACGATGAGCCAAAACCCAGGAAGAGGAGTATTTTCAGACCCCTGAAAGGTAGACTGTATCCAGAAGTGGGGACAGAAAATCCCGGATCCCACCACTCATGTAAATATACCCAACCATGTAGTGGGCCTTTTACATACTTTGACTCATTTATTTATTGTGCCAACTCCTGGAGGGAGAAGATATCTCTTTCTCCCCATTTTATAGCTGAGGAAACAGGGCAGAGAGGTTGTGTGACTTGCCTATTGTAACGCAGCTCAGAAGGGCAGAAGCAGAACTCAGAGGTGTCTTCAACAAAACCTGTGTGTCTATTTCTCTAGCTACCCCCCTGTTTTCACTGCTCCTTCTCCGCAACTGTGGGTGGATGGGACTGTTAAGCCCATGGGCATCTTCTCTGAGGAATTAAGGAGGGGTATTGGTGAAGGGTTGAGAGGTAGGGGCTTGACAAGGAAGGAGAAAGAGAGTAGCTGTAGAACCACACAGTGAAGGTAACTCCATTTCTCTTTCCCTCCTGCCATGAACATTGCAGGGCAGAAAAGACAGGGTGTGTAATTTCGATGGTTAGAATTGAGGGGAGGAGGTGGGGCCGCCCCCCGGCATGTCTGCAATGGCAGGGTCAGTTTGGGTCTCACCAGCAAACTTTGTAGTAGATTCTGCATCATCCCCCTTATGTTTTCTCTAATGTACTCTTTATTATTCAGCTGAATATTTCTCTTCAGATGATGTTTTTTTTCAGTCTGATCAAAGCTGCTTTTCTTTTCCCAAAGCTTTACTTGGGTGGCCCTCCCTGGGACATCTGCTCATGGCCGTTTTGAACTTTTCTCTCTGCACAACTGCACAACTGCCAACTTTCCCCAGGTTTTCTGAAGCCAAGTGAGGCTGAAAGAAGGATCAAAACAGTCTGTCTTCTTGAAACATTTGCAAAAGATGATTTATTTTACCCTGGTGGTATCCAATACTTTGAGAATACATATTAGGAATTCAACACATTTTTCATTGTAGAAGAAAAAAAAAAAAACCAAGCCAACTTGTCCATGGCCATTTCCCCTTTCAGTGTTAGTTTAAAATGTTGGTATTCTTGCCAGCTATATGGCCGTGGGCAAACATTGGCACTCTGGACCTTTCTGTTTTCTCAGTTGTAAAATAGGAATTATATAATTCTCATTTCTCTAGGTTGTTGTGAGGATTAAAGGAGATAGTAACTTATATATGATGAAAGGGTAAGGGCAATGAGAAGGAGTGGGGCCCAACAACTTCCTCTCTTGGCATCTCCTCTGTAGAAATTTTTAGATTCTTTCCAAGAGCTGCATGTATTGGATGTTCAGTGCAATATTGTTTGTTATAATAAAAAGGATGAAGGATGAGTAAAGAAATCATGGCACATTTACATTGTGAAATATTATGCAGCAGTTAAAAAGAGTAAAGCACCTCTGTATGGATAAATACGGAAAAAGCTTCAGGGCCTCTTATGTCAATCAAAGCAAGTTGTGGCATAGTCATTTCCTTTATGCTGAAAATAATTACCATGTGTAGTAGGCTGAAAAATTATCCCCAAATGCTGTGCATGTTATCTCATTTAGAAAAAGGATCTTTGCAGATCTGATTTAGGATCTTGAGATGGGGAACTTACTGTGGATTACCCAGGTGGACCCTAAATGCCATCACAAATATGCATCTAAGTAAGAGGCAGAGGGAGATTTGACACAAACAAAAGAGGAGACCATGGAGGCGGAGACTGGAGTGATGTGACTACAAGACAAGGAATGCCGACAGCCACCAAAAGCTGGAAGAGGCAAGGAACAGATTCTCCCCTAGAGCCTTTGGAGGTAGCACGGCCCTGCTGACACCTTGATTTTGACCCGGTGAAACTGATGTGGAACTTCTGGCCTCCAGAACTGTGAGGGAATACATTTATGTTGTTTTAAGCCAGCAAGTCAGTGGTAATCTGTTATGGCAGCTACAGGAAACTAATATACTGTGACATATGCATATGTTATAATGCAAAGAAAAGCAACAGCCTGAGAAGATGCACACCCTAATTGCTAACTGTGGCTTCCTCTGGGGAGGAGAAGGAGATGTTCGATTTTGCCCTGATTTATTTGGTATATGGGTTTTTAACAGTGCATATCTATGCATGTAGTACCTGTGTGTTTTCTAAAATAGCAATATAGACCAAATTAAAAGCATATCTAATTGGGACAGAAATTTAGGATCTCACTTCAGAAAAATCATCAGATAAATGTATCTTAGGGGGTGACAAGGCATCATTTGTTTTATAGAAAAGAGGCTCAGACCTACTGAGCACTGTTAGTTGCAATGATATTGAATGCCTCTCAAGAGGGAGATTGGCTTATTTACCCACTGACTTTTGTCCCTTATTGCTTGAGGGCTGTCACCAGATGTGTTAATTTCCCCTGAGCTTCCTGGCACAGCAGGCAAGAAAGCAGGAGTGATCAGGTCCTTGAGGTGGGGACCGGCAGTACACAGGAGGATTGTCTGCTGTGGGGGCAGCTGGAGTCAATCGGGGGCCACGGGGACATAACGTGGGTGTGTTCACTATATTCTCTTATTTTCTGGTTTTTTATGCTCTGGTGTCTGGTGCCTTGTGGACTTAGGGAAGGACTGCCCCTCCGAGGGTTAGCTAATTCTTAAGAAGAGAGAGTAATCAACTGGCCTGTGAGCATACCTTTCGTGTGCAAACCAACCAATTCTGAGTCTATATCACCCATCTTCTTTTATCAGCTTTCTGTCTGTCCTCTGCTCTATCACCTATAGCCCAGAGCCTGCTGAAATTATTCAATTTCAGTTAGCTTAACTTTCTTTGCTCATTCCGTACTGTGAAAACCACAGTAAAGGCTTCAGCTGCATTTGCTCTCGCAATTTGCCTGCCCATCTCAGCTCCTGTGGCCCTGTGTGGCATGCCGTACTTCCTGTTTCTAGCTGACTGTGAATATATCAAAAACTTATTTCATGGCAATTATTTTTGTGTCTCTGTGTCTTACCAAACACTGCAGGTGCAGTGTTTGCTTGAAACAAACTCTGGGTACATTTTAAAATAATGGGGCACAAAAAGCATCTGCTGTGTTGGGTAGTGGGTGGGGGTGGCTGGCTTTCCAAACAGAAAAGAGCCTTGGAGATTGGAGGAGCCCTCTTCACCAGCAGACGTGCAGTGCCACAGGCCAGGGAACAGTGTTTCCACCTCCCTGATAACCCCTCTTATCTGACAGCTCATTTTGCAGAGAGCTTCTCACGTGCCAGGCACTGTGATAGTCTGGAGATGCAATTGTGAGCCCATGTCCTGCCTGCATGGATCAACCCATCCATTGAGCGACAGACATTAAATGATCAAATCCAGTACAGAGTGAAAAGGGGTGTGCTTGGGAAGGAACAGTGTGTTATGGGAGCACACGGCGAGGACATCCAATTCATTGAGGAGTCTCAGGGGAAGGCTTCCTGGGGGAGGTGGTGTCTAAGCTGAGACCTGAGCAATGGAAACAGGAGGAGGGGTCTATTTCAGGCAGAAGGATCAACACATATAAAGGTGTGGAGACAGAGTGGGTCTGGCACTGTCCAGAATTGAAAGAAGTTTAGCATGGCTAGAGCACTTCCGGCATTTAGGTGTTCTCTAAGGAGACTTTGAAGGATATGATCCAGTTTGTGGCAAGTGGCCTGCAGAGGAGCAGGAGTGGGAGCAAAGGGGGCTGTTGCACGTGTCCTGGTAAAGAAGAGGGTGCCTGGGCTCAGTCACAGAGGGTCTAATGAGAAACGGATTGGTTCAAGAGCTGTTTAGGAGGAAAAATTTGCAAGACTTAGATGTATGGGGCAGAGGAAAGGTGGAATGAAGGTCAGGCCCAGATTTCTGGCTTGGGTATCTGGGTGGACAGTGCTACCTTTTAGCCAGATTGGAAACAGAAGGATGGGAATCCATAGGAGAGAGGATGAGATGGTGAATAAATTAGAAAGTGGAGAACTGCTAGGTGACCCTGTGGTCCCTCCCTCTCTCCTTCACTCTTAGAAGTCTAACTGGGATAGGTGGATCACCTCACTTCCTGGTCCATGTCACTCCAAAGGGCTTCAAGGGTGGTCTTTCCAGAAGAATGCGGCTAAGTGATCAGCCTGGAGGCTGCACTCGATTCACACAAAGCTGGTGAATAAATCTTGTGGAAGTGTGCAGCAGGAACAAAATTCTTGGAATTCTCAGGTCTGTTTGGGTGCTGTGGCTCCTGAGCACGGAAGTTGGAAAAAGGTCGTTGCTCTGAGGGCTGATTAGTCACTGCATTCGGTAAGGGCACACTCCTTTCTTCTTAAAAAAGTACCATTGAGGACTGCTGGTGTAAACACGGCAGCATAAACTCTGCATCCTCACCTTACCCTGGAACTAGCAGAAAGTAACAAAGAAGATGGAAGACAAAATGCAAATTCCTTTTTCAGATAAATTAGGAGGCAGTCACCAAAATACTTGGGAACAGCGTAAGAAGCAGCCAGTTTCATGCAGGTGCAGTGTTGGAGGAAGTGAGAAAGAGTGGAAGAGGGAGCCCAAGTTGGCAGATCTCAGAAAGCACCAATGAAATATGCCGGAAGGTGAGTGACACACCTGAGGAGCAGAATCACCATCCCCCGCTTGTCTGCAAAAGAGGGTGTGGAAATGGGATGGGGGCAAGTTTAGTGGCTCAGAGGATCCAGCTGGACTATTGGGATTAGAAAAGCAGAGGACACTGTGATACATAAAGAGCCATGCCAACAAGCCATATTTGCAGGATGCAGCCTGGTCATGGGGTAGATGAGAAGAAGAAAGCATCTGCATCATGAAAACCGGTTGATTTCAAATTCCACCGGGGTTCTACAGGAACCTCTTTCAATTGACTGGTCCAACTCATACAATAAAAACAGTCCAGCATCTATGCAGAGATACTGTGAGAAAAAAGGAGACAAAGAACAGCAATGTTTCTTAACAGATGAGGGCTGGCCACCTGAAAATATTACCTGGAGACAGTGGAATTTTGAGCAATCTTATCACAATGAATTTTTAAAACTTAAAGTACCCTCTGTGAATAAATACCACAAAGCAGAAATGCAAGAACTCAAGAAAAAATGGTAAAATGGAAAGATGTGAAATATGAGCTGGAAAGAAGTAGGGAAAAGTGGAAAATAACAGAAAGGGTGAATAAATATTAGGTAAAACACAGTAAGTCAAATAGAGTATAAAAACAAGAACAGTGAACAAAATGAAATGAAAATAGTTAGAAAGGATTAAAGAGAAGGTAAGAAACATATAAGGAAGATAAAGGAGAGCCACCGTGTACATAATTGAAGAGCCTAAAGAAAAAAGTAAAATAAAGTCATGGAATGGAAGAAATATTTAATATTTAGCTCAAGAAAATTCTCATGAAATAAAAAGACTTGTGTTTACCTTTTCTAATAGGGCATATTGCACGCCAAGAAAAGCTGACCCGAAACAGTCAACACTGATAGATCTTAGGAATGTTACTGGATGTTAAAGAAAAAGAAAGAATTCTTAGGGCAGCCAGGCAGGGTAAAAAATCAGTTCAATCTTAGATTTCCCTTAACCTTACAAAACAGTGGAGCAGAACCCATAAGCTATTCAAAGAAAGAAACTGTAAGCCAAGTATTTTCTATGTAGGCAACTTTACTTCATGTATGAATGCTGTAGAAAACAGTTGGAACATGCAAGAAATCAGAGAATATTGTTCCCATGTGAATTTCAGTCAACCAAGAAATAATGGGAAACTGGGTCCAAAGGGACAAGAGTGTGCATACAATATATTAACTGAATAACTAAGACCTGAACAAATGTGGGTATTAGAGAGATGGAATCGAATGTATACGCTTCCTATTGTACCAATGCGTATGACACAAATATAAACAATTGGATGGGGGATGAAGGCAAAAGGTGGGAGAAAGAATTAATATGCTGTTTATTTCATTAATAATAGCAGAGAACTAAAGAATATCATTTAAAGCTGAGAAATATATAGAAATGTAAACACATTTAATTGTACAAAGATAAACATTTAAAAAGATAATACTAGTTATGAAAATTGAATGGTAGAGGAAAGGGAGGGCAAGGAGGGGGAAGAGGAAATAATTTTAATATTGTTCTTTTTAGGGGATTAAGAGCTACAGTCTAAAGAACCAGACAATTAAGGGCATACAATAATAAAGGTAATAATTAGGACCCAAATCAAAATTTCCTAAATATTATAAGAAATATACACCAAAAGACAAAGTAAAAGTAAGAGAAAAGAAAACATAGTACAAGACTTCAAATATTATAAATATTGTTGATGAAAAGGTCAAACTGTAAAATATTTGAAGAGATTTATTCTGAGCCAAATATGAGTGACCAATGGCCTGTGACACAGCCCTCAGGAGATCCTGAGAACAGGTGATCAGACTACAACTTGGTTTTATACATTTTAAGGAGACATAAGACATCAATCAATACATTTAAGAGGTACATTGCTTTGGTCCAGAAAGGAAGGACAACTGGAAGCAGGGGTTCCTGGGTCATAGGTAGATTCAAAGATTCTCTGATTGGTAATTGATTGAAAGAGTTAAGTTATTGTCTAAAGACTTAGAATCAATAGAAAGGAATGTCTGGGTTAAGATAAGGGCTTGTGGAGACCAAGGCTTTATCATGCAGTTGGAGCCTCTAGGTAGCTGGCTTGAGGAAATAGACTGTAAATGTTTCTTATCAGACATAAAGAGGCTGTTCTAACAGTCTTAAGGTCTGTGTTGATGTCAATGCTGGTCAGCTGGGCCTAAATTTCAAAAGGGAGGACGGTATAATGAGGCATGTCTGGCTTCCTCTTCCCATCATGGCCTGAACCAGTTTTTCAGGTTAACTTTGGAAGGCCCTTGGCCAAAAGGAGGGGTCCATTCAGATGGTCAGGGGGCTTAGAATTTTATTTTGAATTTACAATACAGAAAATATACCATAAAATATTACAACAGAACTAAGACTAAATATGTATGGCATATCAAGTAATGTAAATTAGCTAAACCCACCTAATGAAAGAACACAGAGCTCTCTTGGTGGAAGTGTATGTGTGTGTGGGTGGGGGTGGCAAGTGCAGAGCACACAGAGTCATCTCCTAACCCCCCACCCCATGGGAGAACATGAAGGAATCCCCAGAGCAAGTTTAAGAACCATTGTTCTGTCCCATCTCTGGTAAGCAGGCGAGAGATTCCAGATGCAGTCCAGGTTTGGGGAGCACAGGTTGTCTAGAGGACCACACAACTTACAAGGAAAATATTCTCTAGGCTTTGTCTCCCTGCCCTGTGGCCCTGGAGGCCCTGGCTGAAGTGAGGGGGACATCAGAAGCATGACTCACCTGATTTCCCCACTGTTTATTTAGCTTGCTGGTCCCCGCCCCACCCCTTCTGCTTGCTGGTCACCACCCCACCCCTTCTTAAGCAGGGTGTCCAAGCAGGGCTTTGTGGCCCTGGGACATATAGGCTCACCTGCTGGCTTCACAGAAGCATTAATGCATGGGGTGTCAGGTGAGGGGGGAAGATATTTTAGCACGTGGGTGCCAGAGGCCAGAGGGGATTTTCTCTACTGTCTCCTCCCCTCCAGGTATGGGGGAGGGAAGGTGAGCTTAAGTGGTCCCTCCAGCAGCAGCTTCAGGTGGATGGAAAGTATCCATTGGCCCTGAGTCGCCTTGTATTGGCATGTCCCACTGAGTCTTGGGGGATCAGCTCAGAGCTGCAAGGGAGGCTTTGGTTATCATGGTCTCACTGTTCAGGCCAAGGGGAGTGATTGTGTCTCCCGGTGGTGACTGGGCAGGGGCAGAAAACCCTCATTTCAACCCTCTTCTTTGAAAGCCACCCTCCAGGGCCTACACTGACTTACTGGGCAATGGTGGTGTGTGCGTCCTCTTGTGCAGCTGTGTTCTGCTACAGGTGCTTGACATGGACAGGAGGAGGAGGTTCAGGGGAGCCCACAGCTGAGTCAGTCCACCTCCACTGTCCACCAAGAGCTAGAATCACTGGGTATTGGGGGAAGTGAGGCCTCAAAGGCTATTTCATCCAACCCAACCCCTTGTAGATGAGGGAGCTGGTCCAGAGAGTGGGATCCACACACTGGCTTCCTGCAGCTGAGGTGTTTGGCAAAAGTGGGGCCAAGAGACATCAGTGCACCACTCATGGAGGTGCTAAGAGGGAGATGCTGGCCTCATGTCCAGGAGGCAGAAGGGGTTAGGACAGGGAGAGAACCAATGTAGAGGAACTGGAGGTAGGAGGGAGCCATGGGCACTTTTTACAGCTGGGCTGTAACTGAGATTTCCCATTTCCACTTCCTTTTGATTATTTTCTGATGTTTACGGTGCTGAGAAATGTGTTCGGTTCCTGCAGAAACTGCCACTGACTTAGAAGGGACTGAAAACACAGACAAATTAGGAAATTCATGAGGGGCGGCATTCCTCCAGGCCATGCCGTTGGAAGGAAGGGGAAGGTCAAATGGGTACTGAAGGAGGAAAGACTCTTTTGTGATTTTATTTTTTTGAGATGGAGTTTTGCTGCTGTCACCCAGGCTGGAGTGCAATGGTGCAATTTTGGCTCACTGCAACCTCCACCTCCCGGGTTCAAGCGGTTCTCCTGCCAGGTTCAAGTGATTCTCCCAAGTAGCTAGGATTACACGCATGCGCCACCACGCCCAGCTACTTTTTTGTATTTTTAGTAGAGACAAAGTTTCGCCATGTTGGCCAGGTTCGTCTCAAACTCCTGACCTCAAGTGATCCACCCACCTTGGCCTCCCAAAGTGCTGGGATTACAGGCATGAGCGACCGCGCCCAGCCAGGAAATGCTCTTTTAATTGTAGAGGAAAGGGAACTCAGAGATGACCTGGATTAGGCCTTTTTGGCTGCATGTAGCAGGAGTACCCACGACCCACAGCTCAAGTGTAGAGTGAGAATGGGTTTCGTGGATGCTGCGCAGTCCCGAAGAGCCCCAGGCGGTGGCTACTGCTGTTCCTGGGCCAGGCTCAGAATTGGAACTGCAGTGCAGGATGCTGGGCAAGGCCTTTCCTCCTGTTTTCATCTCTGGTTTGTCTATGCAACGGTTTCCTTCTCTCTCCCTGCAGACTGGCTCTCAACAGAGTATGGCCCACTGCTGTCATCTTTGGCTGGGTGGCAATGGGCCCCTGCTCTCTATTTCATGAGCAGGACAAGTCAGCCTTGCTGATTTATCACAAGCCCATGCTCCCAGGGCTGGGGTTGGGGGTGAGAATCTGTTGGCCCAGCATGGGTCAGGATCCAGGATGGCCCCATCAGCTTAGGTCATGGGTCGGGGTCCCTGGATAGATATGGCTCGGGTGGATTGTGGGGGATAGAGGTGGTACTTTTGAGAGAAAGCAGGGGGCTACTGAGGATGGACTTCACCTACATGTCCACTGCAGATCCCGGATAATCCCCTTTTGACACCCACAGGGGAGCTTCTCAGAAGAGCAAGCACATGCGGGGAAAAAAGTGGGATCTGGTTTGTTTTGTGGGTGTTGTTTCTTTGACACCTTTAAAATTCTGTTTACCCGTGTGCCTTTTCTGTGCATTCCAGCAAATTGCCTCACACTGCATATAGTATCAAAAATCTCTAAGGAATATCTGGTGGATTTAGTAAGTAAACTTAATTTGGGGAGTTTTTTTGTGATTTGGACTAGATTGTCCATTCATTTTGTCAGTCACGTATCTGTTGATTCCCATTATGTACCAGGGCTCTGCCTGTAGGTCTGTCACATAAAGGCTCACAGGTACAGAGACTCCCAACTGCAGGCTTGCACTGCTCCAGACACTGCGTTCCTTCCCTTTTGTGGCTCATGATGCCCTAGAGCAGTGGCTCTCAAGCTTAAGCCCACATCAGAATTACCCAGAGTACTTCTTAAAACACAGGCTGCCCAGCCCCTGTTTCTGATTCCGGAATTCTGGTGTGGGGCCCTGAGAATTTGCATTTCTGACAAGTCCCCAGGTGATACTGATACTGCTGGTCCCACGTGAACTTCAGTCAACCAAGAGTTGACTGAAGTGTGCATAGAATATATTTAACTGAATAACTAAGACCTGAACGTAATCCAAGGACTGCATGTTGAGAAATCACTGCCCCTAGGGTGTGTCCTTGCTAACATGTGCAGAGCTGTTGCTGCCACATCTGTGTGCAACCGGCAGGGACGGCAAGAGAGAAAGGCCAGGGTGGCTAACTTCCTTTTAAGCATGTGGGGCTGGCAAAAGTGGTTGGCTCTCATGACATAGTCAGGGACTTGGTCACATGGTCACACCCTGTTGCTAAGGAGGCTGGCAAAGTCATCTCTAACTGGGTGGCCATGTGCTCTGGCAAAGGGTAAGGGCATGTGTGTGGGGACATCAAGAGATCTGCCAGAATGGGCCCATGGGATCACATGGAGACAAAAAGAGAAGGTCAGCTCTTGGTGATGGGGACAGACGTGAGAAAAGCCCCTTATGTTGCATGGTGACAGTGTTGTAATGGCAGTTTATTCAAAGGGAGAATAAGACAGAAGAGCATGGGTCTGCAGGCCTCAGCAGAGGCTGCCCTAGAAGGAAAAGCAAGCCAAGCTTGAAAACAGGAGCATAGTTGGCTGGAGTTGACATTTCCTTTCTTGAAGGCAGCCAGCTGTCCCTCCACTTGGGCTGTGCTCTTCTCTTTCTCTCATGAACTGAGCACCTCATTTGCTTACCATCCCCATTGTTTTGTGGGTTGAGCTGATGTATTTCCCAGATCTCAAGCTTTTCTTTCTACCCTGTCTCTCAGGCGTCTTGGCTCCGGAGAAAGCTGCGTGGCAAGAGGCGGCCAGTGATAGCGTTCTGCCTCTTGATGATCCTATCTGCGATGGCTGTCACCCGCTTTCCCCCACAGCGTCCATCCGCCGGCCCAGACCCTGGTCCCATGGAGCCTCAGGGGGTAACTGGCGCCCCTGCAACCCATATCCGGCAGGCTTTGAGCTCCAGCCGGAGGCAGCGGGCAAGAAACATGGGCTTCTGGAGAAGCCGTGCTTTGCCCAGGAACTCCATCTTGGTCTGTGCTGAGGAGCAAGGCCATAGAGCAAGAGTGGACAGAAGCAGGGAGTCCCCAGGAGGGGACCTCAGGCATCCAGGGAGGGTGAGGAGGGACATTACTTTGTCAGGACATCCAAGACTCAGTACTCAGCATGTTGTGCTCCTGAGGGAGGATGAGGTTGGAGATCCAGGAACCAAAGACCTGGGCCACCCCCAGCATGGCAGTCCCATCCAGGAGACACAGAGTGAGGTGGTCACCCTGGTCAGTCCACTCCCAGGGAGTGACATGGCAGCTTTACCGGCTTGGAGAGCTACTTCTGGGCTGACACTCTGGCCCCATACAGCAGAAGGCAGGGATCTGCTGGGAGCTGAGAACAGAGCCTTGACTGGTGGGCAACAAGCAGAGGATCCCACCTTGGCCTCAGGAGCTCATCAGTGGCCTGGCTCTGTTGAGAAGCTGCAAGGGTCAGTATGGTGTGATGCTGAGACGCTGTTGAGCAGCTCGAGGACTGGTGGGCAGGCTCCCCCATGGCTGACAGACCACGATGTGCAGATGCTCCGTCTGTTGGCACAGGGGGAGGTGGTGGACAAAGCCAGGGTCCCCGCCCATGGGCAGGTGCTACAGGTTGGCTTCTCCACTGAGGCTGCCCTTCAGGACCTGTCCTCTCCCAGGCTCAGCCAACTCTGTTCCCAAGGGCTCTGTGGCCTGATCAAGAGGCCTGGGGACCTGCCTGAGGTCCTGTCCTTCCACGTAGATCGTGTGCTGGGGCTGCGCCGGAGCCTACCTGCTGTGGCCCGCCGCTTCCATAGCCCCCTCCTGCCCTACCGATACACAGACGGTGGAGCAAGGCCTGTCATCTGGTGGGCACCCGATGTGCAGCACCTGAGCGACCCAGATGAGGATCAGAACTCTCTGGCCTTGGGCTGGCTGCAGTATCAGGCCCTGCTGGCACACAGCTGCAACTGGCCAGGCCAGGCCCCGTGCCCGGGCATCCACCATACCGAGTGGGCACGCCTGGCGCTCTTCGACTTCCTGTTGCAGGTAGGTGGGGTTGGGCAGCAGGGGTAGAGAGCTGCGGAGGTAGGGGGTTCTGGGTGGAGAGGCCTGAATTGCCCACCTGAGGTTAGATGGTGACTCTCCCCCAAGTCTTGGTTTTTTGACCACCAAGCACCTGCTTTTGTAATTTTCCTGCCTCTGTTTATTTATCCAGTGGTTACTGGAGCCAGCTCATCAGCTCACAAGAGCTGATGGCTATAATTTTCAGGAATTTTGTGACCTAGTTGTGAAACACAGGCATTATTAAAAAATTAAGTTGTAGAAACAATAAATTATATTAGAAACAAAGGTAATAACTACTCAGAATGCATTATTTCCTAATTATATTACTATAATCTGTGCTTTTGCAGCTTCGTGACTATATAATAAATGCTAGCTAATGGTGTGCCACTGCACATCTCTTGACAACTCCACATTTGGTCATGTTGGTAGCTTGAAATCCGTCAGGGTGTGAATATCTGTTTACACCATGGAAAGCAGCAAATGCTACAAATCAGGACTCCCCTCTACTCCTGGAGAGCTGATTGTTGAACATTTATCAGCATACCACTGTTTATAACTTTACGTCTTTGACTCAACAAGGATTCAAGATGGTTGTATCATTTTTAAAAAAGAGAGAGGGAGAGGTGGAGATAGCGATGGAGAGAATGGGAGAGGAAGGGAGAAAGTGAGGATGCTTGGGCACTGAAGAATGAGAAGGAACTGTGCTGGCTGAGGTCCCTGAACTGTCAGGAGTTAACCCTGGAGTTGCTGGATCGAGGGGTAGTGTGGGAATCCCAGGGAAGGGGTTGTGTTGTCAGGGTACACGGGCTGACTGGGGGACTACAGGCACCAGCTATTTACTAACTTGTCTGTTAACAACCAGTGTGGCTGTTCCGGTGCCCATGAGCTGGACCTCAGCCATAGATACACATGTGTGGAAACATGGCCAGACAGAAACAAAGACAAAAAACAGATAAAGCTCAGTGAGGGTGGATGTGTGCACCAAATGGACATGGAACCAGCCCCCATTTCTATAGAGACCCCTGTTGAAGAAAAGGGTCCTCAATGTCAGCCCTTAGGGTTACCTGCAGAGGTGAGTGGACCAATATGTGGTGTTTCGTCCACATGGGGTTGGGTTTCTATTTTAGAAAATTCTTAGATAATATGTAATACTTCAGAGATTTACCATAAAAACCCAGCTTCCCTTGAAAAATTGGATGGTTTAGTAATACTGGTCCTTCATTCCCATATAGCAGGAAGCAGCCTGAGCTGAGCATCTGCTGCCCCCTTTGGAGGTTGCCATACTCTCCTTTTGGCCACAGGCTCTACCTCTTTATTGTCCGACACTCACCTACTGTCCTCCCGGCCTCTTGAATGTTACCCCAGTCTGCCTGCAGATAAGTCTGTTTCCAGTCACGGGACTAGCTGATCTCCTGTCGTCCTCCCAGCTCCTCCAATCTATGTCCCCGTGGCTGCTTTGTGGAAGGAGGAGCTATGGACCCTGATGATCAAGAGCATGGGCCTTGGCATCAGACCAACCTGGGTTTGAACTCCCACCCCCAGGCCACTTCCCACTGTGTACCCCTGGGCAGATTACCTAGCCTCTCTCAGCTCTACTTTTCTCACCCCAAAATGGGGTTGTGCACCCCAACCTCATCCCCTTGAGCCTGACCATTTAGTACATGGTAGCTCCTGGCTGCTGGCACCTGCATCTGCAGGTTTGCTCTGCTTGCTGCACTGGAAGTGCTGGGGAATGAGTACCCTCCAGGTAGTGTGGCCAACCATGCAGGTTGGGAAGGAGGGGTTTCCCAGATCATAGGACTTTCAGTGCTGAAGCTGGGACAGTTGTGGGCAAACAAGGAAGGTTGGTCATGTTGCCCCCAGGAGCAGCCTGCAACTGTGACTGAGGAGAGTAGGTGTATAGATGCCCTGTATGCGTATTCTACACACCTCTCAGTTAAATTAGCAGGATTGGAGCCCAGTTATTCACAGTGGTAATTGCTGTCTCTCTTCCCCCACTCTACTTGTGTTTCTTGGAGTTAGCACACAAGTAAACTGCTCTCAGTTGAATTCTGGTCTGTCCTCTGGGGATCCCAGCCTTCGTCAGATAATAACATTGATCACGCATAGTTTCTGGATGCAAGGTCATTCATGTAATGTACTTAGTACAGTGCCTGGCGGGTGGCACATACTCAGTAAGAAGCAGGTACCATCCCACTTTACAGGAATTAACTCATCCACTCTTCATGGCAACCTATGAGTGAGATACTACATTTAATCCTATTTTAAAGTTGAGAAATTGAGGCCCAGAGAAATTAGGTTACTTGCCCAAGGTGGCAGCTTGTGGGCTGAGAAGCAGCCTGGATGGTCTGACTCTAGAGCTCACTCTCTGAATCACAGTCATTCAGCTGTCCATGAACGAGGGCAGGAAAAGGGGATGCCTGTAGGGGTGTCCTGGGGCCTTGATCTCTGAGGCACAGCTCCTTGCAAAGCCCCAGTCCAGCTGATGTGCTTGCAGCTGCTCTCTGCTCCACACAGAGCCCCTCTGTTCACCTCTCAGGGTTGCAGCGTGGGACTCTTCCTCAGCTGCCAACCCCTGCTGTGGGGACAAGTCTCTGTAGCCAAAGCATACACAGGTTGGTTATATGGGCAGACATGACTCGGCTGGGCTCATGCCACCTCTTCCCTGGTTTGCTGAATGCCAGTCAAGTCAAGCACCCCCCGTCTGGCTAATGCCACCTTCTTAGAAACCATTGGCAAGGCAGAGAGAGGCAGGGCTGTAGAACGTGGGTTTTCCTGCACAGGAACCTTCTGACCAGGGCCTGGGTACAAACTGCATACAGCCCACTCTTGAGTAGGTCTGCTTGCTCCTTTGGTTTTACCCTGTATAAACCCTTGTTTTTCTGTGTACATCACCACATCCCATTTATGTAGGCACAAAACACAAGCACCGCACACATGCACATCTCTTATACACCCCATAAAGCATACCTGTGCTTCACAAATCCCATATAACACTCTGTATTAGTTAGTGATTGCTGAAATAACACTGTGTAACAAACCTCCAAAACTCAGTGGCTTAAAACACCAGCTCTTTATTCTTGCTCCAGGATCTGTGGGTCAATTGGATTCAACTGAGGTGGAAAAAAAGGAAAAAAGTAAACAGCCACGTTATGAACTGCCTGTGGGGAGAAGAGACATCTAGGAGGACCCTAGCAACCCTGAGGACCTCAGCCCTCCGACTGCAAGCGATGGTGTCAGCTGGCAACCTGAACAGCTTAAGAGAGGACCCTGAGCTAGAGTGAGATCCAGCCCTGGTCCATACCTTGATTGTAGCCTGGGGAAACCCTGAGCTGAGAACCTAGCAAAACTGTAATAGGCTCCTGACCCACAGAAACTGTGAAATCATAGATGTGTTCTTTTAAGCCACTGAGTTCATGGTAATTTATTACACAGCAATAGAAGACTAACACATGAGGCAAGGGTGGTTTCCAAGGTGTGAAAAATTAAGAGCATGCTCACTCTTGGGTGCTGACCCTGCGATTGCACAACACTAAAAGTCAGTACCTCAAACCAGGCAGCGATTCAGGGCAGACCTCCTTATGCTGCTTCAGTGGAAGAAGTGGCCAAAGAACCTAAGTCAAAATCTGGGGGATCGAAGTCCTCTGCTATGTCTTCAGACAGGTCCCTGGCTGAAAATGGAGCGATGGCCGAGGAGAAGCCAACTCCCCAGATGAACGGGACCCCAGGTGATGACAGGGCTCCCAGCCACTCTGAAAGTGCCTTGAATAATGACTCTAAAATGTGCAATACAAATCCTCATTGAAATGCACTAAGTACAGACAGCCCTTGCCACACAGAAGCTGCTCTGGAGGCAGCTGTCTTAAATAAAGAAGAGTAAACTTACTTTTTATAGAGAGTGAAGGATGCTGGAAGGGTAAGGTATTTAGGAATATCTGGAGAGAAAGAACCTGCAGTTATGTACATTTTGTCCTTTCTGTAAGAGAAAAATGAGGACTTTGGAAATTCAGATCCCTCTTTGATATCAGAGATTTAAATGATACATTTTTAATTTTAACCAGTTATAGTCAAAATGCTACAATAAAACAAAAAAGAGAAAGAAAATGAAGAGCATTTGACTCCCACTCTTAAAATGAAGTACACATAAGCTTTAAACTGGTTATGACAAAAGCCTATAGTTGTGTTTCTTGAAGTATAAAGAAAACAAATTTTGGCAGTCTTTAAGTATATATAGCTTAAAATATAATTTGTAGCATTTGGCACCATATGTATGCCATTATATTTGATTTTGCATTACTGTTTCACAATGAAGCTTTCTTTAAGACTTTGATTTTTATGATTATGAAAGAAATAAGGAACAACCACAGTTTTTCTTTCTTAAATTTCATCACTGTTGATGTGGTTCTTTTGTGTTAAAAAAAAGTGCAACTATCAAAACTAAAAAATTATAGAGTAATATTGCCGTTCTGCTGATTTTAAATATACATCATACGTACTTTACGAGCAGGTTAAATGGAGATAAAGTTGAAATCATAGAAGATGCAAATGACCTTTCAAAATCAACACAATGTGTTCTGAAACTTTTCGTGACTCACACCATGCATCTGTGATCAATGAACTATGTGGTTTTGAATCGGATGTAGACCTTTAATACTACTACTTGAGCTAAACTTCTGCATGGTTCGTAATTTTTGAAGTGTGTGGTTAATATTGTGCATGTTATCATCCTTTCTTCCATTCTTATCAGTATGTGCCCATTTGCAAAACAAAAATACTAATAATCAGTAATAGTCCTAGAAAAGATGTTAATTCTGTTTAGTCATTGACTGATATTGCGCTAACCTTGAAATTGTATGATTATTGACCTCTGTTGCATTTATTCTAAAGCCCCCCAAAAATTATCTAGCCGTTTCGAATATCAACATTACACTGGTGTATTCACTGCTTTATGCATTATTGTTCTTTGTTGCTGTTTTATGCTTTCATATTAGCAAATATGAAATTCTGCGAAAAAAAACTCTTTGATCTTTAAAAAAAAAAAATCCCCCATTCTGTAGCAGGAAACAAATTGCTTGTTCTTGAGAACTTTCCCATCAAGAATTTAGTAGAAGCAGGTATACTTCTATCATTTTGATGTTTTTGTTAATGTTTCCAAACAATGTACTTTGAAATCAGAATCACTTCTTATCATTTTTATATACTTCTGATGCTCTTCATCACATTAGTGATCAGAAGTGAGGTGTAATTCCCCAACCCCTGCCCACGAGGACTAAGTAGGATCTTACTGTAAGTTGAAGGGAGTTCGGCCCTGACACATGGATTGTGCAAGAATGAACTGCTGTTGGGTTTGATTGACTGTCGATGGATTGTGGTGTGGTGTATCTGAAGGCTATTGAATGCAACTTACAATGCTTAATAAACATCTTTATTCTTTTAGTATAAAAAAAAAGAAAGTACCTCTTTTGACTTTTTTTTTTTTTTGGTTTCATCTTAGTCCTGCCTCTGTTTAAAAGCATTTTAAAACAAAAGACAAAAATACTATCCATATTCTTTGCCCCATTTTCTTCTCTTTTTTTAAACATCTATTTTTCTTGCTACCAGCACAATCTGCCACCAGGTAGTTTTTTTTTTTGGTTTTTTTTTTTTTTTGAGATGGAGTCTGACTCTGTCGCCCAGGCTGGAGTACAATGGCGCAATCTTGGCTCATTGCAACCTCCACCTCCCGGGTTCAAGTGATTCTCCTGCCTCAGCCTCCTGAGTAGCTGTGATTACAGGCACCCACCACCACACCTGGCTCATTTTTGTATTTTTAGTAGAGACACGGTTTTGCCATTTTGGCCAGGCTGGTCTTGAACTCCTGACCACAGGTGATCCGCCTGCTTCGGCTTCCCAAAGTGCTGGAATTACAGGCATGAGCCACTGTGCCTAGCCTAGGTAGGTTTTATTTATGTATTTTTTAAACTTGTATGTTCAGGGGTACATGTGCAGGTTTGTTATACAGGTAAATTTTGTGTCATGGGTGTCTAGTGTACAGATGATTTTGTCACCCAGGTTATAAGCATAGGACTCGATAGGTAGTTTTTCGATCCTCTCCCTCCACCTTCAAGTAGGCCCCTGTGACTGTTGTTCCTTCTTTGTGTGGCCCCTGTGATTCCTTTCTTTGTGTCCATGTGTATTCAGTGTTTAGCTCCCACTTATAAGTGAGAACATGTGGTATTTGGTTTTCTGTTCCTGAGTTAGTTTGCTTAGGATTATGGCCTCCAGCTCCATCCATGTTCTTTGCCCTATTTTCTGTTGGGTTGTTGGTCTTTTTCTTAATGATTTTAAGAGCTTTTTACAGATTAAGGAACTTAGCCCTTTGTTTTCCATTGTAGTATATAATATTTCCCTTAGATTCAATTGTAATTAAGCTTTGTTTATAGTCTTTTTGCAGTGCAGAAAGTTTTAAAAATGTACATTGTTAAAATGACCAGGATTTTCTCTGATTTTTACGTTCGTGTGTTATATTTTAAAAGGCTATTCTCATTTCAGCGTTATTTTTAAAATTCTCTCCTGTTTTTGATATATCTTTGATCCATCTGGAAGTTATTTTGGAGTAAGGGATAAGGTATAAAACAACTATTTTTTTTTCAGATGGCAACCCAAATGTCTCAGTGACATTTGTTGAATAATCAATCTTTCCCTCAACTTGAAAGGCTACCTTTAATAGAGCCAATTTCCATAAGTATATAG